>NC_000004.12:56593951-56920357 GCF_000001405.40 Homo sapiens | reverse complement strand
TTTTCTTTTTCAAGCTAAACTTTTGCAGTCAGTCCTCAAAAGCTCGACCAAACCTTGAAACAGAACAAACCTTCATTTCAGGACCTGAGAAGCTAAGAAGGAATCCCTGACACTTGTCAACCACACGTTGTGACTCTCAGCTTTATACTGTTAGGAGAAATATGAGAAGTAGGGGTTAAAAGATCAATCAGTCTTGGTCTACATTAGTTTAACTTTTGTTGGAGTCACGGAACGCTTCAAAGATTTGATGAGAATTAAGGCCCCTCCTCCCAGAAAAAGTGTACACAAAAATTCCATTTTCAGGAGGTCCACCTTTGGATTCCATGTTAGGAATCCCCAGATTGACGGAATACTGATTTTTAAATTCTGACTTCTAAATTATATTAAAAATAAATAATAAGTAAATGACTCGGTTACAAGTCTAAAAGAATTTCCTTAAAATGGTCATTTACTGAAAATGATAGAAAAGTTCCAATTTCTTACCAACCTGAATGAGTACGCATATGTCTAGTTAGATGAGTCTTCTGAGAACTTGAGTAAGGACAAAGTTCACATTTATATGGGCGTTCTCCTGCAAAATTTCAATAATATAAGAGTGTTTAAATGTCACGAAATAGCCAAATACAATTCTCACTAACAATGCAACAATGTTCAGCGCTCAGCACATTTTAACAAGAATTTTTTTTTCCTATTTCTGGCAAAAAGATCAATTTATCATGTACTTAAAATGTAAGTTATTTATTTCAGAAACTATGACTACATTATTTTGGCTTTGCTGACAAGAAAACAACATTGACTTTCCGAATTCTCACAGCCCTTTTAATTTTCACAGTGATACTGCATGTTAATACATTAAGTAGTGATAAGTAAAAAACTATCTTGATAAGGTACAAAGCATTTTTGTTATATTAAGAATCACCTTTTAAAAAATCTACCTGAACTGTCTGATGCTATTAACACCGGTTTTTAGGTTTTTTTTTTAACTTGTAAATGATGAATCTACTACCATTTGAAAGTGTTAGCTTAAAACAATACTTCTGAGTGAGAATGTAATTGCTTTATGCTAAAAATTTTCAAGTGGTAGAGTTCCAGACCAGCCTGGGCAACACAGCAATACCTCATTTCTAAAATTTTATTTTAAAAACTAGCCTGGGGCTGGGCACGGTGGCCCACGCCTGAAATCCCAGCACTTTGGGAGGCTGAGGCTGGTAGATCACGAGGTAAGGAGTTCAAGACCAGCCTGGCCAACATAATTAAACCCCATCTCTGCTAAAAATACAAAAAAAATTAGCCGGGCATGGTGGTACGTGCCTGTTGTCCCAGCTACTCGGGAGGCTGAGTGAGACTTCATCTCGTTTAAAAAAAAAAAAAAAATAGCCTGGGCTGAGCATGGGGATTGTGGCCCCTGACTGTAACCCCAACACTTTGGGAGGCCAAGACAGGCCAATCATTTGAGCCCAGGAGTTCAAGACTAGCCTGGGCAACATAGCAAGACCTCCTCTCTACAAAAAACAGAAAAATTAGCCAGGCGTGGTGGCGCATGCCTGTGGTCCCAGCTACTTGGGAGGCTGAGATGGGAGGATTGCTTGAGCCCAAGAAGGATGAGGCTGGTGTGAGCCATGATTGTACCACCGTGCTCCAGCCTGGGTGAAAGTGAGACCCTGTAGTCTCACTTGGGAGGCTGACGCGGGAGGATCACTTGAGCCCAGAGTTTGAGGCTGCAATGAGCTATGACGGCACCACTATACTCCAGCCTGGAGTACAGAGAGAGAGCCTGTCTCTAAAAATAAAAATAAATAAAAAACATTAAGCTAAAAAGAAAAATTTAAGAGAAGGTCATCAATTTTCTTTTTATTGTTTTTTATGAGACAGGGTCTCGCTCTGTTGCCCAGACTGGAGTGTGGTGGCATGAACGTAGCTTCTGCAGCCTGGACCTCCCGGGCTCAACAGATCCTCCCACTTCAGCCTCCTAAGTAGCTGGGACCATAGGCGTGTGCCACCAAGCCCAGCTAATTTTTTTTTTTTTTGGGTAGAGACCAGGTTTTGCCATGTTGCCCAGACTGGTCTCGAACTTCTGGGCTCAAGCAATCCGCCTATATTGGCCTCCCAAAGTGCTGGGATTACGGGCATGAGCCACCATGCCCAACCAGTCATCAATTTTTAAAACAAATTATAAAAGCCACAGGGACTGAAGACTAGAGGCCAGTGATTTAATACTGAAGAATTTAAGACTCAAAGGTAGGAAACGTATATTCTTTTTAGACATGGCTGTCAACAACAAAACAAGCCTTTTTTTTTTTTTTTTTGAGACGGAGTCTCACTCTGTTGCCCATGCTGGAGTGCACTGGTGAGATCTCGGCTCACTGCAAGCTATGCCTCCTGGGTTCACACCATTCTCCTGCCTCAGCCTCCTGAGTAGCTGGGACTACAGGCGCCCGCCACCATGCCCGGCTAATTTTTTGGTATTTTTAGCAGAGACGGGGTTTCACCTTGTTAGCCAGGATGGTCTCGATCTCCTGACCTCGTGATCCACTCACCTCGGCCTCCCAAAGTGCTGGGATTACAGGCATGAGCCGCCACACCCGGCAAAACAAGCTTTTAAAAAAAGGTATACAATTTGTTTTAATATAGTCTCCAAACACAAGATAATTATGACCTTGGTAAAGCTACTAAAACACCGTTTCCCCATCTGTAAAAGTAACAGAATCTTCATTTCCTGTAATTGCAAAAGCTTAAATAATACATGCAGAGCATTTAACACTGTGTCTGGCACATAGTAAAGCCCTCAATAAATGTAAGCTATCAATTTTGTCTAAGACAGAAACAAATGTGTCTAATAAAATAAGGAAAAGGTGGTACACAGAAAAAAGAACAGGCCAGGCATGGTGGCTCATGCCTGTAATCCCAGCACTTTGGGAGGTAGGCGGATCATTTGAGCCCAGAAGGCCGAGGCTTCAGTGAGCCGTGACCACACCACTGCACTCCACACAGGGCAACAGAGCGAGACCCTGTCTTAAAACAAAAAACAAACAACAACAAAAAGAATGGTGATAGATGGGAAATGTGTTCCTCATAACTATTCTGCTGTAATTCGCTGGTAGCTACGAATTAGCTGTAAAGAGTTGGTAGCAACAGAATGCCTACCTTATGACCTGGAACAATTAAGATAGTTTTATGTTAATGGAATTCTGTAAAAAAAAGATTTACAAATAGCCAATAAACACATGAAAAGATGAACATTATCATTAGCAGTGAGGGAAATGCAAATCAAAACCACAAGGAGATGAAGACTTCATATCCACTAAGATAGCTGTAATCACAAAGACAGATGTTAACAGTATTATTGCTAAGGATGTGCTGAAATTGGAACCCTCACACATTGCTGGTGGGATTGTAAAATGGCATGGCTAATTTGGAAAACAGTTTGGCAATTACCCAAAATGTTGCTACTATACTGCCCCACAATCTCACGCTTAGGTATATATCCAAAAGAAACAAAAACATACGTCCACACAAAACTTAAACATGAATATTCATAGCAGCATTATTCAGACTGCTTATTATGATTCCACTTGTGTGAAATATTCAGAACAGGCCAATATATAGTGAACTGCATATGTAAACTGTATCTCAATAAAAAATTAAATACCACTGCAGATAAACTTGAAGAATCAAAGATAATTTACTTTTAAATTCTTTTATTTTATTATTATTTTTTTTTGAGACGCAGTCTCGCTCTGTCGCCCAGGCTGGAGTGCAGTGGCGCGATTTTGGCTCACTGCAACCTCTGCCTCTTGGGTTCAAGTGATTCTCCTGCCTCAGCCTCCCGAGAAGCTGGGACTACAGGCTAAGTGTTGTATTTTTAGTAGAGACAGGGTTTCACCATGCTGACCAGGCTGGTCTCAAACTCCCAACCTCAGGTGATCTGCCTGCCTCCCAAGGTGCTGGGATTACAGGCATGAGCCATCTCGCCCAGCCTGCTTTTAAATTCTTTACAACAGATTACTTTATCTGTGTAATTCCACAAACTAGGCATAACTCTCCTCCAGAAAGCTTAGTTACCTACTGATTTTTCAGTTACACATACAGGCAAAAAGGTTTTCTTTAAAAGTAGATTTTGTGAACAAGTTAAATATCAAAACCACTAAACTAAAGAGGTCAACCAGAATGAAAGTCCCCAGCTCCCCCCACCCTTTTGGTGGAGGTTGCAGTGAGTCGAGATTGCTGAACTTTAAATGCTACTTGTAGTTTGTTTTTGAGACAGAGTCTCACTCTGTCCCCCAGGCTGGAGTGCAGTTGCACAATCTCGACTCACTGCAACCTCCACCTCCCAGGTTCAAGCGATTCTCCTGCCTCATCCTCCCAAAGTGCTAGGATTACAGGCGTGAGCCATCGTGGAACGGCTATAAATGATACTTGTATATGACCTTGGGAACATCACTTCAGCCTTTTAAATCTGAAGTTTTCCCCTGTGTAAACATGAACTATCATCACAGATGCTATTTTCCTCAATGGATTGTTCTGAAGATTAGCACAGAATAGAAGGGCACAAGAAACACAATTAAGCCCACTAAGCCAATCAGAAAACTGGGCTACTTACTAATGCAAGTGGAAATGAGAAGTAATTCCTGAACACTATCAATTTAAGTGATTCCTGTCTTTTCTGTCTCTACTCTTCCGCACCAGATGAGTTTATTTTCCATAATTTTCAGAACTATCCATTTAATACCAGAGATACTTTCAGAATTTACATAATCAAAATATTAACCTTCAATCTATACATCACCAAATTGTTTTAAAATGTAATAAAGGCCAGGTTTGGTGGCTCACGCTTGTAATTCCAGCACCTTGAGAGGCCGAGGTCAGCTGATCACAAGGTCAGGAGGTCGAGACCAGCCTGGCCAACATGGTGAAACGCTGTCTCTACTAAAAATTTTTTAAAAAATTAGCTGGGCGTGGTGGCACGCACCTGTAATCCCAGCTCCTCGGGAGGCTGAGGCAGGAGAATCACTTAAGCCCTGGAGGCAGAGGTTGCAGTGAACAGAGATCACGCCATTGCACTCCAGCCTGAGCAACAGAGCAAGACTCCATCTCAAAAAAAAAAAAAAAAAAAAAAATACACACACACACACACACAAAATTGGCCAGGCGTGGTGGCTCACGCCTGTAATCTTTGGGAGGCCGCGGCGGGTGGATCACTTGAGGCCGGGAGTTCGAGACCAGCCTGCCCAACATGGAGAAACCTTGTCTCTACTAAAAATACAAAATTAGCAGGTGTGGTGGCGCATGCCTGGAATCCCAGCTACTCAGGAGGCTGAGGCAGGATAATTGCTTGTACCTGGGAGGCGGAGGTTGCAGTGAGCCGAGATTGCACCATTGCACTCCACCCTGGGCGACAAGAGTAAAACTGTCTCAAAAAAAAAAAAAAAAAAAAAGTTAAAAAAAAAAAAAATCAGAATGAAGGTAATACTGGGGAAAAATAAGCATTAAGACCAAATAAACCAGGCCAGGCTTGGTGGCTCAGGCCTGTAATCCCAGCACTTCAGGAGGCTGAGGTGGGCAGACGACCTGAGGTCAGGAGTTCAAGACTAGCCTGGCCAACACGGTGAAACCACATCTCTACTGAAAATACAAAAATTAGCCGGGCATGGTGGAAGGCACCTGTAATCCCAGCTAAATGAATATGGTGTACTTATTTATGAGTTTAGTATATATGATGGCTGGGATTTAAGATATTGTAGGTAAGGCTGGTTTAGTCTAACAGTCTGTCTAATTCAAACTGTCAAGTGATTAATGGGGTTGTGTCCCCAAGTAACTTTCATTTCCTACTTTATGTATTTTTGTAATGCTTGACCTTTACTTCTGAAATCGAATGGTTTCAAAGCATCGAGACAATCAATCACAGCTTATGACAAATTCCAAAGGGACTACAAATTCTTTTACTGGACTAAATTTTAAAGCATTCAACACATGAGCCATCCATCTGCTGGGGCTTAGCAATCCTGTAACAGAGGTCACTCTTGTAATGGAATTTCACCTGCAAGTTTTATTGTTTAAGCCTGCCAGTTAATAGTTTTAAGTATCTGGGATATAAAAAATAAGTAAATAAAATAAATTTTTAAAAATTAAGTCGCTGGATACGGTGGCTCACACCCATAATCCCAGCACTTTGGGAGGCTAAGGGCAGATTACTTGAGCTCAGGAGTTACAGACCAATCTGGGCAACATGGCGAAACCCTGTCTCTACCATACAAATATCAGCCAGGTGTGGTGGCATGCGTCTGTGGTCCCAGCTACCTGGGGGACTGAGGCGAGAGGGTCACAAGTCCAGGAGGTCAAGGCTGCAGTGAGCAGTGATCTCGCCACTGCACTCCAGGATGGGTGACAAAGTAAAACTATCTCAAAAAAAAAACTGGCCAGGCGCGGTGGCTCACGCCTGTAATCCCAGCACTTTGGGAGGCCGAGGCAGATCACGAGGTCAGGAGTTCGAGACTAGCCTGGCCAACATAGTGAAACCCCATCTCTACTAAAAAAACAAAAAATTAGCTAGCCATGGTGGTGGGCACCTATAATCCCAGCTACTGGGGAGGCTGAGGCATGAGAATCGCTTGAACCTGGGAGGTGGAGGTTGTAGTGAGCCGAGATCGCGTCACTGCACTCCAGCCTGGGGCACAGAGGGAGATCCTATCTCCAAAACAAAACAAAACAAAAATTAAGTCTACCACTCCACTTAAAGCAGCATCAATTCCCCTCCTCAGTGTCCCCTTTACCAGTGGGGTTCAGTCCTGTCAAGTGCCAACTCCTGTAAGAGGAGACCTGAGGCAAACAGCATCCCACACCCCCTATTCATTTGTGACCCCAAGAGTAGAGTACTGGATTATTCTCTATCCATTCATCAGGACCCAAATGTACCAATTCTTACCAAGAAAATGTAACAGAAATGTCCAAATGAGCTACCAATAGTTAAAAACATTTATTTGAAAAATGAGGCCCCTCAATTACAATATTTAAAACCCAATTTAAATTTTAAAAAATTAGGGTGTGGTAGGGCACATCTGTAGTCCCAGTTACTTTGGAGGTTGAGATGGGAGGACTGCCTGAACCCAGGAGGTAGAGGCTGTGGTGAGCTGTGATCACACCACTGCCTGGGCTCCAGGGTGAGACTCCATCTCAAATAAATCAATAAATGAATAAATAAATCCAATTAAAAAAACTACAGTGAACAGCAGCTGAATAAAACCCAATTTAAAAGTGAATGACTAGTATGCACAGTGGCTCACGCCTATAATCCCAACACTTGGGAAGACTGTGGCAGGAGGATCACTTGAGGCCAGGTGTTCAAGACCAGCCTGGGCAACATAGTGAGACCCCCCATCTCCACAAAAAGAAATTAAAAAAAAAAAAAAAGTTTCGGCTGGGTGCGGTAGCCCACCCCTATAATCCCAGCAATTTAGGAGGCCAAAGTGGGTAGATCACCTGAGGTCAGGAGTTTGAGACCAGCCTGGCCAATATGGCAAAACCCCATCTCTACTAAAAATACAAAAATTAGCCAGGGGTGGCACTCACGCCTGTAATCCCAGCATTCTGGGAGGCTGAGGTGGGCGGATCACGAGGTCAGGAGTTCAAGACCAGCCTGGGCAACATGGTGAAACCCCATCTCTACTAAAAATACAAAATCAGCTGGGTGTGGTGGTGGGCACCTATAGTCCCAGCCACTCAGGAGGCTGAGGCAGGAGAACTGCTTGAACCTGGGAGACAGAGGTTGCAGTGAGCCAAGACCATGCCACTGCACTCCAGCCTCGACAACAGAGCCAGACTCCGTCTCAAAAAAAAAAAATTAGCCAGGCACGGTGGTGGGTGCCTGTAATCCCAGCTACTCGGGAGGCTGAGCCAGGGAGGCTGAAGCAAGATAATCACTTGAACCCTGAGGCAGAGGTTACACTGAGCTGAGATCTTGCCACTGCACTCCAGCCTGGGCGACAAAGCCAGACTGTCTCAAAAAAAAAAAAAAAAAAAAAGTTTCAACTTTTTTTATACAGTTGCGCTTAGTATCAGTTCAAACACCCTAAACATAATTGTCTGAAAAATACATTTTCTACAAGTGTTTGCTTTCATAGGAAAATAGTTTCAATTGGTGATAATCCCACCCACCTTTTAAAAACTACCTTCTCACATTTCTTTTTTGTGGACAAAGACAAGTTGTTCCATTTAGGAACTCAATGCTATAAGTCAAATGTTTTAAAGTTTGAGGCTTTTGTTAAGTGGGCATGTGCAAGGTTAATCACTGAGTTTTCCTTTTTATATAAGCCCTCAATTTCTTTCAGAAACTACACTGCATCTTAAATGTGTTCACTGTCACAGAAATAAATACACAAACTTTTTTTTTTCTGTTTTCTTTTTGAGACGGGGGTCTTTCCACGTTTCCCAGACTGGTCTAGAACTTCTGGGCTCAGGCAGTCCTTACGCCTCGGCCTCCCGAGGTGCTGGGATTACAGGCGTGAGCCACCATGCACGGCCAGTCTAACTTGCTGAAGGTAAACCCCAAGTTAGGATATGTACTTTAGTAAGACCACGGTAAGATCTCTTGGCTGTTCCTCTGTGCTTTACATGTAACTTCACATAATCCTCCCAACCTAGATATTGTTACTCCATGGAGAAATTTCTGAACAAAGAGGTTAAACAACTTGTGCAAGGTCACAAAGATAGCAAAATGGAACCTGGATTTGAACCAGAGTCCTTTTTCTCAAGCACTACTTAACTAACCACTCAAGTAACAATCAGAAAAGAGAACTGAACTTATGGACTAGAAAGCTTCTCTTACCTGTATGAGTTCTAACATGCTGAACATAATTGTTTTTTCTGTCTGAAAAATAGTTGCATTTTCCACATGTGTATACTTTCCTTGGAAAATGGTTTCTTAAATGTTTCCTCCAGTGATACTCGCTCACTGTTGTGTATGTGCAAATGATACACTTGTAGACTCGCTCATTATCCCCAGCTCTGGTGTGGTGTTTCAGGTGTGCTGTATAGTGATCATATCGATTAGTATTGTAGCCGCAGCGGTCACAGCGAATGGGGCCCTTGGAGAAATCTCCCTCTTCTGCAGTGGAAGAGCCAGATTCCCTGGCTTTTGCCTGCTTCTCTGCACTCTCTTCCACAAAAAATTTCTTAGCACTGTGAACTCTGATGTGATGCACAAACTGTTCTTCAGATTCTGCTTCATATTGGCATGGCTTACAGCGAAAGGGTTTGGTCTTCGAGCTCTTGCCTTTGTCCTCCGCTCCAGGTGTTTCAGGGGGAAGATCTTTATTTGAACTGTAAATATCTGGAGCACCTGATGCCTCAAATACAGGCTGAGGTTCTACGACGCTGAGTTCCAAACTTCTCAGTTCCATGTTTTCCAGTCCATGAGGTTCACCTTTTATATCAGCAGACTCTTCAAGTCCTTCTCCTTCTTCACTATCTGAAAAGTTGTTATCCCCAACCGGCATCAGTTCTGCCATCTGTCTTTCTTCACCGACCAGGTAATCACAGCAGCTGCCATTTACTTCCCCAGTTAAGGCCACATTTGCCAGCATAATAAGCTGAGGTGCGGCCAGTTCAGCTTTGGAAAGGTCATGCAAGTCATACATGTCGTTAGGCAGGGCCATTCCAATGTTGCCACTGCTGGTAAACAGCCCTCCTCCTCCAGAAGACTGCCCCATTACCTGGGTGGCCATAACTGTATTCTGAATTAAAAACAAAACAAAACAAGAGCACCAGTTTAAACACTACTGTTACTGGCTTAAAACCACATCGCTGTAATTCTTCATAACTTAAAAATTTTCCAGTATGATCTTTATAACTCAGTAAACTTCATCGCCTATTAAAAACAAATCTTTAAAATAGTTGTTAATTCCCAATAGTCTACTGCAATCACCAAAAAAAAATTTCTACTATCCCTATAAAACAATTCTACCAATTGTTTGCACAACTCATTCATCATTCAGCCACTGGCATGTGGTGCCTCCTCAAGCACTTTTAATTGTTCTGGTGGGGATAAAAAGTAACCTTCATTTTTACTGTTAAAATTATTTTAAAAATTCAAAACATGAGTAGTAAATTATTGTCCTCCCAACTTTTCCCCCCTTCAACAGTTCAATGGTCTGAATCAGAAAGCCCAGAAATCCACAAGCCATTCAGTGCATTTATTAAGTACACAAACACATCTGGAAAGTACAAGCCTGTAATAATTGTTCAACTTAATTGGATTTCGCATGAACTCAACTAACTCCAAAAGAATAAACTACTGTGAAAAAGTAGCAGTCAGCCCCTTAATTTTTCGACAACTCCACAGGCTTAAAAGAAAAAACATTTATGGACCCCTTTTCTTGTGAAAAAGGAAGTTTGATTTATTCAAAACTTCACAAATAAAAATTAATAAGCTTATTTTTCTGCAGGCTGAAGTTCCACAACACTGAATTCCAAGCTTTTCAATACGAATAAAATCATCGTGCAACTCAACTCGACAATCAGCAACTTTCTTGCATTGTGCTTGACTTGGCCTACTTGCCTAGTGGAAGCCATTACAAGATCACCTTCTTCAAAACAAGTTGGGCTTTCTAGATGCTACGTTACTTCTCAATCTAAAAGGTGCCATTCTCAAACGAAGTGTTCACTCGCAAATTAAAAAAAGTAAGAAGTTCTAAGAAAATAAAGTTAAACCGAAAATACAAAAAGTAACCCGCTTCACCCAAGTGTATAAACACAAACCGGTTTAGTTCTACGTACCAACAAAAGTTGGAAGCAAATGCCATCACAGAAAACAGAGGGCGAAGGCTGTCCCGGGGCTGAACAGCCCAAGCTATTGGGTAATTTGGCCCAACATCGACTTTTCTAATTGCTCCCTAACCCCTAACTGCCACCCCAAATGGAATTTTAACGATTGTTAGGAAGACCGTCCAGGCACAGCCCGAAAGCCCAACGTGCTGCACGAATTCCTCCGTGCTGCTGCCACCAGCGCCTGCCTCGGCGGCGGCATTCCTAACTGAAATAGGCATTCGGCCATTTTCTCAAAATACCAAACACAAAGCAGCTCTTTGCAAACTCGGGCGCTCTCGCTTCCTCTCGCCTCGGCCCGCTCACTGCACACATTTACACACCAACTCGCGGGAGTCGCCCCGACACTCGTCCTGAGCCTTTTCCTGCGCTCTCCAACACTAAAACGGGGGAGGGGATCAAGCTCGAGGCGCTGTTTGGCCGGAACCAGTCCTCCCCGAGTCCAGGCAGCCCCCTCCCCAGCCCTAGGGCCCCCGTCCCGGGAGAGGACGGAAAGTTACCGCGCAGCCGGCGTCCGGGCTTCTCCGACCGCCCCCGGGCCCCTCCGACCGCCCCGGGGCTCGCCCAACGCCCAGGGCCGGGGAGGCTCCGCGGGCGCCCTCGCGAGGCGTCGGGCTCCGAGCGCCGGAGGGGGCCCCCACACGGGCCAGCCGCCACCCCCGCGCCCCGGAAGTTTGCGAACTTCACTCCCCCACGGCGCCCGGCAGGACGCGCGCCCCAGCCCCGCCAGCTCCAGCGGTCGGGTGGCCGGACGCGGGGGCCAGCGGCGCCGGACGGCTGAAGCGCAGAAATCGCTGTCCAGCCCCGCAGGCGGAACCGCCCGGGCCCCGGGGCTGACTCAACCCGCCCGGCCGCACTCAACGGCGCCTTCCGGCGACAGGGAGAGGCCCTGGGGGAGGGGGCCAGGAGGGCCGCGGGCCGGCGCGGGGCTGCGGTGGGACCCGGGGGCAGGAGGAGGAAGCAGAGGAAGTTTCAGGACTACGGGCCCGAGCAGCTCCGCTCCTTGGCCTCAAAGGACCTGACTCGGTGGAGCGTCCGGGCCAGCGCGGAGGCGGCGTCCCAGCCTCCAGTGGGGAGGGGGTCCAGGCGACGCGCTGCTCCCAACAAACGCCCCCAGCCCCCGGGCGGCTGCTGTGTAACCCGATCCTGCTCGGCCGCCAGCCCCCGCCCGGCGGGGCCGCCGCCGCCGGAGCCACAGTATCTGCAAATCAGCCCTGGACAGCGCCTGACTCCGCGTCCTTCCGCGCCCTCCCCGTCCCGCCACTGCCGCCGCCCGGGCGGCCCTCCCCCACCCTGACCGAGCCCCCAGCCCAGCGCCCCACTTACCGGCCTTCCTCGGTGAGGAGGGGCGGGCGACCCTGAGTCGCCGCTCCTTCTCCGACTACTTTTCTTTGTTGCTGGAGTTTCGGGGGAGAGGTGGGGGAGGGTGGTAAAGTTGGGTGCTGGGGCCGTCGTGGACCAAGAAGGCCCAGGAGTGGGGCTGCAGAGGGTGCTCAGGCCTCCGGGCCTCGCCCTGCCGTCTCGGCTGCGGCAGCCGCCGCCAGGGTCTGGGGCCCCGGGCCTCGGCGGCGCTCGCTCCGCTGCTGCGCCGCGAGCTCGCGGCAGCCGCACATTCCAACACAGGACGCTGCGCCGCGCACCCAGTCCGCGCCGCCGCCGCCGCCACCGCCCGCGGGACACGCCCCCTCCGACGCCCGCGCGCGCCCGCGAGACACGCCCCCTCCGACGCCCGCGCGCGTGGCCGCTAGGCGCGCCCCGCCCCTCTACCAAGCAAGGAGTGCCCCAGTCTCCAGCTCGCCTGGGGGCGCGTCTAGGGGGAGCCGCCCGTAATCCTCCCGGCCCCTCACTCCTGCCCTTAGGTCAGAAAAGAGGCGGGCCCCACTCCCTTTCTCGATTTCTATTACAAACAAACAACAAAAGTTCCCCCCAGCCCTGGCGTGCATGCATGAGAATAGAGCTGTTAAAAGAAGAATCCGCAGGCTTTGACGGGTCTCTTTAGAGCTATTGTCACCGGCCTCTCAAGTCTAAAGCGCTCCAAGATACCCTTCAGATCTCTTCAAGTCTCCACCCATAGCTGTCCTTGACTAATTAAGCTTCGTTTTAAGCGTCTGCGGTAAAAAAAAAAAAAAAAAAAAAAAGTCTTCCAAATTTCAAACTACCGGAGGGGGAATGCAGTCAGTTTGGGAGAAGTGAGAAGAAAACGTTTCAGGAAGGAGGTTATGGACTCAGAAAGCGTGAGCGTGAGGACTGAGGGGACAGATCCCTAGACGTGGCAGGTAGCAGGTCATTGCTGAGCCCGGAAAGCACGACTGCAGGGGAGGAATTACCCTCAGATGACAGAAGAAAAGGTGGTGAGGACGGGGAGGCTGCCTGGGGCCACGGTGTGTCGGAGTAACCGGGCTCACGTCTATGAAGCGGGATAACCAAGCGGAATGCCTAGCCCATAGTCATGTGCTAACAAAAACAAAAACAACAAAAAAGAACAGAGAGAGAGTAATTCCACCCCCTTTCACACCTGAAAGAGCTTCTCAGTCTGCCTTTGATACCTTCCTAAACGTCAGTCGTAAGTCACACCTGTCCTCAGAAGCATAGTGGCTCCCCATGACTACAAGCTTAAAGCTTAAACCCCTTAGTGTGGCGTTCAAGCCCCTACTTAACTTGACCTAGATAAGTCTGACTATTGCTTGGTATTACAACATAAGTAGCAAGTGCTATGGGGGTTTGCCAGTAGGAAGATGGATCCCAAGAGGTTCTAGAAACTTTTCACAGTAGATGTATTCAGTCTGACCTTGGAGAATGAGGAAAACTTCAACAGGTGGAAAGTAGGGCAAGGAACACTCTACACAGTGAAAAGGGCAAGCTCAAAATCCCAAAGCAGTTGTTAAGACATCCCAGCTTCTCCTCAGGGTACCTCACTTCCTTCTCTTTGAAGTTCCTTTATTTGTTTCTCTTAGGGCAGGGCTTCCAGACTCTTCATTTCCTGGTATACCCACGTAGGACCTCTGTTTCCCTCTATCTGGACAATATATTACTAATTAATGCAGTCTCCGATGCAAGATGAAATGAAGACCCTAAGGTGCTCGACCACCAAAAGTTTCAATGAGGCAATTTCAAATGTAACACCTCTCCATGAATCAAACCTGAAAAGTATTCATTTTCATTGAACCAAAGAGACAGGAAGGAAGGGAGGGAGGGAGGGAGGAAAGGAAGATCGACATTTTTAGGACTGGTACAAACTTTTCTATATATATTTTATTTGTTTAACTAAAATCAAGTTTGAGGTCACATGGCTTTTTTAGATGCTGTAGCCCAGGGTACAATTCAGGCCTCTACCAAGGTTGTCAAAGACATAAACTTGTTTTCTTTCCCTTTTTTAGGTCCAAAAAGGCAAAAATGAAATGTCTCTTGTTAAACTTACTAAATGTCCTTCATTTCCTCAATCTGACTGCTTACTGGAAATGTCTTATTAATTGCAAATTTATTCCCACATATTGTGATGCAAATAGAAGAATGGCGAATGGGCAGCTGCATTCATTTAAAATTAGCAGAGGCCCTTGTTCAAGGGATGGCATATTCAGAGTGACCCAAATTATCATGACATGAAGGCCACAGGTCAAATTCATAGGCCAAATTACAAATCAATTGAAAATTTTCTTGAGGGAAGCTGTTGCTATGAACTTGAATTCCTAACTGTTTTTCAAAAGTCTGTATTTTACTTTGCTGTATCCAAACTTTAGGATCTTCTGCAAGATAAAAACTCTGAAATGAGAATGAGTTCTGCTTTTCTTATATGGTTTTTTTCCTGCATATTTAACTCATCAATTTTTTTATTTTAATTATCATATGTTCTTAATAGTATTTTCTCTAGAGAGATTTCTTTCTTTTTTTTTTTTTTTTTTTTTTTGAGACAGAATTTGGCTCTTTTTGCCCAGGCTGGAGTGCAATAGCACGATCTCGGCTCACCGCAACCTCCGCCTCCCGGGTTCAAGCAATTCTCCTGCCTCAGCCTCCCGAGTAGCTGGGATTACAGGCATGTGCCACCACGCCAAGCTAATTTTGTATTTTTAGTTAGAGACGGGGGTTTCTCCATGTTGGTCAGGCTGGTCTCGAACTCCCAACCTCAGGTGATCCGCCTGCCTCGGCTTCCCAAAGTTCTGGGATTACAGGCGTGAGCCACCACACCTGGCCAATTATATATATATATATATATTATTTTTTTTTTTGACATGGAGTCTTGCTCTGTCACCCAGGCTGGAATGCAAAGGTGCGATCTCGGCTCACTGCAACCTCCACCTCCCGGGTTCAAGTGATTCTCCTGCCTCAGCCTCCCGAGTAGCTAGGATTACAGGCACGTGCCACCTTGTCTGGCTAATTTTTGTATTTTTAGTAGAGATGGTGTTTCACCATGTTGGCCAGGCTGGTCTTGAACTCTTGACCTCAGATGATCCACCTGCCTGGGCCTCCCAAAGTGCTAGGATTACAGGTGTGAGCCACCCCGCCTGGGAGTCTTGCTCTGTCGCCCAGGCTAGAATGCAGTGGCAAGATCTTGGCTCACTGGAACCTCTGCCTCCTGGGTTCAAGCAATTCTCCTGCCTCAGCCTCCCGAGTAGCTGAGATTACAGGCACCCGCTAGGACGCCCAGCTAATTTTTGTATTTTAGTAGAGATGGGGTTTCACTATGTTGGTCAGGCTAGTCTCGAACTCCTGACCTGAGGTGATCCACCCGCCTCGGCCTCCCAAAGTGCTGGGATTACCTGTGTAAGCCACCGAGTCCAGCCAGCATCATCTACTCTTGCTGCCGGTTGGACTCTGACCTCTTGTTCTGGTTCTGATAACTGGAATAGTGTCTTACTCATTATAGGCATCAACAGCTTGAGCCAGGGAGGTTTTCCCTTCATGCTGAGAAGGGAAGGAGGTGAACAAGAGAACTTGAGACTTGAGCTGGGCTCCTTCCTGCCTTCTTTTGGAGCCTAGATCACATTTGGAACCCGCTCCCATTTTCGTCCAATCCTAATGCCCTTCCCTGCTGTTTCTGCTCCCATTTTCGTCCAATCCTAATGCCCTTCCCTGCTGTTTCTGTCTCTAACATTTATTACTAACATGCTAGGTATTTTTATTTATTTACCCTACTTAGGAACTTAAGCTCCAGAAAGGCAGAGACATTTTTTTATCCCCAGCACCTATAACTCGTTAGTTGCTCAACAAATATTAGTTAGATGAATGGTTACAAAATCCTAGCTTGGTATCACAATCTCTCAAAGTGGGGACCATCCTTACCCATGTCGGTACCCAACGTTCAGTACCCATCACAGTCTTCCCTCATGTTAAGCATGAGCCTGCCTCCTTGAATCTCCCTAATAACTACTGTTAAATAAATTAATGCTCCTGGATCCCTGGTCTTGGGGTTCTACCCTCCTGGTGAAAATCTCCCTGCCTGCTCTTCTGCATATTGTATTCCTAGCACATTCCTGATTTCACGCATCAGCCTCTGGTTGGATATTCCTTGGTGATCATTAACAATCTGTTTTGGCCAGGTGCGGTGGCTCACGCCTGTAATCCCAGCACTTTGGGAGGCTGAGGCAGGCAGATCACCTGAAGTCGAGAGTTCTAGACCAGCCTGACCAACATAGAGAAACCCTGTCTCTACTAAAAATACAAAATGAGCTGGGCATGGTGGCACACGCCTGTAATCCCAGCTACTTAAGAGGCTGAGGCGGGAGAATGGCTTGAACCTGGGAGGCGGAGGTTGCGTGAGCAGAGATCGTGCCAGTGCACTCCAGCCTGGGCAACAAGAACAGAACTCCATCTCAAAAAAAAAAAAAAATGTTTCAACCTTAGGTATCGTTCCATTTGATGGGTTTAAATACAAGTTACATAGCCTATCAACTGCATTGCTCTGCCTCTCTCTTCTCTGGCCTTTACCATTGTCCTTCCTTCCAGAATTCTCCCTCCAAATGTTATGTAGGCCACAAAATGTCACAAATGCAAGAGATCTTAGAGGTGCAGGCTCTTGTTTTATATGTAAAAGGAGACAGGCCTACAAGCTTTTGGCTTGTCCAGGTTTGCACAAGTAGTTAGGGCACAGATGGAGGTAGGACCCATGACTCAATTTCCAGCCAGTCCGGTGCTCTTTCCATGTCTCTCAGACACTTTGTCCAGTCTTCTTTCTGCTCTACCCTGGCCCTATTCCCGAAAACATCTTTTAATCTTTGGGGCCTGATGGGCCACTATGTACAATGGCTTTAGAGATGTATATATTTGAGATAGGGGGACTTTTCAGATCCGCAATTCCATAACTCTGAAGCCTACTTTTTATATTAAGATTAATTACCTTCTGGGCCAGGCCCAGTGGTTCACGCCTGTAATCCCAGCACTTAGGGAGCCCGAAGTGGAAAGATCACTTGAGCCCAAGAGTTCGAGACCAGCCTGGGCAACACAGTGCGACCTCATCTCTAGTAAAAATAATTTTTTAAAAATAGCTGGTGTGGTGAGGTGTGCCTGTAGTCCCAGCTACTTGGGAGGCTGAGGTAGGAGGATTGCTTGAGTGCAGGAGATTGGGGCTGCAGTGAGCCAGGATCACACCACTGCACTCCAGCTGGGTGACACAGCAAGACCACGTCTCGAAAAAAAAAAAAAAAGATTTATTACCTTCTGGCTTGGGAAGCAGAAGCCCTTATTGTCTTCCATGGCATTTAAAACACTCAAGAGCCAACATTGACATGTTAATTTACAAAGCTAATCATCAATTTAGAGGAATATGGACTTGACTCAGAAGACAACTTCTGGCAACCTTTCCCTTCTTCCCAAGGAGAGGTTAAAACCTTCCCACATGAACTCCTAAAGTGCCATAAGTATACTCTTGCGCCTGTTTTCTTTCCCATGTCTTTCTCATCTGTCTGAGAGGGTCTAGAGACAAGAAACTGTGTTGTGTGTTCTCAACATGCTGATATTCCTGACACAGTAAATAAAATCAAACTTCTGGCAAAGTGTATCAACCCAAAGCTAAAGCCAGGCACTGGCTTTATGCATAAATGTTTCCTAGATTAATGAACCTGTACATTTTCCTTGTTTGTCTAAAAATTATCACTAAACCTACTAGAATGGCTAAAAGTTTAAAAAGCTAAGTATAAAATGCAACAAGGGCTGGGTGCGGTTCTCATGCCTATAATTCCAGCACTTTGGGAGGCCAAGGGGCGCAGATCACTTGAGGTCAGAAGTTCAAAACCAGCCTGGGCATCATGGCAAAACCCTGTCTCTACCAAAAATACAAAAAGTTAGGTGTGGTGGTGTGCACCTGTGATCTCAGCTACTCGGGAGGCTGAGGTGGGAAGATCACTTGAGCCCAGGGGGTGGAGGTTGTAGCAAGCTGAGATCGAAACACAGCACTTTACAGCCGGGCACAGTGGCTCCCACCTGTAATCCCAGTAGTTTGGGAGGGCGAGGCGGGCAGATCACGAGGTCAGGAGATCGAGACCTTCCTGGTTAACACGGTGAAACCCTGTCTCTACTAAAAAGTACCAAAAAATTAGCCAGGCGTGTTAGTGGGCACCTGTAGTCCCAGCCATTTGGGAGTCTGAGGCAGGAGAATGGCGTGAACCTGGGAAACGGAGGTTGCAGTGAGCCAAGATTGCACCACTGCACTCCAGTCTGGGCGACAGAGCGAGACGCCGTCTCAAAAAAAAAAAAAAAAAAAAACAATGCGACAAAGATACTGAGCACCTGGAATTCTCTCTCTCTTTTCCTCTCTCTCCCTCTTCTCTCTTGAGACAGGATCTTGCTGCATCACCCAGGCTGGAGTGCAGTGTCATGATCTCAGCTCACTGAAACCTCTGCCTCCTGGACTCAAGCGATCCTCCCCCTTCAGCATCCCGAGTAGCTGGGACTACATGTACGACCTACCACACCCAGCTAATTTTTTAAAATTTCTTTTTTGTGGAGACATAGTCTCACTATTTTTCAGGCTGGTCTTGAACTCCTGGGCTCAAGTGATGCTCCCACCTTGGCCTCCCAAAGTGCTGGGACTATAGGAGTGAACCGCCTGCCTAGCCTATGACTCTAATATTGCTGATGGAAATGCAAACTGTTGTTAACAACTTTGGAAATGCAACACTTTTGCAAACTTGAATTTTCTTATAGACACTTAGCATATAATCCAGTCATCACATTCCTAGATATTTACACAAGAGAACTGAAAACCTGTGGTACCTAAAGACCCAAATGGGAGGTGTCTAACAACTAGAAACAACCTAAAAGTAGTCTAGACTGTGAATGAAAAGCAAATTTGTATCTACCCATTCAATAGAATGATATTGTTGGGGAGGAAAAACTTTTCCTCTATCCTCTTAGGTTGTTTTTTTTTTTTTTTTTTTTGAGACAGAATCTCACTCTGTCACCCAGGCTGGAGTGTAGTGGTGCGATCTTGGTTCACTACAACCTCTGCCTCCCATGTTCAAGCGATTCTTCTGCCTCAGCCTCCTGAGTAGCTGGGACTACAGGCGCACACCACCACGCCCAGCTAATTTTTGTGTTTTTTGTGTTTTTTGAGATGAAGTTTTGCTCTTGTTGCCCAGGTTGAAATGCAACGGCATGATCTTGGCTCACCACAACCTCCGCATCTCCACTTGCGGGTTCAATCGATTTGCCTGCCTCAGCCTCCCGAGTAGCTGGGATTACAGGCACACGCCACCACACCTGGCTAATTTTGTATTTTTAGTAGAGACGGGGTTTCTCGATGTTGGTCAGGCTGGTCTCGAACTCCAGACCTCAGGCGATCCACCCATTGTCTCAGCCTCCCAAAGTGCTGGGATTACAGGCGTGAGCCACCGCTCCCGGCCTATCCTCTTAGGTTTAATCATTGGCGGCATGCAAATCAAATTGACAAAAGACATACTGGCAACATAAAAGACAAATTTTTTTTTTTTTTTGAGACAGAGTCTCTCTATCCCCAAGGCTGGAGTACAATGGCGCGATTTCAGTCTACTGCAACCTCCTCCTCCTAGGTTCAAGTGATTCTCATGCCTCAGCCTCTGGAGTAGCTGAGATTACAGGCACCCGGCACCATACCCAGCTAATTTTTGCATTTTTAGTAGAGAGCCTTTCACCATGTTGGCCAAGCTGGTCTTGAACTCCTGACCTCAGGTTATCTGCCCGCCTCAGCCTCCCAAAGTGCTGAGATTACAGGCATGAGCCACTGCTCCCAGCCCAGAAAAGACACAATTAATCATATATTAAATGTACATAAAAGATTTGATCAAAAAATGTGATTCACGGGGCAGTTGGAATCTGGGCCTATATACCAACTTAATAGAGGAAGGAGAGAGGGAAAAGGGCACTTAGGAGAAAACAAATGACTTTTTGGAAAGACAAATGGGCTTTAGGAGAATAGATGGGAGATATGATAGTTTTGTAACAATGCCTTTTAGATGTGGTGTGCAGACTTCTCTCTCTTCTTTTGTTTTTCTTCAAACCTTGCTTGGTTGAAAGTGACTTCTCATTAGTGGTGATAAGAGTCAATTGTCCCTGGTTGCTTTGCTGGGAAGGGATTTACAAAAACTGAATTCTTTTGGGAGGCTCTGCTTTCAGGGATATAAGAGATTTCAAGAACTCAGATGGCCTTCTACTCAAAATAATTTTTATGCCACAGCTGTGTATTCCGGACTCATTCAATAATAAAATAAAGTAACTACAGATACATGCAACCACATAGATGAGTCTCGAAAGCATTATGCTAAGGGAAAGAAGCCAGATGCAAAAGGCCACTTACCTCATAATTCCATGTGTATACCATTCAGGGAAAGGCAAGCTATGGAAACAAATCAGTGGTTGCCGTGGGCTGGTGGTAAAGGAAGAGGATTGACTACAAAGGGCACAAAGGAATTTTGGGGGGTGACATAATTGTTGTATTTACTTATTTATTTATTTATTCAGAGACAGGGTTTCGCTCTGTTGCCCAGGCCAGAGTGCAGTGGCATAATCATAGCTCACTGCAGCCTCAAACTCCTGGACTCAAGAGATCCTTCTCCCTCAGCCCCTCAAGTAGCTGGGATTACAGGCATGCACCACTCTGCCAGCGGGGTGATGTAATAATCAACATCTCAACTGTGGTGATGGCTACACAACTATATACATTTCTCAAAATTTGTAAAACTAAACTACTTACAGCCAGGCGAGGTAGCTCATGCCTGTAATCCCAGCACTTTGGGAGGCCGAGATGGGCGAGGTGGGGAGTTCAAGACCAGCCTGACCAACATGGAGAAACCTCATCTCTACCGGGCGTGGTGGCAACAAGGGCGAAACTCCATCTCAAAAAAAAAAAGAACCTGAACTACTTACAAGGGTAAATTTTACTGAATACAAATTATACCCCAATAAACCTGACTTTTAATAAATAGAACTATAGGCCAGGTGCAGTGGCTCATGCCTGTAATCCCAGCACACTGGGAGGCTGAGGCAGGTGCGTAACTTGAGGCCAGGAATTTGAGACCAGCCTGGCCAACACGGTGAAACCCCATCTCTACAAAAAATACAAAAATTAGCCGGGCATGATAGCACGGGCCTGTGGTCCCAGCTATTCAGGAGGCTGAGGCACAAGAATTGCTTGAATCCAGGAGGTGGAGGTTGCAGTGAGCTGACATCACACCACTGCACTTCAGTCTGGGCAACAGAGTAACACTCTGTCTCAAAAAATAAATAAACAGGCCAGGTGCCGTGGCTCACACCTATAATCCCAGCACTTTGGGAGGCCGAGGTGGGCAGATCACGGGGTCAGGAGTTTGAGACCAGCCTGGCAAACATGCTGAAACCCCATCTCTACTAAAAATACAAAAATTAGCTGGGCATGGTGGCCCGTGCCTGTAGTCCCAGCTACTCGGGAGACTGAGGCAGAAGAATCGCTTGAACCCAGGAGGCAGAGCTTGCAGTGAGCCGAGATCGCGCCACTGCACTCCAGCTTGGGCCACGGAGCAAGACTCTGTCTCAAAAAAAAATAAAATAAATGAAAATAAATAAATAAATAAACACAAAACTATAAACAATAGATACTAGTTTTTGTGTGAGTGTTTCAGGTATATGCATTGTTTTGGTAAAGTGTTCAAAATCCTTTCATAAAATGTTATATCTGAGAATGTCTTTCCTCCTGATACAGTCTCTATTAATTTATACTAAAAAGTCACTTCCTATCCTTAACCCTATTTATCCAGCTGGTATTTTTTTTTTTTTTTTTTTTTTTGAGAAGGAGTCTCACTCTGTCGCCCAGGCTGGAGTGCAGTGGCACGATCTCGGCTCACTGCAAGCTCCGCCTCCTGGGTTCACGCCATTCTCCTGCCTCAGCTTCCTGAGTAGCTGGGACTACAGGCGTCCGCCACCACGCCCGGCTAATTTTTCGTATTTTCAGTAGAGACGAGGTTTCACCGTGTTATCCAGGATGGTCTCGATCTCCTGATCTCGTGATCCGCCCGCCTCGGCCTCCCAAAGTGGTGGGATTACAGGCGTGAGCCACCGCGCCCGGCCCAGCAGGTATTTATTCAGCACCTTCTCTGTTTAAGGTGCAAGGGTGGTGTGGGGCTAGGAGGTGGGTAGAGAAGTATAAAATGGGTTTTGACTTTCACCAGCTTATTATCTAGTTGAGGAAATAAAATATATCCTGCTTTAGTAAAAGCACAGTCAGTAAGAGCTTTTAGAGTTTGAAGAATTTGCTTCCAGCTAGTAGTCTTGAGCAAGCTTCAAGGAGGAGGTGGAGTTTGTTTTGCCAGAAACGATGCAGCCATGGCACAGTTTACATGGGGAGAGTCCAAAGTACAGAGATCAGTTACCTTAAGGTCATCCCTAATGTGTCAGTCCATGAAAGGCAGGGTAACTGATCCTCGTGAAAGATGAAAAGGCAGAAGAATCAATGCAGGAAAAACAGCTAAACCAAGATGGCACACCAGCCGGAGTTGGAGCAAAAGAATACTGAAGATGAAGTGCACAGGATCAATGGGGTACAGACACCCTTTTACATATGGGTGTGGCTTGCTCCAAAGAGGTATTTAAAAAGCAGGGATCTGGCCAGGCACAGTGGCTCACAACTGTAATCTCCCCGAGATTGTGCCACTGCACTCCAGCATGGCGACAGAGTGAGACTCTGTTTCAAAAAAAAAAGGCTGGGCATAGTGGTTCATGCCTGTAATCCCAGCACTTTGGGAGGCTGAGGCAGGCGGATCACGAAGTCTGGACTTCAAGACCAGCCTGTCCAGTATGGTGAAACCCTGTCTCTACTAAAAATACAAAAATTAGCCAGGCATGGTGGAGGGCGCCTGTAGTCCCAGCTACTCAGGAGGCTGAGGTAGGAAAATCGATTGACCCCGGGAGGTGGAGGCTGCAGTGAGCCCAGATCTCGCCACTGCACTCCAGCCTGGGCAACAGAGTGAGACTCCGTCTCAAAAAAAAAAAAAAAACAGCAGGGATCAAGTCTCTCAGCAAAGCACAACCAATAGCACTACAATCCAATCATAAGCATGGATGTCACAGACAAACTGTAAACTAATGAAGTGCAAGAATTGGGATGAAGTTGAAGTCTAAATTCCTGGATTATACTAAGAAGAAATAACGTATTTCCATAAGAAGCTAGTCTGCATGTAATCTATAAAGACAAAAAAGAAGGTGAAACATTGAGCATTATTAGGCCAGGCGCAGTGGCTCACACCTATAATCCCACCACTTTGGGAGGCAGAGGCGGGTGCATCACTTGAGATCAGGAGTTCAAGACCAGCCTTGCCAACATGGTGAAACCCCATCTCTACTAAAAAATACAAAAATTAGCTGGGCATTGTGGTGAGTGCCTGTAATTCCAGCTACTTGGGAGGCTGAGGCAGGAGAATCACTTGAACCCAGGAGGCAGAGGTTGCAGTGAGCCCAGACCGCACCACTGCACTGCAGCCTGGGCGACAAGAGAGAAACTCTGTCTCAAAAAAGAAAAAAAAGAAAAATTGGACACTATTCACCTAAAATTGTCTAACGATTATTGAGACACTGAATCTGGTAGACAGAGATGCATAATGTAGGTTTAGGACAAGGATAGTTCACTCAGATTTTTCATGGCTTAGATAAATGTCAAGTTTTTGTTTTGTTCTGTTTTGTTTTTTTTGAGACAGAATCTCGCTCTGTTACCTAGGCTGGAGTGCAGTGGCACGATCTTGGCTCACTGCAACCTCCACCTCTCGGGTTCACACGATTCTCCTGCCTCAGCCTCCCAAGTAGCTGGGACTACAGGCGTGAGCCACCATGCCTGGCTACTTTTTGTATTTTTAGTAGAGATGGGATTTCACCATGTTGGCCAGGCTGGGCTCAAACACCTGACCTCAAGTGATCCACCCGCCTCTGCCTCCCAATTACAGGCGTGAGCCACTGCGACCAGCCAAATGTCAAGATTCTTTATCTCTCCTGACATGAAGTTCATACTCGACTGGGCACAGTGGCTCAAGCCTGTAATCCCAGCACTTTGGGAGGCCGAGGCAGGTGGATTACCTGAGGTCAGAAGTTCGAGACCAGCCAGGCCAACATGGTGAAACCCTGTCTCTACTAAAAATACAAAAATTAGCCAGGCGTGGTGGCGCAGGCCTGTGATACTGGCTACTAGGGAGGCTGAAGCAGGAGAATCGCTTGAACCCAGGAGGCAGAGGTTGCAGTGAGCCGAGATTGTGCCATTGCACTCCTGCCTGGGCAACAAGAGCCAAACTCTGTCTCAAAAAACCAAAAAAAGGCTGGGCTCGGTGGCTCACACCTGTAATCCCAGCACTTTGGGAGGCCGAGGGGGATGGATCACCTGAGGTCAGGAGTTCAAGCTGGTCAAGAGACTAGACTGGCCAAAATGGTGAAACTCCATCTCTATTAAAAATACAAAAATTAGTTGGGCATGGTGGCGGGTGCCTGTAATCCCAGCTACTTGAGAGGCTGAGGCAGGAGAATCAACTGAACCTGTGAGATGGAGATTGCAGTGAACCAAGATTGTGCCACTGCCCTCCAGCCTGAGCAACAGAGTGAGACTCTGTCTCAAAAAAAAAAACCACACAAAAAAAAACAGTCCCTACTCATCAAGTAACTTAATGGTTAATAATATGCCCTTCCCAGTATTTTGATTTCTAGCCACAATTAAGTCATTTATCAACTGGTATTCTAAATTATGCATCTCTCCCTACTATTCCGTTACGTCTCCTACCATATCACTTCCTTTTCTCACACTCACTAAACTCCAGCCACACATGCCAGCCTTTGCAGATGCAATCATTATTCTTATTGTTATTATTTTTGAGACAAGGTATCACTCTGTCACCCAGGCTGGAGTGCAGTGGTGGGATCTCAACTCACTGCAACCTCCACTTCCCAGGCTCATATGATCCTCTTGCCTCTCAACACGTGACACTGCCTGGCACGGTGGCTCATGCCTGTAATCCCAGCACTTTGGGAGGCCTGGGTGGGCAGATCACCTGAAGTCAGGAGTTTGAGACCAGCCTGGCCAACATGGTGAAACCCCGTCTCTACTAAAAATACAAAAACTAGCCGGGCGTGGTGGCGTGCACCTGTAATCCCAGCTACTCCAGAAGCTAAGGCAGGAAAATCGCTTGAACCCAGAAGGCGGAGGGTGTAGTGAGCCGAGATCACGCCACTGCACTCCAGCCTGGATGACAGAGTGAGACGCTGTCTCAAGAAAATAAATAAATAAAAATAAACACATGACACCCTGCCCAGCTAATTAAAATATATATATATATTTGTACAGACAAGCTATATTGCCCAAGCTGATCTTAAACCCCTGGGTTCAAGCAATCCTCCCAACCTTAGCCTTCCAAAGTGCTGGTATTACAGGTGCGAGCCACTAAGACTGGCCATATTATCATTATTTTAGAGACAGGGTCTTGCTATGTTGCCCAGGTTGGACTTGAACTCTGGACTCAAGGGATCCCTCCACCTTGGCCTCCCAAAGTGTTGGGATTATAGGTGTGAGTCACCACACCTGGCCAAGTTGTTAATTTTGATAAACTATTTTATTTATTTATTTGTTTATTTATTTATTTGAGACGGAGTCTCATTCTGTCACCCAGGCTGGAGTGCAGTGGCATGAACTCAGCTCACTGCAATCTCCACTCTCCTCGGTTCAAGCGATTCTCCTGTCTCAACCTTCCAAGTAGCTGGGATTACAGGCTTGTGCCACAATGCCTGGCTAAGTTTTGTATTTTTAGTAGAGACAGGGTTTTGCCATGTTGACCAGGCTGGTCTCAAACTCCTTAGCTCAAGTGATCTGCCTGCTTTGGCCTCCCAAAATGCTGGGATTACATGCATGAGCCACCTTGTCTGGTCCTAAACTAACTATTTTAGTTGGTTCACAGTGACATCTTCCATCAGCAAAAATTTCATAGAACAAATAGCTAAGTTATTTTTGCCTAATCCGAGAATTGTTTAGCACAGGAAGAGGAAAATGTTTGTTCACAGAATATAGCACAGAGACAAGAAAGTTAGTTTCAGTTCTCAAGGCAAACAATTTTAAAATACACATTAAGGGATTAGATTAACAATTCATTGGAGGGATGTGGTGGCTCATGCCTGTAATCCCAGCACTTTGGGAAGCCTAGGCAGGTGGATTACTTGAGTCCAGGAGTTCAAGACCAGCCTGAGCAACATGGTAAAACCCAGTCTCTACAAAATATACAAAAAGTAGCCAGGTGTGGTGATGTGTGCCTGTAGTCCCAGTTACTAGGGAGGCTGAGGTGGTGGAAGGATCTCTTGAGCACAGAAGGTCAAGGCTCCAATGAGCCATGATGGCCCCACGGTACTTCAGCCTGAGCCTGGGTGACTGAGCAAAACCCTGTCTCAAAAAAAACCCAGAAACCATAAAACAAAATAACCCATGGTACATCAACAAGAAAAAAATATTATCAGCCATTAAATAGGACAATTATTTAAAATACTAAAAAATATGTTTATGTGTTTATAATATTAAATGATCAAAACAGAAGACAAAATATTAACTTATGTGGCTGTGATAATATCAAAATATGTGAGCATGTAGAAGGAAGTATGCTAAGAAAATAATGCTAGGATGGTGGCGTGATCAGCATGTCAGTCAGGGTTTTATTAGGAAACAGAATTCTTTCAAAGTACTTAAAACAGGGAATTTGAGGCAATTAATTTTTTACGGAGGTGATATGGTTTGGCTGTGTCCCCACCCAAATCGCATCTTTAGTTGTAGCTCCCATAATCCCCAAATGTTGTGGGAAGGACCCACAACATTTTGTGGGAGGTAATTGAATCTTGGGGACAGGTTTTTCTGTACTGTTCTGGTGATAGTGAATATGTCTCAAAAGATCTGATTGTTTTATAAAGGGCAGTTCCCCTAAACACACTCTCTTGCTTGCCACCATGTAAGATGTACCTTTGCTCCTCATTGGCCTTCTGCTATGATTGTGAGGCCTCCCCAGCTATGTGGAGCTGTGAGTCCATTAACCCTCTTTCCTTCATAAATTACCCAGTCTTGGGTATGTCTTTATTAGCATCATGAGAATGGAGTAATGCAAGAGGTGATTGAAGTGCTGAGTATCCAAGCGGGGCAGTCAAGGAGTTGGGGACACCAACAGATGCTGGAACCACCCCAGGCCTGTTTACCAGGAGGGGGAGCCATGGAAGAGCTGGAGCAAATGAGGAAGTAACTGCCCTTGCTATAAGACACTGCCCAGGACAATCTCTTGCCAGTGCTTCCCACTGACAAAATCCAGCTTGATGCCAACTTACATGAAGCCTGGGAAATAAAGGTGGCAAAGACCAGCCCTGCTCAGATTCAGAGGAGTGCAGAGACCAGATTTGAGGCCACATTGACAGCTTTTCATTTGCTTTAAAAAATATTTATTTAGGCCAGGTGCGGTGGTTCATGCCTATAAACCCACCACTTTGGGAGGCCGAAGCGGATGGATCACCTGAGGTCAGGAGTTTGAGACCAGTCTGACCAACATGGGAGTCTCTACTAAAAATACAAAATTAGCCGGGCATGGTGGCACATGCCTGTAATCCCAGCTACTCGGGAGGCTGATACAGGAGAATCACTTACCCCTGGGAGGCAGAGATTGTGGTGAGCAGAGATCGCGCCATTGCACTCCAGCCTGGGAGACAAGAGTGAAACGCCTTCTCGGGGAAAAAAAAAAAACATTTGTTGGCAAAAAAAAAAAAAAAAGATAATGAAAAAATATCTGGAATAACTTTTTTTTTTTTTTTTTGAGATGGAGTCTCGCTCTGTTGCCCAGGCTGGAGTGCAGTGGTGCGATCTCGGCTCATTGCAGCCACTGCCTCCCAGGTTCAAGAAATTCTCCTGCCTCAGCCTCCTGAGTAGCTGGGATTACAGGCGCCCGCTACCACGCCCAGCTAATTTTTGTATTTTTAGTAGAGACGGGGTTTCACCATGTTGGTCAGGCTGGTCTCAAACCCCTGACCTTGTGATCCACCTGCCTCGGCCTCCCAAAGTGCTGGGATTACAGGCATGAGCCACCACACCCGGCCTGGAATAACATTTTAAAAGGATTAGGGAAGTGGAATGAAAGAAGACTTCTACTTTCTTTTTTTTTTTTTTTTTTTTTTGAGATGGAGTCTCGATCTGTCACCCAGGCTGGAGTGCAGTGGCGCAATCTCAGCTCACTGCAACCTCCACCTCCCAGGTTCAAGCAATTCTCCTGCCTCAGCCTCCTGAGTAGCTGGGATTACAGGCGTATGCCACCAAGCCCGGCTAATTTTTGTATTTTTACTAGAGACGGAGTTTCACCACATTGGTCAGGCTGGTCTCGAACTCCTGACCTCATGAGCCACCTGCTTCGGCCTCCCAAAGTGCTGGGATTACAGGTGTGAGCCACCGCGCCTGGCCAGACTTCTACTTTCTTTCTTTTTTTTAAATTATACTTTATGTTCTAGGGTACATGTGCCCAATGTACAGGTTGCATATGCCATGTTGGTTTGCTGCACCCATCAACTTCTCATTTACATTAGGTGTTTCTCCTAATGCTATCCATCCCCCAGCCCCCACCCCCCGACAGGCCCCAGTGTGTGATGTTCCCCACCCTGTGTCCAAGTGTTCTCATTGTTCAATTCCCACCTATGAGTGAGAACATGTGGCGTTTGGTTTTCTTTTTTTTTTTTTTTGAAATGGAGTCTCCCTCTGTTGCCCAGGCTGGAGTGCAGTGGTGTGATCTCGGCTCACTGCAAGCTCCGCCTCCCGGGTTCAAGCGATTCTTCTGCCTCAGCCTCCCAAGTAGCTGGGATTACAGGTGCCCACCACCACACCAAGCTAATTTTTGTATTTTTAGTAGAGACAGAGTTTCACCATGTTGGCCAGGCTGGTCTGAGTCTCTTGAGCTCATGATCCGCCCGCCTCGGCCTCCCAAAGTGCTGGGATTACAGGCGTGAGCCACCATACCCAGCCTGGTGTTTGGTTTTCTGTCCTTGTGATAGTTTGCTGAGAATGATGGTTTCCAGCTTCATTCATGTCCCTGCAAAGGACATGAGCTCATCCTTTTTTATGGCTGCATAGTATTCCATGGTGTATATGTGCCACATTTTCTTCATTCAGCCTATCATTGATGGACATTCGTGTTGGTTCCAAGTCTTTGCTACTGTGAATAGTGCCACAATAAACATACGTGTGCATGTGTCTTTATAGTAGCATGATTTATAATCCTTTGTGTATATACCCAGTAATGGGATTGCTGGGTCAAATGGTATTTCCAGTTCTAGATCCTAGAGGAATTGCCACACTGTCTTCCACAATGGGTGAACTAATTTACACTCCTACCAACACTGTAAAAGTGTTCCTATTTCTCCACATCCTCTCTAGTGTCTGTTGTTTCCTGACTTTTTTTTTTTTCTTTGAGATGGAGTCTCACTCTGTTGCCCGGGCTGGAGTGCAGTGGCATGATCTCAGCTCACTGCAACCTCCGCCTTCTGGGTTCTCTTGCCTCAGCCTCCCAAGTAGCTGGGACTACAGGCATGCACCACTATGCCCAGCTAATTTTTGTATTTTTAGTAGAGACGGGGTTTCACCATGTTGGTTGGCCAGGATGGTCTCAATCTCTTGACCTCATGATCCGCCCGCCTCAGCCTCCTAAAATGCTGGGATTACAGGCATGAGCCACAGCACCCAGCCTGTTTCCTGACTTTTTAATGATTGCTATTCTAGCTGGTGTGAGATGGTATCTCATTGTGGTGTTTTTTTTTTTTTTTTTGACAGAGTCTTGCTCTGGCACCAGGCTGGAGCACAGTGGCACAATCTCAGCTCACTGCATCCCCCACCTCCTGGGTTCAAGTGATTCTCCAGCCTCAGCCCCCAGAGTAGCTAGGATTACAGGCATGTGCCACCACACCCAGCTAATTTTTGTGTTTTTAGTAGAAACGGGGTTTCACCATGTTGGCCACGATGGTCTCGATCTCCTGACCACGTTATCCACCTGCCCTGGCCTCCCAAAGTGCTGGGATTACAGGCATAAGCCACCGTGTCCGGCCTCATTGTGGTTTTGATTTGCATTTCTCTGATGACCAGTGATGATGAGCATTTTTTCATGTGTCTGTTGGCTGCATAAATGTTTTCTTTTGAGAAGTGTCTGTTCATATCCTTTGCCCACTTTTTGGTGGGGTTGTTTGTTTTTTTCTTGTAAATTTGTTTGAGTTCTTTGTAGATTCTGGATATTAGCCCTTTGTCAGGTGGGTAGATTGCAAAAATTTTCTCCCATTCTGTAGGTTGCCTGTTCACTCTGATGGTAGTTTCTTTTGCTGGGCAGAAGCTCTTTAGTTTAATTAGATCCCATTTTTCTATTTTGGCTTTTGTTGCCATTGCTTTTGGTGTTTTAGTCATGAAGTCTTTGCCCATGCCTATGCCCTGAATAGTATTACCTAGGTTTTCTTCTAAGGTTTTTATGGTTTTAGGTCTAACATTTAAGTCTTTAATCCATCTTGAATTAATTTTTGTATAAGGTGTAAGGAAGGGATCCAGTTTCAGCTTTCTACATGTGGCTAGCCAGTTTTCCCAGCACCATTTATTAAATAGAGAGTCCTTTCCCCATTTCTTGTTTTTGTCAGGTTTGTCAAAGACCAGATGGTTGTAGATATGCGGCATTATTTCTGAGGGCTCTGTTCTGTTCCATTGGTCTATATCTCTGTTTTGGTACCAGTACCATGCAGTTTTGGTTGCTGTAGCCTTGTAGTATAGTTTGAAGTCAGGTAGTGTGATGCCTCCAGCTTTGTTCTTTTTGCTTAGGATTTTCTTGGCAATGTGCGCTCTTTTTTGGTTCCATGTGAGCTTTAAAGTAATTTTTTCCAATCTGTGAAGAAAGTCATTGGTAGCTTGATGGGGATGGCATTGAATCTACAAAATACCTTGGGCAGTATGGCCATTTTCATGATATTGATTCTTCCTATCCATGAGCATGGAATGTTCTTCCATTTGTTTGTGTCCTCTTTTATTTCGTTGAGCAGGGGTTTGTAGTTCTCCCTGAAGAGGTCCTTCACGTCCCTTGTAAGTTGGATTCCTAGGTATTTTATTCTCTTTGTAGCAATTGTGAATGGGAGTTCACTCATGATTTGGCTCTCTGTTTGTCTGTTATTGGTGTATAGGAATGCTTGTGATTTTTGCACACTGATGTATCCTGAGACCTTGCTGAAGTTGCTTATCAGCTTAAGGAGATTTTGGGCTGAGACGATGGGGTTTTCCAAATATACAACCATGTCATCTGCAAACAGGGACAATTTGACTTCCTCTTTTCCTAATTGAATGCGCTTTATTTCTTTCTCTTGCCTGATTGCCCTGGCCAGAACTTCCAACACTATGTTGAATAGGAGTGGTGAGAAGGGGCATCCTTGTCTTGTGTCAGTTTTTGAAGGGAATGCTTCCAGTTTTTGCCCATTCAGTATGATATTGGCTGCAGGTTTGTCATAAATAGCTCTTATTATTTTGAGATAACTTCCATCAATGCTTAGTTTATTGAGAGTTTTTAGCATGAAGGGCTGTTGAATTTTGTCAAAGGCCTTTTCTGCATATATTAAGATAATCATGTGATTTTTGTCGTTGGTTCTGTTTATGTCATGGATTACGTTTATTGATTTGCATATGTTGAACAAGCCTTGCATCCCAGGGATGAAGCAGACTTGATCGTGCTGGATAAGCTTTTTGATATGCTGTTGGATTTGGTTTGCCAGTATTTTGTTGAGGATTTTCGCATCAATGTTCATCAGAGATATTGGTCTAAAATTATCTTTTTCTGTTGTGTCTCTGACCGGCTTTGGTATCAGGATGATGCTGGCCTCATAAAATGAGTTAGGGACGAGTCCCTCTTTTTCTATTGTTTGGAATAGTTTCAGAAGGAATGGTACCAGCTCCTCCTTGTACCTCTGGTAGAATTCGGCTGTGAATCCATCTGGTCCTGGACTTTTTTTGGTTTGTAGAGTATTAATTATTGCCTCAATTTCAGAGCCTGTTATTGGTCTGTTGAAGATTCAGTTTCTTCCTTGTTTAGTCTTGGGAGGGTGTATGTGTCCAGGAATTTATCCATTTCTTCTAGATTTTCTAGTTTATTTGCGTAGAGGTGATTATAGTATTCTCTGATGGTAGTTTCTATTTCTGTGGGATCGGTGGTGATATCCCCTTTATCATTTTTTTATTGCATCTATTTGATTCTTCTCTCTTTTCTTCTTTATTAGTCTTGCTAACGGTCTATCAATTTTGTTGATCTTTTCAAAAAACCAGCTTGTGGATTCGTGGATTTTTTTAAAGGGTTTTTGTGTCTCTATCTCTTTCAGTTCTGCTCTGATCTTAAGTTATTTCTTGCCTTCTGCTAGCTTTTGAATGTGTTTTCTCTTGCTTCTCTAGTTCTTTTAATTGTGATGTTAGGGTGTCGATTTTAGATCTTTCCTGCTTTCTCCTGTGGGCATTTAGTGCTATAAATTTCCCTCTACACACTGCTTTAAATGTGTCCCAGAGATTCTGGTATGTTGTGTCTTTGTTCTCATTGGATTTAAAGAACATCTTTATTTCTGCTTTCATTTCGTTATGTACCCAGTAGTCCATTCAGGAGCAGGTTGTTAAGTTTCCATATAGTTGTGCGGTTTTGAGTGAGTTTCTTAATCCTGAGTTCTAATTTGATTGCATTGTGGTCTGAGATACAGTTTGTTGTGATTTCTGTTCTTTTACATTTGCTTAAGAGTGCTTTACTTCCAATTACATGGTCAATTTTAGAATAAGTGTGATGTGGTGCTGAGAAGAATGTATATTCTGTTGATTTGGGGTGAAGAGTTCTGTAGATGTCTATTAGGTCTGCTTGGTGCAGAGGTGAGTTCAATTTCTGGATATCCTTGTTAACCTTCTGTCTCGTTGATCTGTCTAATACTGACAGTGGGGTGTTAAAGTCTCCCATTATTATTGTGTGGGAGTCTAAGTCTCTTTGTAGGTCTCCAAGGACTTACTTTATGAATCTGGGTGCTCCTGTATTGGGTGCATATATATTTAGGATAGTTAACTCTTCTTGTTGAATTGATTCCTTTACCATTATGTAATAGCCTTCTTTGTCTCTTTTGATCTTTGCTGGTTTAAAGTCTGTTTTATCAGAGACTAGGATTGCAACCCCTGCTTTTTTTTTTGCTTTCCATTTGCTTGGTAGATCTTCCTCCATCCCTTTATTTTGAGGCTATGTGTGTCTCTGCACGTGAGATGGGTCTCCTGAATACTGCACACTGATGGGTCTTGACTCTATCCAATTTGCCAGTCTGTGTCTTTTAACTGGGGCATTTAGCCCATTTACATTTAAGGTTAATATTGTTATGTGTCAATCTGATCCTGTCATTATGATGTTAGCTGGTTATTTTGCCTGTTAGTTGATGTAGTTTCTTCCTAGCATCGATGGTCTTTACAATTTGGCATGTTTTTGCAGTGGCTGGTACTGGTTTTCCTTTCCATGTTTAGTGCTTCCTTCAGGAACTCTTATACGGCAGGCCTGGTGGTGACAAAATCTCTCAACATTTGCTTGTCTGTAAAGGATTTTATTTCTCCTTCACTTATGAAGCTCAGTTTGGCTGGATATGAAATTCTGGGTTGAAAATTCTTTTCTTTAAGAAGGTTGAATATTGGCCCCCACTCTCTTCTGGCTTGTAGAGTTTCTGCCGAGAGATCAGCTGTTAGTCTGATGGGCTTCCCTTTGTGGGTAACCCAACCTTTCTCTCTGGCTGCCCTTAACATTTTTTCCTTCATTTTCATGGTGAATCTGACAATTATGTGTCTTGGGGTTGCTCTTCTTGAGGAATATCTTTGTGATGTTCTTTGTATTTCCTGAATTTGAATGTTTGCCTGCCTTGCTAGGTTGGGGAAATTCTCCTGGATAATATCCTGAAGAGTGTTTTCCAACTTTGTTCCATTCTCCCCATCACTTTCAGGTACACCAATCAGATGTAGATTTGGTCTTTTCACATAGTCCCATATTTCTTGGAGGCTTTGTTTGTTTCTTTTTACTCTTTTTTCTCTAACCTTGTCTTCTAGCTTTATTTCATTAATTTGATCTTCAATCACTGATACCCTTTCTTCCACTTGATTGATTCAGCTATTGAAGCTTGTGCATGCATCACGAAGTTCTTGTGCCATGGTTTTCAGCTTCATCAGGTCATTTAAGGTCTTCTCTACACTGTTTATTCTAGTCAGCCATTCATCTAACCCTTTTTCAAGGTTTTTTTTTTGAGACGGAGTCTCGCTCTGTCACCCAGGCTGGAGTGCCGTGGCGCGATCTCGGCTCACTGCAAGCTCAGCCTCCCGGGTTCACGCCATTCTCCTGCCTCAGCCTCCCGAGTAGCTGGGACTACAGGCGCCCACCATCACGCCCGGCTAATTTTTTTGTATTTTTAGTAGAGACGGGGTTTCATCGTGTTAACCAGGATGGTCTCGATCTCCTGACCTCATGATCCACCCGCCTCGGCCTCCCAAAGTGCTGGGATTACAGGCGTGAGCCACCGCACCCGGCTTTTTCAAGGTTTTTAGCTTCCTTGCAATGGGTTAGAATATGCTCCTTTAGCTCAGAGAAGTTTGTTATTACTGACCTTCTGAAGCCTACTTCTGTCAACTCGTCAAAGTCATTCTCTGTCCAGCTTTCTTCCATTGCTGGCGAGGAGCTGCAATCCTTTGGAAGAAAAGAGGCGCTCTGGTTTTTAGAATTTTCAGCTTTTCTGCTCTGGTTTCTCCCCATCTTTGTGGTTTTATCTACCTTTGGTGTTTGATGTTGGTGACCTACAGATGGGGTTTTGGTGTAGATATCCTTTTTGTTGATGTTGATGCTATTCCTTTTTGTTTGTTAGTTTTCCTTCTAATAGTCAGGTCCCTCAGCTGCAAGTCTGTTGGAGTTTGCTGGAGGTCCGCTCCAGAACCTGTTTGCCTGGTTATTATCACCAGCGGAGGCTGCAGAACAGCAAATATTGCTGCCTGATCCTTCCTCTGGAAGCTTCGTCCCAGAGGGGCATCCGCCTATATGAGGTGTTTGTCAGCCCCTACTGGGAGGTGTCTCCCACTTAGGCTACACGGGGGTCAGGGACCCACTTGAGGAGGCAATCTGTCTGTTCTCAGAGCTCAAACGCCGTGCTGGGAGAATGACTGCTCTCTTCAGAGCTGTGAGACAGGGATGTTTAAGTCTCCAGAAGTTGTTTGCTGCCTTTTGTTCAGCTATGCCCTGCCCACAGAGGTGGAGTCTATAGAGACAGTAGGCTTTGCTGAGCTGTGGTGGGCTCCACTCAGTTTGAGCTTCTCAGCCGCTTTGTTTACCTACTCAAGCCTCAGCAATGGCGGACGCCCCTCCCCCAGCCAGGCTGCCACCTTGAAGTTTGATCTCAGACTGCTGTGCTAGCAGTGAGCAAGTCTTTGTGGGTGTGGGGAATCTCCTTGACTGCAGGTTGCTAAGACCTTGGGAAAAGTGCAGTATTTTGGTAGGAGTGTCCTGTTTTTCCAGGTACAGTCTGTCATGGCTTCCCTTGGCAGGAAAGGGAAATCCCCCAACCCCTTGCACTTCCCAAGTGAGGCAATGCCCCACCCTGCTTTGACTCACCCTCCTTGGGCTGTACCCACTGTCCAACCAGTCCCAATGAGATGAACCAGGTACCTCAATTGGAAATGCAGAAATCACCCGTCTTCTGCATCGATCATGCGGGAGCTGTAGACCAGAGCTTTTCCTATTTGGCCATCTTGGAACCCACTAGACTTCTACTTTCAAATAATACTTTTCTTACTGTCTGAACCTTTTTTTTTTTTTGAGACAGAGTCTCACTCTGTTGCCCAGACTGGAGACTGTCTGAACTTTTTATTATAATAAGTATAATTATTTTATTTATTTATTTGGCTAAAAAAATTTTTTTTGAGACAGTCTCTTGCTCTGTCACCCAAGCTCAGTGCAGTGGCACAATCATGGCTCACTGCAGCCTCGAACACCTAGACTCAAGCAATCCTTCTGCCTCCCTAGTATCTAGGAATACAGGAATGAGCCACCCCATCATGCTTAGCTAAGTTTTTTGTTTGTTTGTTTGTTTGTTTTGAGACAGAGTCTCCCTCCACTGCCCAGGATGGAGTGCAGTGGCACGATCTTGGCTCACTGCAACCTCCACCTCCGGGGTTTAAGTGATTCTCCTGCCTCAGCCTCCTGAGTGGCTGGGATTACAGGCATGCGCCACCACACCCAGCTAATTCTTTTTTATATTTTTAGTAGAGACAGGGTTTCATCATGTTGGTTAGGCTGGTCTCGAACTCTTGACCCTGTGATCCATCTGCCTCAGCCTCCCAAAGTTCTGGAATTACAGGAGTGAACCACCGTGCCCAGTTGAGCTAATTTTTTAATTTTTTGTAGAGAGGGGTTCTCGCTTTATTTCCCAGGCTGGTCTGGAACTCCTGGCCTCAAGTAATCCTCCCACTTTGGCCTTCCAATGTGCTGTGATTACATATGTGAGAAGTTGAGGTTGGCCGGCTAAGATCATAACATCTTTTTTTTTTTTTTTTGAGATAGGGTCTCACTCTGTCACAATGCTGGACAGGCTGGAGTGCAGTGTTGTGGACATGGCTCACTGCAGTCTTGATCTATTTTTTCTTTTTTTTCCCATAGTATATGTAACCAACCTATGTCACTGCTAAGGCATTCTGTGAGAGACCTGCCTAGGCCTCCTAGGCCCCCAGCTGTCTTAATTTTGAAGATCCTACCAATCATTTTCAAATGCACCCACCCACATAAAATATATATACATATACATACATAGTATACAAATATATTTATTTATTTGCAATAATGTAACATCTTTTTCTATTAAAAATACTTGGCTATAAGTAACTTCTTTAATTTACCAGCAATAATTTCTCAATAATTGTTCTACCTATTTAGGATATCTTGGAAGTGGGAAAGTGTAACTTTTTTTTCTGAAATATAATGACATTTTTATAAATGCTAAATCTATGACTAAGTTAGCTGACATAATGTATTTTATAGACATTTTATTAAATCTTTACTAATTTCTGTCTTACAGTTTACCTTTCAAATTTTGGAGCCACCAAAATAAACAACTTTCAGGTTCTAACATTTTCATAAATTCTTGTAATCCTGTAGACATGTTTGATTCACTTAGAAATGATTGTCGCAGCCTGGGTGCGGTTGCACATGCCTGTAATCTCAGCACTTTGCGAGGCTGAGGCTGGAGGATCACTTGAGCCCAAGAGTTCCAGATCAGCCTAGGGCATCATAATGAGACTTCCTCTCAAAAAAAAAAAAAGAAAAAAAGACCAAGCAAGGTCAAGGTCAACATCATGAAACCCTGTCTCTACTAAAAATACAAAAAATTAGCTGGGTGTGGTGGTGGATGCCTGTAATCCCAGCTACTTAGAGGCTGCGACAGGAGAATCGCTTGAGCCTGGGAGGCGGAGGTTGCAGTAAGCCGAGATCACGCAATTGCACTGCAGCCTGGGAGACAAAAGCGAGACTCCGTCTCAAAAAAAAAAAAAAAAAAAAAAAAATTATAGAGCTCACATTTGCTTACTCATTGCTTCATTCGCTCAACAACTTTTTTTTTTTTTTTTTTTTTTGAGACAGAGTCTTGCTCTATCGCCCAGGCTGGAGTGCAGTGGGGCGATCTCGGCTCACTGCAAGCTCCGTCTCCCGGGTTCACGCCATTCTTCTGCCTCAGCCTCTGGAGTAGCTGGGACTACAGGTGCCGGCCACCACGCCCAGCTGATTTCTTTTTGTATTTTTAGTAGAGATGGCGTTTCACTGTGTTAGCCAGGAAGGTCTCGATTTCCTGACCTCGTGATCCGCCCGCCTCGGTCTCCCAAAGTGCTGGGATTACAAGCGTGAGCCACCCCGGCCTCAACAACTATTATGTAGTTGTAACATGCCAGATTTGCCCCTTGAATCTGCCCTCACCGGTTTAAGATTGGAATAAAAAGGACGTGTTAAAGGAGAGGAAATGGAGAGGTGACTAGTCAAATGTCTTCTGTATACCAGAGCGTCTATGTGGAGTAGAAAGATTGGGAAGAGGATAAAATTGAGGGTTCTATTGGAAGAGCTCCTCCTTGAGCACATTCTCTAAAGAAGGCCAACCAGCCACTTGAAAATAAGCTAATTAATTTTTATTTATTTATTTTTTCTGAGATGGAGTCTCGCTCTGTTTCCTAGGCTGGAGTGCAGTGGCGCGATCTCGGCTCACTGCAAGCTCCGCCTCCCGGGTTCACGCCATTCTCCTGCCTCAGCCCCCCGAGTAGTTGGGACTACAGGTGCCCACCACCATGCCCAGCTAATTTTTTTATATTTTTAGTAGAGATGGCATTTCACCGTGTTATCCAGGATGGTCTTGATCTCCTGACCTCGTGATCCACCTGCCTTGGCCTGCCAAAGTGCTGGGATTACAGGCGTGAGCCACCACGCTCGGCCTAAAGCTGATTAGTTTTTTTAACTGTCCACCACCAGCCTCCAAGACCCAGAGACTTCAGATCGAAAGCAAATCTCCACCTTCCACATCACTGTTTTAGCAACTGTAAATTGTCACCTTTGCTTTCTATGTTGTGAGGGTTTAGCACGAATAACAATCCCTGAATTAAATAAAAATAAAAATAAAAACACAGACTCTCTTTAAGGTTAACATGTAATATAAATCATGTATAGACAACTATGCCAGCCTGGCCAACATGGTGAACCCCCGTCTCTACTAAAAATACAAAAATTAGCTGGGTATGGTGGCGCCACCTGTAATCCCAGCTACTTGGGAGGCTGAGGCATGAGAATCACTTGAGTCCAGGAGATGGAAGTTGCAGTGAGCCGAGATCATGCCACTGCACTCCAGTTTGAGTGACAGAAAGAGACTCTGTCTCAAAAAAAAAAAAAAAAGAAAAAAAGCCAGGCACGGTGGCTCACACCTGTAATCCCAGCACTTTGGGAGGCCAAGGTGGGCAGATCACCTGAAGTGGGGAGTTCGAGACCAGCCTGATCAACATGGAGAAACCCCGTCACTACTAAAAATACAAAATTAGCCGGGCATGGTGGCACATGTCTATAATCCCAGCTACTCGGGAGGCTGAGGCAGGAGAACCCCTTGAACCCGGGAGGCGGAGGTTGTGGTGAGCTGAGATCGCACCATTGCAGTCCAGTCTGGGCAAAAAGTACGAAACTCTGTCCAAAAAAACAAAAAAAACAAAAAAACCCCACAACTATGTGGTCACTCTTGGTGGTTTATGCAGACAGCTGTGGTGACATTACCCAATTTCAAGGAAAGTTTCTGTGAAATAACATTCATTTGATCGGGGAATGGGGGGCAGACAGGGACTTATAAATACTCACTTCAGTCTCACAACATTCTTTGTGTCATAGGCATGGACTCCCATTTTATAGAAGATCCAAAGAGAGGTTCTGTGCACTTCCAAGGCAAGTGTCATGGAGTCCAACAATCTGGCATTGTGTATGACTGTGGCAATAGGTCCAAACACAGCCCAGCTGAGTCAAGATGCAGATTATTGAGTGCCATGTAAGGATGTGAGTGCCAAGAAGCCCTGGACCTCTTTCCTTTCCCAAACTGTTTGGAAGGCCTTGAGTTAGCACCTATGCCACAACAGTTTTAAAGTGTTGCTTCTTATAAACCTGATTACTATTGACATTTTCAAACATATCAACGTAGAGAGAATAGTGTAGTGAACTTTATATATCCATCACTTGGTAAAGCACTGCTTTTTTTTTTAATTCAAAAACTAGCTGAGTCACATGGGAAGGTCCACGAAAAAAGAGGAAAAGACACAAAGTGCACGACTGGTTTGTAGTCCTAACTGTGCTGTGAATGAACTGTAATGCACTGAGTCATTTATGGTTCCACTCTGGGACTCAGTTTCCTAGTTAACTGAGATGGGATTTCTGGGGACTTTCCAGGCCTTGCATCCTACACTTTGGTTCTCATTCACTCCACATACACTCATGAAGCCACCATTATCTCTTGCCTTAGCTAATCTCCCTTTGCCCATTCCTGCTTCTCTACATTCCATTCTTCTTCTAGCAGCCTAAGAAAGATCAACTTTCAGAAATCCAAATCTCATCATCTGATCACATCATTCGCTGCTAAAATCTCCTCAGTGCTTTCACATTTCTTTCTTTCTTTCTTTTTTTTTTTTTTTTTTGAGACAGAGCTTCACTCTTGTTGCCCAAGCTGGAGTGCAACGGCACGAGCTCGGCTCACTGCAACCTCCACCTCCTGCATTCCAGTGATTCTCCTGCCTCAGCCTCCCGAGTAGCTGGGATTACAGGCACACGCCACCATCACGCCTTGCTAATTTTTTGTATTTTTAGTAGAAACGGGTTTTCACCATGATAGCCAGGCTGGTCTCGAACTCCTGACCTCAGGTGATCCGCCCACCTCGGCCTCCCAAAGTGCTGGGATTGCAGGCATGAGCCACCACGCCCGGTCCACATTTCTTTTCTTTTTTTCTTTTTTTTTGAGATGGAGTCTCGCTCTGTTGCCCAGGCTAGAGTGCAATGGCACGGTCTTGGCTCACTGCAACCTCCACCTCCCAGGTTCAAGCGATTCTTCAGCCTCAGCTTCCCAAGCAGCTGGAACTACAGGCGCGTGCCACCACACCCACCTAACTTTTGTATTTTTAGTAGAGATGGGGGTTTCACTATGTTGTCCAGGCTGGTCTTGAACTCCTGACCTCATGATCTGCCCACCTGGCCTCCCATAGTGCTGGGGTTACAGGCGTGAGCCACCGCACCTGGCAGGCCCACATTTCTTTTAAAGCAATGTTTGAACTGCTTAACAAGCCTATGAGGAACTGCCTGATCTTGACCTCTCTTAGCAGCTCAGCCACACTGACCACTTCCAGCTTCAGCCTCCTTCTGTGTGCTGTTCCAACTACTTGAAGGGTTCTTCTGGGTCTCAGCACCCCACCTATCCCCATTTCACCACAGACACACTTTGCTTGGGCAACTTGCTTTCATTTTTCAGAAATCAGCTTAAATGTCATATCCTCCAGGAAGCATTCATCTGAACTCAACCAAGTCCTGCTAAAGCTATATATGCTCTGTTAGCCCCCAGTACTTGGATTAAGTGGCCCTAAGCACCATCTTAATTAATTAGTTATTTGTGTATTATTTTAATGACTGATTCCCCTAACAGACTGTAAATCCCATAATGTCAGTATTTGCTGTTTTGGTCACCATTACAACTCCAGCACCTAGCACAGTGCCTGGCACAGAATAGCCATTCAAATAAATATTTGTGGACACATGACTAATTCCCTGCTAGGCCTTAGGGATAAAAAGAAGCTCACAATTTAGTGGAGAGTACAGACTGATAAGTCAGTGGGAAGATGAAAACGCATCTCTAGAAGTGCTGGGGGGAAAAGAATGCATGACATCTGAGGAGACCCATGAAAGGGGTGCTTAATGCAGGCTGGGTCAGAATAGGCCTACAGGAGAGGCAACAGTGACTTTGTGGAGGAAATCCATCCATAAGCCTCAAATGCAGAGCAGTATCTGTAGGGAGGGGTGGGGTGACCCTTTAAGAATGTTTAGAGATTCCTACTTGATATTTTCCCTGACTTATTTGGCCTGTAGTCAGGTGCCATCCATTAGAGAATAATCACTGAAAATTTGTCTGCTAGCAAGTTTAAGGTCATCTTGAACTGAAAGTCGAAATAAAATGGACTTAAATGAAATAAGCCAGTCACAGAAAAATAAATACCCTATGTTCTCACTCATACATGGAAGCCAAAAAAGTTGATCTCGGGCTGGGCACAGTGGCTCATGCCTGTAATCCCACCACTTTGGGAGGTTGAGGCGGGTGGATCACGAGGTCAGGAGTTCGAGACCAGTTTGGCCAAAATGGTGAAACCCTGTCTCTACTAAAAATACAAAAAATAGCTGGGCGTGGTGGTGTGAGCTTGTAGTCCCAGCTACTCAGGAGGCTGAGGCAGGAGAATCACTTAAACCCGGGAGGCAGAGGTTGCAGTGAGCCGAGATCATGCCGCTGCACTCCAGCCTGGGCGACAGAGTGAGACTCCATCGCGGGGGTGGGGGTAGTTGATCTCATAGAAGTAGGGAGTAGAGGCTGGGTGTGATGGCTCATGCCTGTGATCCCAGCACTTTGGGAGGCCAAGGGGGAGTTGAAGCCAGGAGTTCCAGAGCAGCTTGGCCAACATGGTGAAACCCCATCTCTCCTAAAAATACAAAAAATTAGCCAGGCATAGTGGCATGTGCCTGTAGTCCCAGCCACTTGAGAGGCTGAAGCTTGAGAATCACTTGAGCCTGGGAAGTAGAGGTTGCAGTGAGCTTACATTGGGCCACTACACTGCAGCCTGGGTGAGAGAGGGAGACTCTGTCTCAAACAACAACAATAACAAAAACAAAAAAAAAAATAGGTTGCAGAATAGTAGTTATTACACCTGGGGAAGGGGGATAGGAAGGGAGGAATAGCCAAAGGTTGGTTCCTGGAGGCAAAAGCACAGCTAGATAGGAGGAATAAGTTACAGTGTTCTATAGCACTACAGGGGGACTGTAATTAACAACAATTTATTGCATATTTTCAAATAGTGAGACCGGCCGCGGTGGCTCACGCCTGTAATCCCAGCACTTTGGGAGGCCGAGGCGGGCATATCACCTGAGGTCAGGAGTTTGAGACCAGTTTGACCAGCATGGAGAAACCCTGTCTCTACCAAAAATACAAAATTAGCCGGGTGTGGTGGAGCATGCCTGTAATCCCAGCTACTCGGGAGGCTGAGGCAGGAGAATCGCTTGAACCTAGGAGGCGGAGCTTGCGGTGAGCCAAGATTGCACGCCATTGCACTCCAGCCTGGGCAACAAGAGTGAAACTCCAACTCAAAAAAAAAAAAAAAAAACCAAATGTGAGAAGAGCAGATTTTAAGTGTCCCAACATGAAAAAATGATAAATGTTTGGATGGATATGTTAAATTCCTGGATTTGATCATTACACATTGTATACATGTATTGCCACATCACACTATACCCCATAAATACAATTATTATATGTCAATGAAAAACAATAAAAGCAGGCAAAAAATGGGTCCTTCACATCCATAAACAAATTTTAATCCAATCATTGGCCATTATTTGATGGTAGTCTTTTTTTTTTTTTTTTCCTGAGACAGAGTCTTGCTCTGTCACCAGGCTGGAGTGCAGTGGTGTGATCTCAGCTCCTGGGCTCAAGTGAACCCTGTACCTCAGCCTCCCAAAGTGATACATAACAGGCATGAGCCACCACGTCCAGCCCAAAATAAATGTATTTATCTATCTATTTAGAGACAGTGTCTCACTCTATATTAGCCCAGGCTGGAGTATAGTGACACAATCACAGCCCACTGCAATCTTGACCTCCTGGGCTCAAGAGATCCTCCAACCTCAGCCTCCCGAGTGCCTGGGACCACAGGCGTGTGCCACCATGCCCAGCTAATTTTCGTGTTTTTTTGTAGAGACAGGGGTTTCACCATGTTGCCCAGGCTGTTCTTGAACTGCTAGACTCAAGCAATCCTCCCACCTTGGCTTCCCAAAGTGCTGGGATTACATCATAAGCCACTGTGCCCAGTTCAAAATAAACATCCTCCCACCTCAGCCTACTGAGTAGCTGAGACTATAGATAGGCACACACAATCTTTAAACTAAAATTGTTTCACACTGTCCTAAAACCTTTTTCCTTTAATAATATATCTTGAATCCTTGTATATTTAGTAGAGATGGGGTTTCGCCATATTGGCCAGGCTGGTCTTGAACTCCTGACCTCAAGGGATCCACCTGCCTCGGCCTCCCAAAGAGCTGGGATTACAGACATAAGCCACCATGCCTGGCCATTTTTTTTTTTTTTTTTTTTTGAGAAGGAGTCTTGCTCTGTTGCCAGGCTGGAGTGCAGTGGCACAATACCAGCTCACTATCACCTCTGCCTCCCAGGTTCAAGCGATTCTCCTTCCTCAGCCTCCTGAGTGGCTGGAACTACAGGTGTGCACCACCACGCCCAGCTAATTTTTGTATTTTTAGTAGACACGGGGTTTCACCGTGTTGGCCAGGATGGTCTCTATCTCTTGATCTCATGATCCGCACACCTCGGCCTCGCAAAGTGCTGGGATTACAGGGGTGATTTTTTTTCTTTATAAAATTTTATTGTTCTTTCTTTCTTTTTTTACTATTTATTTTAATTTATCTTTTTAAAAATATTACTTTTTATTTTTTTATTTTTCCTTTTTGAAACTTCCAGGTTCTAAGAGCACTAAGTCCTGGTGAGGGATATTTCAACTGAGCCCTAGAACCTGAAAATCTCAATAGTATCTCTCCCTCCAAAAAATATATTATATGCCAATGGAGTGTGAGGAAGGAGTATGACCTTCAGATCTTTTGTTTTTTTTTTTGAAGGTGGGGTTTCACTATGTTGCCCAGGCTGGTCTCAAATTCCTGAGCTCAAGGGATCCACCTGCCTTGGCCTCCCAAAGTGCTGTGATTACAGGCACGAGCCACCACACCCAGCCATGAGCTTGGCAGGGGCACATGACTGTAATCCCAGCTACTCTGGAGGCTGAGGTGGGAGGATCACTTCAACCTGGGAGGTGGAGGTTGCAGTGAGTCGAGATTGCACCACTGCGCTCCAGCCTTGGCGACAGAGTGAGACTCTATCTGAAAAAAAAAAAAAAAAAAAAAAAAAAATCCCAGCTCTATTAAAAACTCTGTGCTCAGGAAAAAAAAAATGTGTGGAGGTTCTGACACTTGTTAAAAATAATACAAAACACGGAAGAGAGGCAAGAAACAGGGCTGTATGTTTTCAGTGTCATACTTGAGTTCTGTATGAAAGACCTACCCACAGATGATTTAATTCCCTAAGGAAATGATCGTTTTTTGGCATGCGATTTACTATTGACTAGGCCCAGACTCTGCGAAGTTGCATGTTAACTTGCAGATTTTTGTCTGGTAAAGATGCAAATGACTTCTCTTTAGTAGAAAAAGTACCGCAAATGGCCATAATCTTATTGCCCTGTAGCACGTTAACTAGTTTCAGTCTCTAACCTAGCAAATTTACTCCAGCATGTCTTTCCTGGAGAACTTTATAAATCTCTATTTCTCATATGCATTTTGAACCAGCTTTACTATCTGCAGATTCCTTCACTGATAAGTCAAACAAATCTTTCTTTCTCTCTCTCTTTCTCTCTCTCACACATACTAACACACACATATGTATATATTTGTCTGGGAACCATATTTTAACTTTGGGCAAGTTACTGATACAGGAGCTAGAAAGAAATTATTTAGGCAGATGGTGAGGGTAAAAGAGTCTTCAGTAAGGTTTCCTTTTAATAAAAAGCAGCCCCGAAATCATTTCTTTTCTAACAAAGAGCAGCCTAAAAAATCAAGCTGCAAGCAGAGATGAATAAGCAAGCTAAAAGCTTGCATAGGTAAATGCTGGCAGCTGTGCCAATAGCAAAGGGATACCTGGAAGCCAGGGATGTTCAACGTAGAGGTTCCCTCCTTCCTTTTCTTTGTCACCATGTGTGCAGTAAGAAAGCAGGCAACATGGCACTGTCCAGGTAAAGACTCCATCTGCATAATAAAAGATTAGGGTGGGACGGCCAACTTCTTTGCGTGCTATGCAAACGGCACACCTCGTCTGACCAATCTCTTGTGCCCCATGTAAATCAGATACCGCCTCCTCAAGCTTGTCTATAAAACCCTGTGCATTTCACCACGGAACTGGAAGACCCACTAGGGTGTGCCTTTCTCTGTGCAGGGAGAGAGAGCTGTTCTCTTTTTCTTTTGCCTATTAAACCTCCGCTCTTTTTTTTTTTTTTTTTTTTGAGACAGACTCCCGCTGTGTTGCCCAGGCTGGAGTGCAGTGGCACGATTTCAGCTCACTGCAACTTTTACCTCCTGGGCTCAAGCAATTCTGCCTCAGCCTCCTGAGTAACTGGGATTACAGGCGCCCACCACCACGCCTGACTAATTTTTGTATTTTTAGTATAGACGGGGTTTCACCATATTGGCCAGGCTGGTCTCAAACTCCCAACCTCAGGTGATCTGCCCACCTCGGCCTCTCAAAGTGCTGGAATTACAGGCATGAACCACTGCACCTGGCCTAAACCTCTGCTCTTAAACTCCTTTTGTCTCCATGTCCTCGATTTCCCTGGTGTGAGACAACAAACCTTGGGTATTTACCCTGACAATGACGTTGCTTCATTACTAATAACTATGGTTTTCCTTACCCCTTAGTTTTCTCTTGTAGTCAGTGCCACATGGGAAAACACCTTTTTCTTGGTAAGAGATTTTTCCAGTCTCCACAGCTTCGAGGGCTTATTTTACTCAGCTCGTAATTTACAATTGAGTTTTGAACATGTGAGGTTTAAGATGTCCTTGAAACATGCTACAGGAAATTTATTTTATTTTGTAGAGATGGGGCTCTCACCATGTTGCCCAGGCTGGTCTCAAATTCCTGGGCTTGGGTGATCCACTGTTCTTGCCCTCCCAAAGTGCTGGGATTACAGGCATGAGCTGCCATACCTCATCAGAAAATTTCAAGTAAATTCTGAGTTTGGAATTCAGGAAGAGGCCTGAGTTGCCAATATACGTTTGGGAGTCATTGTCATGATTAAGAAGGTACTTAATAAAGTCAAATGGAGCCAGGCGCAGTGGCGCACACCTGTAATCCCAGCACTTTGGGAGGCCAAGGCTGGCAAATCACGTGAGCCCAGGAATTTGAGACCAGCCTGGGCAACATGGTGAGACCCTTCTCATCTCTACAAAAAAAGTATTTCCTGGACATGATGGCATGTGACTGTGGTCTTAACTACTCAAGAAACTGAGGGGGTAGGATTGCTTGAGCCCAGGAGGTTGAGGCTGTAGTTAGCCCTGATCACACCACTGCACTCCAGCCTGGGTGCCAGAACGAGACCTCATCTCAAAAAATAAAATAAGAAATGAAATTGCCATATCATTTATTTCTTTTCTTTTACATTATTATTATTTTTTTTTTGCAGAGACTCTATTGCAGACTTTTTTATTTTTCCTTCCAGAATCAACTGTAGCCAATTAAAAAGATATTTTTCTATTTGTAAAGAACTCATCTTACATTGCTTGTAGAAAACACATTCTCTGTGTCAATTTGTTCTTGCACTATTGCACACAATTAAGAATTTGATGTTTGCTTGTTTGTTCATTTTTGTAGAGACACGGCCTCACCATGTTGCCAAGGCTGGTCTCAAACTCTTGAGCTCAAGTGATCCTCTTGCCTTAGCCTCCCAAAGTGCTGGGATAAGTGCTGGGATAACAGGCGTGATAGGCGTGAGCCACTGCACCTGGCCTGCTTGTTTGTTGAAACTACTTTTTATTTTCTGTGATCTTCCTGGCTTCATGGAATTTTTTTATAATCACTTGTTTCTGCAAATCTTTGTCAGGTTTCCAAGTACATTTTAAATATCATTTATAAGAAACAATTTGTCAATTTTAAACAATGCTAGGGTTAGGCTCAGAAAGACATTGAGAAGTTCATAATGATAAGTGTAACTTAAACTACTTTGGCATGTTTGAAGTGTAATTAATATTGGAAGACAGTGGGAACAGAATACAATGTTATTTAATATGGCCTTAGTCTCTGGTTTTCCTTACAGGGAAATGACCAACAGTGGAAACTGGAGAGCAAGGATCAGCAAACAAAGCCTCTCATCCTTCTAGCTGCTTTCCTTGACTAATTAGCTGTGATGGCCTGGGAATCAGCATATTTAGCAAACTGTTAAAAAGTTCATAATGAGGTTCCTTCAATAGTTGTTTTCTTTTGTTTGCTTGTTTGTTTGTTTTGAGACACAGTTTTGCTCTTGTCGCCCATGCCGGAGTGCAATGGCGCGATCTTGGCTCACTGCAACCTCCACTCCTGGGTTCAAGCGATTCTCCTGCCTCAGCCTCCAAAGTAGCTGGAATTACAGGTGCCCACCACCATGCCAATCTAATTTTTTGTATTTTTAGTAGAGATGGGGTAACACTGTGTTGGCCAGGCTGGTCTCAAACTCCTGACCTCAGGTGATCCACCAGCATCAGCCTCCTAAAGTGCTGGGATTACAGGTGTGAGCCACCACGCCTGGCCCCTGCCTGAAATATCTTAATCCTTCAAAAAACATTGCTGGGTGTGGAAGGTGGAAATGGCTTACGGAAGGCAGCCTCTGGGGCAGCGCCATCACTTTAGCCAGGGTTTCCTCTTTCCCCTACTCTGTCCTCTGAATTCCCCAGCTGCAGCTGCGTAATGTTAAGAATCACTTTGCATCGCAGGCAGCTTGGGGATCTGGCTGAGATCTGAGATTGAAATGTCACATAAAATCGTGGGTCAGTGGTCATACATAGTAGAAAGGAAAATCACAAGGGGAGAGCAAAGCCTTGGAAGTTCCCCTAGCTCACAGTGTAGCCCTCAGCACAGCCTGCAGCCACTTGGCACCGCTGATACTGAGGGCCTAGGCGGCTGTTACTGAGGCAATAGTCTCCATTGTTGTGGGCAGCCTCCCAGGGTAATTGACAGCGACAGGGGTTAGGCAAGGGAGAAAGACCGAAGAACAGACATCAAAGGCAATTACCACAAAACCCAGCTTGCCCTGAATGGAGGCAGTCACTCAGAATATCATTTTGGAGATAAATTCCCGAGACCGATTAAAAATTTTGATAGTTACCAAGGTAAAAATAAAACCCTAGGGTTTTCTATGAAAAAGATGTTTTCACCAACAGCAAAGCAGCATCTGCTTCCTGGGGTTGGATATTTCCTGGTTTGCAAATACACTCCTCTCCAGTACCTCAAACACTGATTACATTTCCAAAGTGGTCCCATCTGTTTTTCATTCCTCAGTAAATTCATACATTCTTTTCTGCCAGCTTGCATCAAGTAGTTACGCAGCATCTACTGCATGCAAAGCATTGCTTCAGCTGATATGAAAATTTCACCTTGGACGTGGGCAGGGGAACATATTAATGCGAGATCTTGCTTTAATTATCACCCTGCCAATTATTTTTGTCAGTATTGGCTCGAGGCCATCAGGAAAAAATCCTCTCCAGGGGCCATAAAATCTGATAGACCAGATGTTTGGATGTTTCCTGAGAATTAAGCTCTTCTTATTTTTCTCCGCCCCCCGCCCCTCTTTTTTTTTTTTTTTTTGAGATGGAGTCTTGCTCTGTCACCCAGGCTGGAGTGCAGTGGCACAATCTCAGCTCACTACAACCTCTGGAAGTTATTCTCATGCCTCAACCTCCTGAGTAGCTGGGACTACAGGCACACACCACCATGCCTGGCTATTTTTTGTATTTTTAGTAGAGATGGGTTTTCACCTTGTTGGCTAGGCTGGTCTCAAACTCCTGAGATCAAGTGATCCTCCTGTTTCGGCCTCCCGAAGTGTTGGGACTACAGGTGTGAGCCACTGTGCCCAGCCTCTTCTCCTTAATATTGGAAATAGATCCCAAATACAAATGCCTTCATTACAAAAATATTTTAATATACTTCTATTTTAGTGTATATACTTCTCAACTTTCCTTTATTGGTAATACACATGCATATTAACTCCCCGCCTTTTTTTTTGAGACAGGGTCTCACTGTCGCCCAGGCTGAAGTCCAGTGGTGCGATCTCAGCTCACTGTAGCCTCAACCTTCTAGGCTCAAGTGATCTTCCCACCTTAGCTTCTCAAAGTGCTGGGATTACAGGCATGAGCCACCACACCCAACCCCATTTTCATTTAACAGTATACCCTAAAGGTTTTTTCGTATCAATAAAATATCCAAATTTGTATTCTTTTGTTCATTTCACATCACTAGCTGATATTATTTTACTATATTATTGATCCCTAGTTCTTAGGTGTCCTGTCTAGAACATTTTAAAAGGAAAAAAAAAAGTCCAGCGCAGTGGCTCACACCTGTAATCCCAGCACTTTGGGAGGCCGAGGTGGTTGGATCATGAGGTCAGGAGATTGAGACCATCCTGGCTAACACGGTGAAACCCCATCTCTACTAAAAATACAAAAAATTAGCTGGGCGTGGTGGCCAGCGCCTGTAGTCCCAGCTACTCACTCGGGAGGCTGAGGCGGGAGAATGATGTGAACCCAGGAGGCGGAGCTTGCAGTGAGCCGAGATTGCACCACCACACTCCAGCCTGGGTGACAGAGCGAGACTCCATCTTAAAAGAAAAAAAAGAAAAAAGAATAATACGTTACTTATAGATCTTCTCCTTACCTCTGTTTATTGTCATGTTTTCCCACCATAATGCAAGGTCTAGAATGCAGAGACTTTGTCTGGTGTGTTCCCTGTGTCTGGAACAATGCCTGGCACACAGTAGAAACTTCATAAATATTTGTTAAATGAATAATTGAAAAAACAAGTCACAAAAATCTTTTACTTGTATTTATTTATTTTTGAGGCAGGGTCGCATTCTGTTACCCAAGCTGGAGTGCAGTGGTGTGATCTCGGCTCAAGGCAACTTCCACCCCTCTGGTTCAAGCGATTCTCCTGCCTTAGCCTCCTGAGTAGTTGGGACTATGGCCTCCTGCCACCATGCCCAGCTAATTTTTTTTCTTTTTTGAGATGGAGTCTTGCTCTATCGCCCAGGCTAGAGTGCAGTGGCATGATCTTAGCTCACTGCAACCTCCGCCTCCTGGGTTCAAGCGATTCTCCTGCCTCAGCCTCCGGACTAGCTGGGATTATAGGCACATGCCACCACGCCCAGCCAATTTTTGCATTCTTAGCAGAGACAGGGTTTCACCATGTTGGCCAGGCTAGTCTCGAACTCTTGACGTCAAGTGATCTGCCTGCCTTGGCCTCCCAAAGTGTGGGATTATAGGCGTGAGCCACTGTGCCCAGTCCATGCACAGCTAATTTTTATATTTTTAGTAGAGATGGGGTTTCACCATGTTAGCTAGGCTGGTCTCCAACTCCTGAGCTCAAGTGATCCTCCTGCCTTGGCCTCCCAAAGTGCGGGGATTACAGGCATGAGCCACTGAGCTGGTCGAAAATCTTTTACTTTATTTTTTTTTATTTGTTTCTGTTTTTAATCAATTAATTTTTTTCTTTTTTAATTTTTGAGACAGAGTCTTGCTCTGTCACCCAGACTGGAGTGCAGTGGTGTGATGTTGGCTTACTTCAACATCTGCCTCCCAGTTTAAAGCGATTCTCCTGCCTCAGCCTCCTGAGTAGCTGGGACTATGCCAAGCTAATTTTTTGTATTTTTAGTAGAGATGGGGTTTCACTATATTATCCAGGCTGGTCTGGAACTTCTGACCTCAAGTGATCCACCCGCCTCCGCCTCCCAAAGTGCTGAGATTACAGGTGTGAGTCATTGCACCCACCCAAAAATCTTTTACTTTAAATGTTAAAATGTAGCTTTTTTTTTTTTTTTTTTTTTTTTTGAGACAGAGTCTCGCTCTGTTGCCCAGGCTAGAGTGCAGTGGTGCGATCTCGGCTCACTGTAAGCTCGGCCTCCCGGGCTTACGCCATTCTCCTGCCTCAGCCTTCTGAGTAGCTGGGACTACAGGCACCCGCCACCAAGCCCAGCTAATTTTTTGTATTTTTAGTAGAGATGGGGTTTCACCGTGTTAGCCAGGATGGTCTCAATCTCCTGGCCTCGTGATCCACCCGCCTTGGCCTCCCAGAGTGCTGGGATTACAGGTGTGAGCCACCACATCCAGCCAAGATGTAGCTACTATTTTATTAAATGTTTGTTTGTTTGCTGGTTTGTTTGTTTGTTTTTTGAGACGAGTCTCACTCTTTCGCCCAGGCCGGAGTGCAGTGGCACTGTGTCGGCTCACTGCAACCTCCGCCTCCTGAGTTCAAGCGATTCTCCTGCCTCAGCCTCCCAAGTAGCTGGGATTACAGGCACATGCCACCGTGCCCGGCTAATTTTTGTGTTTTTAGTAGAGACAGGGTTTCACCATGTTGGTCAGGCTGGTCTCGAACTCCCAAACTCAAGTGATCTGCCAGCCTTTGCCTCCCAAAGTGCTGGGATTACAGGTGTGAGCCACTGTACCCGGCCTAAAAGATACATTCGTAACAATTTATAACACTTTAGGAAGTAATGTAAACATTTTGGGGAAAATTTCTTTAACATTTTGGGGGCATAACTTAAAGAAAGGCCTGAACTACCTCCAAATATAAATTTGGAAATGTTGAGAATTTGACTGAAAATAAGCTATTCTGCTGGGCATGGTGGCTCACACCTATAATCCCACCACTTTGTGAGGCTGCGGTGGGAGGATTGCTTGAGCCCTGGAATTGGCGACCAGCCTCGGCAACATAGTGAGTCCCCATCTCTATAAAATTTTTTTTTAATTAGCTGGGCGTGGTGGCACATTCCTGTAGTCCTAGCTACTTGGGAGATTGAGGTGGGAGAATCCCTTGAGACCAGAAATTCAAGCCTGCAAAGAGCTATGATTGTGCCACTGCATTCTAGCCTGTGTGACAGAGTGAGACCCTGTCTCCAAAAATAAAATAAAATAAGGCATTCTAATAAAGTTAACCAGAACAATCTGAAATCTTTTATGTTCTTTTCAAGAAGTCATGGTAAATCTTACCATGACTGAAATTCAAGGAACTTTGAACACCTGAAAGTATCCAGAAGAATCAGCGACTAAAATTGGACAGACAAAAAATGTAAAATATCATAGTTTTATGCTCCATCATATATTCACTAGCTCCTACTGCTTGCCTGAAAATATACACTTCTTTGTGCATGGCTCACAATTCTTCTTTGAGTACAGCTATTGTTGATACATTGAGCTCACAAGCTTCAAGTGGCCGAAATTGTTGCTTCTTGAGAATGTTTATAGATCTCTCTAAACGAGAAACAGAAAACAATATTCTTCCTTTGTTTCTTGCTTGGAATAAGTAAAGCTCAAAGTAACATGCAAAGATCAGAGGGAAAATGGGACTCCAACATAATAATTCTGAAGGGCTGGGCATGGTAATTCATGCCTTTAATCCCAGCACTTTGGGAGGCAGAGGCGGGCGGATCATGAGATCAGGAGTTCGAGACCAGCCTGGCCAACATGGTGAAACCCCATCTCTACTAAAAATACAAAAATTAGCGGGGCGTGGTGGTGTAATCCTCAGGAGGCTGAGACAGAAGAATTGCTTGAACTTGGGAGGGGGAGGTTGCAGTGAGCTGAGATCGCGCCACCGCATTCCAGCCTGGACGACAGAGCGAGACTCCATATCAAAAAAAAAAAAAAAAAATTCTGGAGGCTTCCGTGTTTGTCGATCATCACTAAAGAGATCTGTATATGGCTTCGGAAAACAAAAACAAACAATAAGAAAAAAAGCCCTTCAGAGATAAGGAGTTTTCCCTTCATGTTTTGTTGTTGTTGTTGGTTTGGTTTGTTTCTGGGGTGGAGTCTCACTGTTGCCCAGGCTGGAGTAGCGTGGTGTGATCTCAGCTCACTGTAACCTCTGCCTCCCAGGTTCAAATGATTCTCCTGCCTCAGCCTCCTAGGTTGGGACTATAGGCTCCCACCACCATGCCCGGCTAATTTTTGTATTTTTAGTAGAGATCGGGTTTCACTATCTTGGCCAGGCTGGTCTCAAACTGCTGACCTCAGGTGATCTGCCTGCCTTGGCCTCCCAAAGTGCTGGGATTACAGGTGTGAGCCATGGCACCCAGCTCCTTCATGTTAAAAACATGTACTGTGGGCATTCTCAAGGTGCCATGAGGAATCCAAAGGTGTCCATGACAGGTTCTTAGCCCTGGGTCTCTGCCTTTGTAATTCTGGGACAGATAAATCTGAAAGCCAAGGCCAATATAAAATGAAAATGTGAGCCCCTTGTTAAATTTTTTTTAAAGGAGAATTTCAAGACAGTGACAGCAGAACATTATATCTAGCACAGGGTGCTTCTAACTGTGGGGCCCCATGTGGCTATACATGTTGCATACTGATGTGGTTTGGATATTTGTTGCCTCCAAATCTCATGTTGAAATGTGATTTCCAATGTTGGAGGTGGGGCCTGGTGGGAGGTGACTGGATCACTGGGTGGATCCCTCATGAATGACTTAACACTATTCTCTTGATGATGAGTGAGTTCTCCTTCAGTGAGTTCACGTGTGATCTTGTTGTTGAGGAGTGTGGGACCTGCCTCACCCTCTTTTTTGCTCCCACTCTGGCCATGTGACATGCTGGCTCCCCATCACCTTGCACCATGATTGGAAGCTTCTTGAGGCCTTGCCAGAAGCTGATGTCAGCACCATGCTTCCTGTAAAGCCTGCAGAACCGTGAGCCAATTAAACCTCTTTTCTTAAATTACGCAGTCTCAGGCATTCCTTCCTAGTAATGCTACAACTGACTAATACACATACCCATGAAGTCGTTCCTCAAGAAAACCATTAAGGTAAAATAGAATGAAATAAATGCTAAAGAAATACAAAGGTGCAGAGGAAATAAAAAGGAAGAAGCAATTATGTACCCGCACTACAGAAAAGGAGTTAAAAGGCCGAACACAGTGGCTCAAGTCTGTACAATCCCAGCGCTGTGGGAGACTGAGGAGGGTAGATCACCTGAGGTTGGGAGTTCAAGACCAGCCTGGCCAACATGGCAAAACTTCGTCTCTACTAAAAATACAAAAATTAGCCCAGCGTGGTGGCACGCACCTGTAATCCCAGCTACTCGGGAGGCTGAGGCACAAGAATCACTTGAATCTGGGCGACGGAGGTTGCAGTGAGCTGAAATCATGCCACTGCACTCCAGCCTGGGTGACAGAGCAAGACTTTGTCTCAAAAAAAAAGGGGGGGCTAATAGATTATTGACAAACATGTTGCTACCTCACACTTCCCTCTCCTAGGTGTGGGTCTCTAACATCTCTGTCAGTGCACTTACCACCTCAAATGGTAATTATCTGTTTAGGAGCCAGCCTGCTCCACTACAACACTAAAGCTCCTGGAGGTCTGGGCTGTGCACTGCTCCATCTTTGGCCTTGTGCTAGCACAGCAGCAGCCATAAGCATCATAGTAGCAAGATCTCATGAACGTTTGTCCATGGATCTAACTATGCACCTGTCTGGGAGTGGCAGGAAAGTTTGACTTCACTGAGCAGGAGACATTTGAACAGGTCTTAAAAAAGTGGTTCAGGCCGGGCGCAGTGGCTCACGCCTTTAATCCCAGTACTTTGGGAGGCCGAGGCAGGCGGATCACGAGGTCAGGAGATGGAGACCACGGTGAAACCCCATCTCTACTAAAAATACAAAAAATTAGCTGGGCGCGGTGGCAGGCGCCTGTAGTCCCAGCTACTCGGGAGGCTGAGGCAGGAGAATGGTGTGAACCCAGGAGGCGGAGCTTGCAGTGAGCCGAGATCGCACCACTGCACTCCAGCCTGGGCGACAGAGCAAGACTCTGTCTCAAAAAAAAAAAAAGTGGTTCAAAAGAGGAAAGTACTTAAGTAGAGGAAAGAAGGCAAAAGAAGTGAAGACAGATAAATGTAACAAAGAAAAAAAAATTAGGTATAAGCAGCAGTATAGCTGCTTTTCTTAAAAGTCTGTGCCACCAGTCAGGATCCTTTTGGCCGCAGATGGCAGAAGCCCACCTGGAGGAGAAACAAGGAAGAGTAGAGGTGCAAGTGGGTCCCAGGACTGCCTGAAATCCCACTGTGATGTCGCAGGAATCTGTTTATCTTAATTTTCCCCACTACTCTGCCTGTGTATGGGCTACATGGCCTCTGGGAGGCCCCAGGAAAGGAGTCTTTTTCTTTTTCTTTTTTTTTTTTCTTTTTTTTTGAGGAGTCTCTCTCTTGTTGCCCAGGCTGGAGTGCAATGGTGCAGTCTTGGCTCACCGCAGTCTCCTGGGTTCAAGCGATTCTCCTGTCTCAGTCTCCTGAGTAGCTGGGATTACAGGCGCCCGCCACCACACCTGGCTAATTTTTGTATATTTGGTAGAGACGGGGTTTTGCCATGTTGGCCAGGCTGGTTTCGAACTCCTGACCTCAGGTGATCCGCCCGCCTCGGCTTCCGAAAGTGCTGGGATTACAGGCATGAGCCATCACGCCCAGCCAGGAGTCTTTTTCTTTAAGTATGAATAGAAAAATTCCAGGAAATTATTCTGATTGGTCTAGATTGAGTCACAGGCCTTGTGGTGATAGTTGGAAGTTAGAGGTGCCCACAAGAACCCCTGACTTGAGTCAGAGTAGTACTACTTCCCCAAAAGAAGCAGGATGCTATTATTAATGGAAAAGAGGTGTGCTATGTAAATACTACAAACTGGTAGTATCTACTGTAGAAGTGGCTTCCAAATCTTTTTGACCTTGGTTCCCAGCAAGAAATGCATTTGATTATTAGGACTCGCTATACTAGCAGGCTAGGTTCCCTTGGAAGCAGATCTGGGCTGGGGAGTTACATGCAGCCTGTTCACTGGGGAGCACCCTAGGAGCAGCACCTGTCAGAGAGCAAGGGATGCAGGACTGGGCAGAGGGAGAGGTTGAACTGTGATGCTCTTACAACCCAGGGGGAGCCTCAATTGATCCCAGAGAGAGTTCTGAAGGTGGGTCATCAGTGGTGTCCCAAATTGAGGCAAGAGTAGGGTGGCCAATCATCCCAGTTTATCTAGTTTGCCCTGGGTTTTCAGGACATGGGACTTTCTGTTTTAAAGCCAGGAAAGTCCCAGGCAAACCAGGACAAGTTGGTCACTCTGGGAGGGCTGGGCCTTTGTACCTACCTTTCAAATTGGCCAGTCACTGGATGTGGGCTTTCCCTGGGAAGGGGTCCTGATCCTGGGTTTACTCAACTCTCTCAGACCATGGGCAGCTCCTGGGGAGGGATTGAATTCTGAGTAGTCAGCAGGCAGCATTCATGGGAGCTGGGGACTGTGTGCCTTAGTCCTGAAGGACAGACTCTGGGTAGTACATCACAGCATCTTCTGCAATCTGCAATATATAAAACTAACACTAGGCAGGGTGTGGTGGCTCATGCCTGTAATCCCAGCACTTTGGGAGGCCAAGGCGGGCAGATCACAAGGTCAGGAGATCGAGACCATCCTGGCCAACATGGTGAAACCTCGTCTCTACTAAAAGTACAAAAATTAGCTAGGCATGGTGGCGTGCGTCTCTAGTCCCAGCTACTCCGGAGGCTGAGGCAGGAGAATTGCTTGACCCCGGGAGGCAGAGGTTGCAGTGAGCTGAGATCCTGCCGCTGCACTCCAGCCTGGTGACAGAGCAAGACTCCATCTCAAACAACAACAACAACAACAACAACAACAAACCCTAAAATTAATATATATAAAACATATATATATATGTAAAATTATGTGTGCGTGGTGTGTGTATGTATATATGTATAAACTTATATAACTGTTTCAGGTAAAAAATATCTATTCTTGTTATATATGATGTACCTTGATATCTTCTTTTTTCTTTTCTTTTTCTTTTTCTTTTTTTTTTTAGATGGAGTTTCACTCTTGTTGCTCAGGCTGAATGAAGTACAATGACTTGATCTTGGCTCACTGCAACCTCTGCCTCCCAGGTTCAAGCGATTCTCCTTCCTCAGCTCCCGAGTAGCTGGAACTACAGTAGTGCGCCACCACGCCCGGCTAACTTTTTGTATTTTTAGTAAAGATGGGGTTTCACCATGTTGGCCAGGCTGGTCTCGAACTCCTGACCTCAGGTGATCCACCCACTTCGGTCTCCCAAAGTGCTGGGATTACAGGCGTGAACCACTGCGCCTGGCCCTTTTCTTTTTTTCTTTCTTTCTTTCTTTTTTTTTTTTGAGACAGGATCTCACTCTGTCACCCAGGCTGGAGTGCAATGGGGCAATCTCAGCTCACCGCCACCTCCACCTCCTGGGTTCAAGCGATTCTCCTGCCTCAGCCTCCCTAGTAGCTGGGATTACAGGCATGAGCCACCACACCCAGCTAATTTTGTATTTTTAGTAGAGATGGGGGGTCTCTCCATGTTAGTCAGGCTGGTCTCGAACTCCCGACCTCAGGTGATCCGCCCACCTTGGCCTCCCAAAGTGCCAGGATTACAGGCATGAGCCACCGCACCCAGCCATGGCTAGCTTCTTTTAAGAATTTTGGGCTGGGTGTGGTGTCTCACACCTGTAATCCCAGCACTTTGGGAGGCCAAGGCGGGTGGATCACCTGAGATCGGGAGTTCGAGACCAGCCTGACTAACATGGAGAGACCCCCATCTCTACTAAAAATACAAAATTAGCTGGGTGTGGTGGCACATGCCTGTAATCCCAGCTACTCGGGAGGCTGAGGCAGGAGAATCGCTTGAACCTGGGAGGCCGAAGTTGCCGTAAGCCGAGATCGCACCATTGTACTCCAGCCTGTGTAACAAGAGCAAAACTCCATCTCAAAAAAAAAAAGATCCTAGCCATAAGCCATGACTTGATTTCCCAATGCACAAACAGATTACAGTTCAGTTCTATGTGCATGGTGCCCTGTGGAGTTGTACAGGACAGCAGCTCAGAAGTGACCTTGCTCAGAGAGCCAGATTGCTCTCTCAGGTCAGCTACTCGTGAATATGCATCACTGACACAAAGCCTTCTGCATACCAGAGGCTATTGGCTCACTGCCACCACCTGCAAAGCTAATGGGGAAGACTCTTCTTTCTCTTCAAGTCTGAATGAATTGAAGTCTGGCCCAAAAGAAGGCAGAAGTATCTTGGGTTCTTAAGAACATAGAGTCAGGTACTTGATAGACTTGTGCTCTGAATGGTGTCCAGCAGGTTAATTTAGACTTCATGAAAATATTTCTTCAGTGCTTACTCTGTACTAGCATTTTAGGTGAACTATCTCATCTGATCATCAGAACAAACCTCTAAAGTAACTTAGTTACTAGTGCTGTCTCTGTTTTAGGGATGAGGAAATTAGGGACTGGAGATTTTAAATAACCTGCTGGAGTTCCTAAAGTTCAGTTTATGTAGATAGAGTTTACGAATGTCTAGCGATAGAGCCTGACATATTACTATATTTATTGAGTTGCCTGAATAAATGGGCAAATTTCAACTTGAAAGACTGGAAATAGGGATACAAAGCCAAAAATGGAAGAAAGAGCTTTATCCACCAGGCTGCAGATTTTTAGACAAGGGCAAAGTCAGGTCAGGAATCTATAAGACTGGGGTTTGGGTTTCATCTTTCTCTTTGACTAATCTTTATCTAAGTTGATTCATTTCAGTCTTTTTTTTTTTTTTTTTTTTTTGAGACAGGGTCTCATTCTGTTGCCCAGGCTGGAGTGCAGTGGCACAATCTCAGCTCACTGCAACCTCCGCTTCTTGGGTTCAAGCAATTCTTCTACCTCAGCCTCCTGAACAGCTGGGACTACAGGTGTGTGCCACCACGCCCTGCAATTTTTTTTTTTTTTTTGAGACCAGGTCTCGCTCTGTTGCCCAGGCTAGAGTGCAGTGGTGCAATCTCAGCTCACTGCAATCTCCACCTCCCCGATTCAAGCGATTCTCCTGCTTCAGCCTCCCAAGTAGCTGGGATTACAGGCATGTGCCACTACACCCAGCTAATTTTGGATTTTTAGTAGAGACGGGGTTTCTCCATGTTGGTCAGGCTGGTCCCGAACTGCCGACCTCAGGTGATCTGTCTGCCTTGGCCTCCCAAAGTTCTGGGATTACAGGCGTGAGCCACCGCGCCTGGCCTAATTTTTGTATTTTCAGTAGAGATGTGGGATTTAGCCATGTTAGCCAGGCTGGTCTTGAACTCCTGGCCTCAAGTGATCTGCCCCCCTCAGCCTCCCAAAGTGCTGGGATTACAGGCGTGAGCTACCGCACCTGGCCTAGTTTTCTTTTCTTTTTTATACTGTCGTTACCTTTGTTTTCCTTCTACAAATAACTTGTTTCAGAGGAACAATTGTTAAGAGTTCATTGTCCCTTCTGATCTTGGTATGATTAGCTTCTTTGTATCATTCAGGTCTCTGGTCAGATGCTACCAGCACAGAAAGCTCTTTCCCAACCACCTTTTCTAAAAGATCCTTCCGGCCTCTCTCTAACTCCTTTTATTCTTCTTTACTTTCCATCTAAGTACAGTAAGCCCTCTCTATCTGTGGGTTTCATATCTGTGAGTGTGACATCTGTGGATTCAACCAACCATGGATCGAAAATATTCAACGAGACAAAATAGGTGACTGCTGCTGTACAGACTGAATATGTATAGGCCTTTTTTCCCTTTGTCATATTGTCTAACAAGAGAGTATAAAAACTACTTATATAGCTAGGCGTAGTGGTTCACGCCTGTAATCCCAGCACTTTGGGAGGCCGAGGTGGTGGATCATGAGGTTAGGAGCTCAAGACCAGCCGGCTAAGATGGTGAAACCCTGTCTCTACTAAAAATACAAAGATTAGCTGGGCATGGTGGCAGGCACCTGTAATCCCAGCTACTCAGGAGGCAGAGAACTGCTTGAACCTGGGAGGCAGATGTTGCGGTACCGCACTGAAGCCTGTTGACAGAACCACGCTCTGTCTCAAAACAAAAAACAAACAAAAAAAAAACTGGCCGGGCACGGTGGCTCACTCCTGTAATCCCAGCAGTTTGGGAGGCTGAGGCGGGCAGATCACCTGAGGTCAGGAGTTCAAGACCAGCCTGGCCAACGTGGTGAAACCCTGTCTCTACTAAAAATAGAAAAATTAGCTGGGTGTAGTGGTGGGCGCCTGTAGTCCCAGCTACTCAGGAGGCTGAGGCAGGAGAATCACTTGAACCTGGGAGGCAGAGGTTGCAGTGAGCCGAAATCAGGTCACTGCACTCCAGCCTGGGCAATAGAGCATGACTCTGTCTCAAAAACAAAACAAAACAAAGCAAACAAACAAAAACACTACTTATATGCATTTACATTGTATTAGGTATTATAAGTACACTAGAGATCATTTAAAGCACACAAGAGGGTTGGGCAGACTGGCTTATGCCTGTCTTGGGAGGCTGAAGTTGGAGGATCACTTGAGGCCAGGAGTTTGAGACCAGCCTGGGGATCATCGCAATACCTTGTCTCTATAAAAAAATAAAAACAAAAATAACCCTGCATGGTGTCACATGCCTGTAGTCCTGGCTTCTTGGGAGGCTGAGGCAGGTGTTTAAGCCCAGGGATTTAAGGCTGTAGTGAGCTGTGTTTATGCCATTTCACTGCAGCCTGGGTGACATGGTGAGACCGTGTGTCAAAGAAAAACTCAAACTTTTTTTTATTAAGAAAAAAAGTATGCAGGAGGATGTGTGTAGGTTATATACAAGTACTATGCCATTTCATATAAGGATCTTGAGCATCTTTGGATTTTCTTATCCATGGGGGGGTCCTGGAACCAATCCTTCATGGATACCGAGGGACAGCTGTAATAATCAGTGCTTGAAATCTTATTATTTATTTGTCTGTTGCCTGTGTTACCCATTGTAAGGTGAGCTGAAGCTCATGCAGTGAGCCGAGATCGCGCCACTGCACTCCAGCCTGGGCAACAGAGCGAGACTCCGTCTCAAAAAAAAAAAAAAAAGTAGCTCCCAAGATTGTCCAGGGAGTCATGTTTCTTCCTTTCATCCAGGAAGGTTAAATGGCATGCAGTTCTAATGGGCCAGGTCTGGAAGTGATTTCATGTATATATATATATATATATAAAACTTCCCCCCACCCCCACTCTGTCGCACAGGATGGAATGCAGTGGTGTGATCACAGCTCACTCATTGCAGCCACAACCTCCTGGGCTCAAGTGATCCTCCTATCTCAGCTTCCTGAGTTGCTGGGACTACAGGCGCCTGCCAGCCACCATGCCCAGCTAATTTTTGTAATTGCTATAGAGACAAGGTCTTGCTATGTTGCCCATGTTAGTCTTGAACTCCTGGGTTCCAGCAATTCTCCTGCCTTGGCCTACCAAAGTACTGGGATTACAGGCATGAGCCACCACGCCTGGCTGTATATCATTTTTGACCACATTCTACTTGGCACATCCTAAGTTCAAGTGAAGTTGAGAAATACAGTCTAGCTGCGTGCCCAGAAGAAAAACAGATTTGGTGAATAGCTAGCCAATGTCTGCCACTATGGTTAAATTGGTCCCTGTTAGGTTTCTATAAATAAATAATTTGAATTAAAGTAAATCACTACTGTATATTTGTACTGTATAACATCTCAAAACCATTTGTTTCAGATAATTTCTAAAGTCTCTATGATAAAACCAGTTCCTATTTTTTGAGAGCTGCCTTTTATATTCTCTAGGGAGAGGAAAGAAAAGAGAAACTTGAACCTGATTTTGTAAAACATCTATTTGTATCTAAATTGCTTTACAAGATTGTGAAATGTTTCAATATAAGCTGCAGTTTTGACTTGATTACAAAACCTGTTAGAGTTGCCCCCAGAGGTATGGATTTTTCTCACAGAGGGGCTGTTGACACTGCAAAATACATTTCAGAGGGTTTGAAAATCTTACCACATTGAAAGGAATGGATTTTTAGAAAAATTCCAAATTCTAGTTTAGGTACAGGTGAAGCCAGTGGTCCCACTTAGATTGCCTTACCATAATGCTTCTTTTCTAACTTAATACTGGTCAAGACCATAAACTCCAGAAGAATGAGTTTTAGGCCATTGGTCAGAGGGGTAGAAAGGTGATAATATGAAATGAACTAACATTTACTGAGCCTTATTTGTCAGGACCATGCAAGACACCGTGCCCATAGTTGATTTTCTTTAATCCTCACTTCAACACTGACAGGAAGGTAGAGGAGGAGAGCATGCTCCCGGTCTTATTGGTGGAGACCCTATCTCTAGGAGGCTAATTTACTTGTGATCCCACAGCCAACAAGGGACAAACATGGATGTGGCTAAGGTTCATCTGACTCCAAAGCCCACGCTCTTGACTAGACTGGACTAAGCAGGAGAGTGAAAATGAAGAACTTGGGAAATGAGCTAGAGACTAACATTAACAATTTGTGGAACTCAGCTCCTCTGTCTTTTCTTTCCTAAAAATCCCCGAAGATGATTAATTCCTTTGTATCTCTGTTAGCCACTAGCCCTGTAGAAAGACTCAAGTCAGGTGTATGGTTAGAGCTTCAGATCCAACACGTATCAGCTTTCTGATCTTTCTCATCCCTTATCAAAATTGCCTTGCAAGGAGTTTTTCCAAACCAGCTGTCTGTGGGAGCAATTAAGTTCCAATCCTGATTCTGACGGTGAAGTTCTGGCTGCCCTGACCACACCTCCATGGGGAAAAAACTGAAACGGACAGATGAAGGGAGCAATTCCAAGAATAATTTTGGCACTTGATTTAAGACTGGAAAATAATTTTCCTTCTTATTTGGGCAAGGAAAATGCCTCAAGGACAGTAAGAGCCTGTGGGAGCGGTCCAGCGGAGAGCCCCTTTTCCTCTTCTCTTCTGCCAGGGCTCAGGTCTGTAAAACAGCTGAACTATTTGCCACCTTCCTGAGTTTTGCTCTCTGTAGTTTATAGTGCAGCTGGAAATATGTACATTATTTAAATAAAAAATTAAGCCAAATAGCAAGACTTTGGAGTGTTAGAAACAACAATATTTACAATACTTGTACAAGAATTAAACTGAAATTTCAATGTCATCTATAAGGTAAGTTTTTTGAACTCTAAGAATTTTATATTGACTGGGCACGGTGGCTCATGCCTGTAATCCCAGCACTTTGGGAGGCCAAGGTGGGTGGATCACCTGAGGTCAGGAGTTCGAGACCAGCCTGACCAACATGGCGAAATGCCCTCTCTACTAAAAATTCAAAAATTAGCCGGGCATGGTGGTGTAATCCCAACTACTCAGGAGGCTGAGGCAGGAGAATCGTTTGAACTCAGGAGGCGGAGGTTGCAGTGAGCTGAGATTGCGCCATTGCACTCCAGCCTCGGTGACAGAGCAAGACTCCATCTGGAAAAAAAAAAAAAAAAAAAAAAAGCTGACACTTAATGTACTGATATTTAATGATCTCCAGGTTGTATTGTTAAATTGTTAAGTGAAAAAAGGCAAATGCAGAACAGTGTGGAAAATATACACAAAAGTAACAGTAGAGAAAGGGGAGTGGAGAGAATATATATGTTTTTGCTTTATATACGTGTTGTGGTCTGAATGTTTGTGTCTCCCCCAACCCCCTTCTCCAAATTCATATATTGAAACCTAATCCCCAATGTAATGGTATTTGGAGGTAGGGCTTCTGGGTGGTGATTAAGTCATGAGGGTGGAGCCCTCATAATGGGATCAATGCCCTTATAAAAGTGGCCCCAGAGAGATTTTTTACTGCTTTCAGCCATGTGAGGACACAGCAAGATGGCTGGCTATGAACCAGGAAGTGGGTTCTCATCAAACACCTAATCTGGGCCAGGTGCTGGTAGCACACACCTGTAATCCCAGCACTTTGGGAGGCCGAGGCAAAAGGATTGATTGAGGCCAGGAGTTCAAGACCAGCCTGGACAACATGGTGAGACCTTGTCTCTACAAAAAAAACAAAAAATAAAAAATAAGTAACTGGTTGTAGTGGTATGTGCCTGTAGTCCCAGCTACTTGGGAGGCTGAGGTAGGAGGATACTTTGAGCCCAGGAGTTTGAGGCTGGAGTGAACCACGATCCTGCCAGTGCACTCCAGCCTGGGCAACAGAGTGAGACCTTGTCTCAAACAAACCAAACAAACAAATGAGAAAACACCTAATCTGCTGAACCTAGATTTTAGGTTTCCAAGCTCCCAGGACTGTGAGAAATAAATTTCTGTTGTTTATAAGTCCATGGGCTATAATATTTTGTTATAGCACCCATATGAACTAAGATAATGTATAAACTGTCTCTAAAAGGACATAGAGAAAATTGTAACATCAGTTATTTCCAGAGGAGAACTGGGTAGCTGGATTATAGGGGTGAGAGGGAAACTCTTTGTATGTTCTTTGCAGCTTTTGAGTTTGATACCATTCAACTATATTAAAAATTTAACAGATTTTTTTAAATTAAAAGGATTGAGAATTTAAAAACATAACAAAATAAGCATAACAAATAGTCTTGTTTTGTTTTTTAATAGAGACAGCATTTTGCCATGTTGCCCAGGCTGGTCTTGAACTCCTGGACTCAAGGGATTTGCCCACCTCAGCCTCCCAAAGTTGCTGAGATTACAGGCATGAGCCACCGCACCCAGCCACAGATAGTTTCTTTACTTTAATAATATGATGTATGTCTTCATTTTTTATTTTTAATTAAAATTTTTTTTAAGATTATTAGAGATGGGGTCTCACTATATTGACCAAGTTGGTCTTGAACTCTTGGCCTCAAGCATTCCTCCTACCTTGGCCTCCCAAAGTGCTAGGATTACAGGCATGAGCCACCATGCCTGTTTTTGCCATGTTGGCCAGGCTGTTCTTGAACTCCTGGCCTCAAGTGATCCACCTGCCTCTTGGCTCCCAAAGTGCTGGGATTACAGATGTGAGCCACCACACCCAGCTGGCGATGTTAATTTTGGATACATAGACAAGATGTTGTCCAGTTTCTCCACTATTTTGCGCCATACAATTAGTTTTATTTTATTTTTATTTTTTATTTCTGTGTGCAATTAATAAGCAATCAATGGCAAGATATTTTGAGACCAGGCCAGGCGCAGTGGCTCAAGCCTGTAATCCTAGCACTTTGGGAGGCCAAGGCGGGCAGATCATTTGAGATCAGGAGTTCAAGACCAGCCTGGCCAACATGGCAAAACCCCGTCTCTACCAAAAATTCAAAAATTAGCTGGGCATAATGGTGGGCACCTATAATTCCAGCTACTTGGGAGGCTGAGGCATGAGAATTGCTTGAATCCAGAAGGCAGAGATTGCAGTGAGTCGAGATTGCACTACTGCACTCCAGCCTGGGCAATAGAGTGAGACTCGGTCTCAAAAACAAAAAACAAAACAAAACAAAACAAAACAAAAGATATTTTGAGACCATGAAAGTGTCTAGAAATTTCTTAATGCTTATCTTTTGTACATTTTACTGTTTGGTTTTGAATTTTCTCTTGATTTTTCTGCTATTCACAGTTATTATAAAGACAGCATTAAATGTCTAAATGTTGAGAAATTACTTAATGGGTACAATGTACACTATATTGGCCAGGTTGGTCAATCAACCCACACTATTTGGTTGATAGTTATACTAAAAGCCCAGATTTCACCACTATGCAATATATCCACGTATCAAAACTGCACTTGTACTCCTTACTTTTATACAAATAAAAATAAATAGGCGAGGCGTGGTGGCTCACGCCTATAATCCTAGCACTTTGGGAGGCCAAGGTGGGTGGATCACTTGAGGTTAGGAGTTCAAGACTAGCCTGACCAACGTGGTGAAACCCCATCTCTACTAAAAATACAAAAATTAGCCAGGCATGATGGCGCATGCCTGTAATCCCAGGTACTCAGGAGGCTAAGGGAGGAGAATTGCTTGAACCTGGGAGGCAGAGGCTGCAGTGAACCTAAATGTCCAGCTATTAGGGTGTATGATACAACTCCATAATTATTTTAGTCCTTTTAGTTCTGTTCTGTTCTGTTCTGTTCTTTTCTTTTCTTTTAGAGACGGGGTCTCACTATGTTGCCCAAGCTGGTCTCGAACTCCTGGGCTCAAGTGATCCTCCTGCCTTGGCCTTCTAAAGTGGTAGGACTGCAAACGTAAGCCACTGTGCCTGGCCAATTCCATAATTATTGTTATTTATTATTTATTATTATTATTTTTAAGACAGAATTTCGCTCTTGTTACCCAAACTGGAATGCAATGGCGCGATCTTTGCTCACCAGAACCTCTGCCTCCTAGGTTCAAGCGATTCTCCTGCCTCAGCCTCCTGAGTAGCTGGGATTACAGGCACGCACCACCACGCTCAGCTAATTTTGTATTTTTAGTAGAGACCGGGTCTTGCCATGTTGGCATGTTGGTCAGGCTGGTCTTGAATTCCCCATGTCAACCTCCCAAAGTGCTGGCATTACAGGCGTACAGGCATGAGCCACTGTGCCTGGTCCTTTTTTTTTTTTTTTTTTTTTTTGAGATGGAGTCTCACTCTATTGCCAGGCTGGAGTGCAATGGATGACACTATCTCAGCTCACTGCAACCTCTGCCTCCTGGGTTCAAGATATCCTCCTGCCTCAGCTTCCCAAGTGGCTGGGATTACAGGTGCGCATCACCACACCCAGCTACTTTTTTCTATTTTTAGTAGAGACGGGTTTCACCATGTTCACCAAGCTAGTCTTGAACTCCTGACCTCAAGTGATCTGCCCGCCTCGGCCTTCCAAAGTGCTGGGATTACAGGCATGAGCCACCGTGCCCAGCCGAAAAGCATTCTTATGATGGCTTGTGTTTTTTATAAGATGTCAATGCCATGACAGACTCTGACAGGAACCATGCAGTAGGAAGGAGCCTGGTCCTGCTCCCCCATCCTCCTTCACATGTTTCTCTAGTGCCCCCTACTAACTGACCCTAACAGAAGCTGGCTGACAAAGAATAAATGTAGTTTGTAGAGTTCTAGACTCACCATCTCAAAGTCCAGCATGGAGGTTTCAAAACCACTGGCATGGGCCGGGCGCGGTGGCTCATACCTGTAATCCCAGCACTTTGGGAGGCCAAGGCAGGTGGTTCACAAGGTCAGGAGTTCAAGACCAGCCTGGCCAAGATGGTAAAACTTTGTCTCTACTAAAAATACAAAAAAAATTAGCTGGGTGTGGTGGCAGGCGCCTGGCACCTGTAATCCCAGCTACTTGGCAGGCTGAAGCAGAGAGGTTGGCCTGGGCAACAGAGCGAGATTCCGTCTGAAAAAAAAAAATCCACTGGCATATAGGATTCAAGGTACTGGGAAAGTAATTCTGGGTTTGGAGCTGACAGATCATAGCTTACGTAGGCACAGTCTACATATTAGAATTCTGAGACACATTTAAGGCCTAGCTCAGAAGAAAAGTCATAGCTTTAGATACAAACACTAATCTGTAAATTCTTGTTACTTGCAGTAGTTATATTCTATAAAGTTGCCATAAACACTGAATTAGCAAATATTGAACCATTGCCTGTGGGGGAAATGCAGGGTTAGGTTCTGTTGAGCCTGTGGTCATATTTTTGTCAACTAGTCAATATGTAACCTTGTTTTACGGGCGTTTCTGTTTTGGTTTCGTGTTGTTGTTGTTTTAATTTATTTATTTTTTTGAGACGGAGTCTCGCTCTGTCGCCCAGGCTGGAGTACAGTGGTGCGACCTCGGCTCACTGCAAGCTCCGCCTCCTGGGTTCACGTCATTCTCCTGCCTCAGCCTCCAGAGTAGCTGGGACTACAGGTGCCCACCACCATGCCCGGCTAATTTTTTTGTATTTTTTAGTAGAGATGCGGTTTCACCGTGTTAGCCAGGATGGTCTCGACCTCCTGACCTCGTGATCCGCCCGCCTCGGGCTCCCAAAGTGTTGGGATTACAGGCATGAGCCACTGCGCCCAGCCGTGTTGTTGTTGTTTTTTGAGATGGAGTCTTGCTCTTGTCGCCCAGGCTGGAGTGCGGTGGCATGATCTTGGCTCATTGCAACCTCTGCCTCCGAAGTCCAAGCAATTCTCCCACCTCAGCCTCCTGAGTAACTGGGATTACAGGCGCCCACCACCACGCCTGTCTAATTTTTGTACTTTTAGCAGAGATGGGGTTTCGCCATGTTGGCCAGGCTAGTCTTGAACTCCTGATCTCAGGTGATCTACCTGCCTTGGCCTCCTAAAGTGCTGGGATTACAGGTGTGAGCCACCGCGCCTGGCCCTTGTTTTGTTTTTGAAACGAGGTCTCTGTTGCCCAGGCTGGAGAGCAGTGTTGTGATCTCTGCTCACTGCAGCCTCTGCCTCCTAGGCTCAAGTGACTTTCCCATCTTAGCCTCCTGAGTAGCTGGGACCACAGGTGAGTGCCACCACACCCAGCTGATTTTTTTCTTTTTTGGTAGAGACAGGGTTTAGCCATGTCGCCCAGGTTGGTCTCCAACTCCTGAGCTCAAGCAATCCACCTGCCTTGGCTTTCCAAAGTGCTGGGATTACAGGTGCTAGCCATGGTACCTGGCCCAGAGCAGCATTTTCAACCTGCATGTCATAACCTTTTAATAGTTCATAAAATGTTACAAAAAATTTAATGGTTCTTAACATAAAATATTTTTAAGAGACATAGAATATAAAAATTTGAGTACATAGTACATAATCAGGGTAAGTATTGTTTTTATAAAATTTGTACTTTTATTTTGTGTGTGTGAGTGTGTGCATAGTAGTTGCTGTGTGAAATGTATTTCTTACTTTTTGTTCAGGTCAAAGGTTTGAAATTCACCAATGCACAGGTCTCAGGGTATATGGAAAGTAGTTCCTCAGTACACTCTAGGGAGTCTAGAGACTGTTTAATTTTTTGTTTTGTTTGTTTGTTTGTTTTCTTTTGTTTGAGATGGAGTCTCGTTCTGTTGCCCATGCTGGAGTGCAGTGGCATGATCTCAGCTCACTGCAACCTCTGCCTCCTGGGTTCAAGCAATTCTCCTGCCTGAGCCTCCCGAGTAGCTTGGATTACAGGTGCTAGGTGCCTGCCACCACTCCTGGCTAATTTTTGTATTTTTAGTAGAGACAGGGTTTCACCATGTTGGCCAGGCTGGTCTCGAACTCCTGACCTCAGGTGATCCGCCTGCCTCGGCCTCCCAAAGTGCTGGGATTACAGGCATGAGCCACTGCACCCAGCCTAAGCCTGTTTAATTGTTAACCCTAACACTGATACAGGAAAGTCAACTTTTCTCTACTAAAAAGCTTTTCTCAGGGAACACTTTTACATTGCTGATGGGAAAGTAAATTAGTACAACCACTATGGAAAACAGTATGGATATTCCTTAAAGAACTAAAAGTAGAACTACCATTCGACAGCAATCCCACTGCTGGGTATCTACCCAGAAGAAAAGAAGCCATTACATGAAAAAGACACTTGCACACACAAGTGTCTTTATAGCAGCGCAATTCATAATTGCAAAACTATGGAACCAACCTAAATGCCCATCAACCAACGAGTGGATAAAGAAAATGTGGTATATATAAATACCATGGAATACTACTCAGCCATAAAACAAAATGAAATAATGGCCTTTGAAGCAAGTTGGATGGAGCTGGAGGTCATTATTCTAAGTGAAGTAACTCAGGAATGGAAAACCAAATACCATAGATTCTCATTGATAAGTGGGAGCTAAACTATGAAGATACAAAGGCATAAGAATTATATAATGGACTTTGGGGACTCAGAGGGAAGGGTGGGGTGGTGAGGAATAAAAGACTACACATTGGGTACAGGGTACACTGCTCGGGTGACAAGGGCACCAAAATCTCAGAAATCATCACTAAAGAGCTTATCCATGGAACCAAAAACTGCCTGTACCTCAAAAACTACTGAAATTTAAAAAAAATGTTTTTTCCCCATGGTTTATATCATTTCCTTATAGGCTTCATTTTTTCCAGAGGTTAACTTTTTTTTTTTTTTTTTGAGACAGAGTCGTGGTCTCTTGCCCAGGCTGGAGTGCAGTGGTGTGATCTCACTGCAACCTCTGCCTCCTGGATTCAAGTGATTCTCGTGCCTCAGCCTCCTGAGTAGCTGCAATTACAGGCTGCTGAGTAGCTGCAATTACAGGCATGTGCCACCATACCCAGCTAATTTTTTTCCTGGCTTCAAGTGTTCTACCCAACTCGCCCTCCCAAAGTGCTGGGATTACAGGCATGAGCCACCGTACCCAGCCTCCAGAGGTTAACTTTTCTTTGCTACCTGCTGCATAATATCATTGATAATTTCTTTGCTACCTGCTGCATAACGTCATTGATAATTTCCATCTGTTCCACTGATATTGTTTCTCCTGGCAACTGTTAGCTGGACTCCTTCAATTTTATCCATCTTAAAATTATATTTGCATGTTTTTCTTTCTTTCTTTCTTTCTTTTTTTTGAGACGGAGTCTCGCTCTGTCGCCCAAGCTCGAGTGCGGTGGCGTGATCTCGGCTCACTGCAAGCTCCACCTCCCAGGTTCATGCCATTCTCCTGCCTCAGCCTCCCGAGTAGCTGGGACTACAGGTGCCTGCCACCACACCCGGCTATTTTTTTTGTATTTTTAGTAGAGTCGGGGTTTCACCATGTTAGCCAGGATGGTTTTGATCTCCTGACCTCCTGATCCACCCGCCTCTGTCTCCCAAAGTGCTGGGATTACAGGCGTGAGCCACCACGCCCGGCCTCTTTCTTTCTTTCTCTTTTTTTTTTTTTTTGAGACGGGGTCTTGCTCTGTCACCAGGCTGGAGTGCAGCGGTGTGATCTTGGCTCACTGCAACCTCCGCCTCCTGGCTTCAAGCGATTCTCCTGCCTCAGCCTCCTGAGTAGCTGGGACTACAGGTGTGCACCATCACACCCAACTAATTTTTGTATTTTTAGTAGAGACGGGGTTTCACCATGTTGGTCAGGATGGTCTCTATCTCCTGACCTCGTGATCCGCCCAGCTCGGCCTCTCAAAGTGCTGGGATTGCAGGTATGAACCACCGCTCCTGGCCCTTTCTTTTTTTGAGATGGAGTCTCACTCTGTTGCCAGGCTGGAGTGCAGTGACATGATCTCGGCTCACCGCCAATCTCCGCCTCCTGGTTTCAAGTGATTCTCCTGCCTCAGCCTCCCAAGCAGCTGGGATTACAGGCATGCACCACCATGTCCCACTAATTCTGTATTTTTAGTAGAGGTGGGGTTTTGCCATGTTGTCCAGGCTGTTCTTGATCTCCTGACCTCAAGTGATCCTTGAGCCTTGGCCTCCCAAAGTGCTGGTATTAAAAGGATAAGCCACCGCACCCAGCCTTATTTGCATGTTTTTCATATTGAGAATTTATTAAATTTTTTACTGCATGGTAGATTCCTGAACTTTCACTGTATTATTTCTCTTAGTCTTTAGTTATAATAATTTTTTCCATGTGGAAAAAATATCTGCCTAACATATGGAAAAATAAAAGAAAAAACATGGAAGATCAAGCCATTTCACCAGTCCTTCAGGCTGCCCTTGCCTCCTACTTAATTCCTTCTTTCTGCCCTTCTCTAAGCTCTTCCTAAATATGGCATTGAGAAGGCATTTACATTTCTTTTCTTTTTTTTATTTTTATTTTTGAGATGGAGTCTCACTCTGTCACCCAGGCTGGAGTGCAATGGCGTGATCTCGGCCCACTGCAACCTCTGCCTCCCAGGTTCAAGAGATTCTCTTGCCTCAGACTCCCAAAAAGCTGGGATTACAGGCACCTGCCACCAGGCCTGGCTAATTTTTTTTTTTCTATTTTTAGTAGAGACAGGGTTTCACCAGATTGGCCAGGCTGGTCTCAAACTCCTGACCTCAAGTGATCCACCTACCTTAGCCTCCCAAAGTGCTGGGATTACAGGCGTGAGCCACTGCACCTGGCCGGTATTTACATTTCTCTCTCTTTCTCCCCAGCTTCTCCTTCCCTTCCTTTTTGAGAGTTGCCATAGGAGCCTCTAAGATAGCTCCCAACATTTCACCCTCCTGGTATTCATGCCCTTGTGTACTCCCTCCCCTTCCTTTAAGTGTCAGCTGAACAAGGTGACTTGCTTCTAACAAATAGAATAGGGCATGAGTAATGGGATGGCACTTCCAAGATTAGCATGCAAAAAGAATATGTGATTTTCATCTTGTATTCTCTCATTCTCTCTGCCTTCATTCTGGGGGAAGCCAGCTGACATGTTGTCAGAAGCCCTGTGGAGGTGCCACATGGCAAGGAATTGGTGACTTGGGCTAACAGCCAGGGAGACCCTGAGACCTGCCAACAACTACTGACTAAGCTTGGAAGTGGACTTTCCCCTAGTAGAGCCTTGAGATGACTATGTCCCTGGCTGACACCATAATTTCTTCCTTGTGAGAGACCTTGAGCCAAAGGACCCAGCAAAACCATGTCCAGAATCCTGACCCGCAGAAACAGTGAAATAATATTTCTTGCCTCAAAGGCAGTCATCTGTTTAGCTTCAGCCCAGTCAACTCTCACCTGGATAACTTCAGTAGCCTTTTTTTTTGAGACGGAGTCTTGCTCTGTCACCAGGCTGGAGTGCAGTGGCGTGATCTCAGCTCACTGCAGCCTCTGCAAGCTTCTGCCTCCCAGGTTCAAGTGATTCTCCTGCCTCAGCCTCCCAAGAAGCTGGGACTATAGACAGGCACCACCACACCTGGCTAATTTTTGTATTTTTAGTAGAGACGGGGTTTCACTGTGTTGGCCAGGCTGGTCTCGAACTCCTTACCTCAGATGATCCGCCCACCTTGGCCTCCCAAAGTGCTGGGATCACAGATGTGAGCCACCGCACCCAGCCTAACTTCAGTAGCCTTCTAGCTGCCTCTTCATAAGGAAATAGTCATCCATTTCTTGCGTGTGTCAAACCCTGTGTGAGACACCTTCACTCTAGCAGTCCCCTCACCTCAACCAATGCATTCATCATATAACAGAGCAATTTTTGGCCAGGCGCGGTGGCTCATGCCTGTAATCCCAGCACTTTGGGAGGCCGAGGCGGGCGGATCACGAGGTCAGGAGATTGAGGCCATCCTGGCTAACATGGTGAAACCTCGTCTCTACTAAAAATACAAAAAATTAGCTGGGCGTGGTGGCAGGCGCCTGTAGTCCCAGCTACTAGGGAGGCTGAGGCAGGAGAATGGCGTGAACCCGGGAGGCAGAGCTTGCAGTGAGCCGAGATCGCGCCACTGCACTCCAGCCTGGGCGACAGAGTGAGACTCCATCTCAAAAAAACACAAACACAAACAAAAAAAACAGATTAATTTTCCTGAATGGCCTACCTTCCCAAGGCCAAATTCCTTAGCATGGCTCATAAGCTCCTCCATGCTTTGGTCCTGGCCTCCACTGCAGTCTTGTCCTGCCTGCCCCTACCCTCCAGGCCAGCTGACCCTCTGGATTCAGCTCACCCTCATTACACTCATTCATTCAGGAAACATTAATGAGGCCAGGCCTAGTGGCTCAGGCCTGTAATCCCAGCAGTTTGGGAGGCCAAGATGGGAGGATCCGATGAACCCAGAAGTTTGAGACCAGCCTGGGTAACATAGTGAGATCGCATCTCTATTAAAAAGAGAGAGAGGGCAGGGCGCGGTGGCTCACTCCTGTAATCCCAGCACTTCAGGAGGCCGAGGTGGGCGGATCACAATGTCAGGAGATGGAGACCATCCTGGCCAACATGGTGAAACCCTGTCTCTACTAAAAATAGAAAAATTAGCCGGGCATGGTGGCGGGCACCTGTAATCCCAGCTACTCGGGAGGCTGAGGCAGGAGAATCGCTTCAGAGGGAGTCGGAGGTTGCAGTGAGCTGAGATCGCGCCACTGCACTCCAGCGTGGTGACAGAGCGAGACTCCATCTCAAAAAAAAGAAAACATTTATGAGGGCCTACTGAGTGCCTGGAACTTTTGAAAGGCACTCGAATTCCAAGATGAATAAAATGGAACAGTTCTATGCCCAAGGAACTACATTACTATACAGTAGGTGATATCTTTGGGGTGTTCTCCAAGTACCATGGAAAACTAACCCAGACTCAGGGGTCCTAGAAAGGCTTTCTGGAAGATAAATGAGGGAGGGCATCCCAGGCAGGCAAAATAGACAGACAAAAGCCTGGACAAAATTCCTGGCCTCTGCCCACCTGGGAAAACCTCAAATTGTTTTGTTTTGTTTGTTTAGAGACAGGGTCTCCTTCTGTGGCTCCGGCTGGTGTGCAGTGGCGCAATCATGGCTTATTGCAGCCTGAAACTCACTATCTGTAGAGCCAATCCTGAACCATGCATCATACATCACTGCCTATATAAGCACTTATCCTTGAAGGAAAGAACTGCAATTGTTCTTCCTTTATTTGGGCCCAACTGCTTTAAGAGGGCTCTGAATGCCGAGGGGATGGAGAGGGGCAGAGGACAGAGAAGGCCCCAGAGAGCACAGCAGAGGAGGCATTGGCCCAGGGCTAGAGGCATTGAGCTCCTCTAAAGCCAAGTTGCTAGAGGCATCCCTGAATCTCCAATTGTCTGATTCTGGAAACCTGTAGGCACTTTCAAGCTGGAAGGAAAATGAGCACCTTTATGATGCATCTAAAGCTTGTTTGCTCCCTGGGGGCAGTTCTGTGATGGTCAGGTTTTGAACATTTGCATATGAATGAAAACCAGAAACAATAGTTACATAAACCCCTAGGGGGCTGATTTGGGTTGCAGAATTGGGGGAGGATCGAACTTCAACTCCTCTGGAAATCTGCAGAGCAACTTAATGGACTGCAGAGTCTATTCAGAAGGATGGGCTGGGTGGGGTCTGAATACTTGAATTCTCTTTTATCCTTGTTTAGGCTGAGAGAAGCTAGGGGCGGATGGAGGTTTCTGGAAGGCTTTTGCACCATGGCCCTCACCCTCTTATTTAGGCCCTGCACACTACACTTTACTCTGTAACCCACTCGCTACCACTAAGATAGCAGCCTCTGCCTCCAGTTGACATCAGATGTCGAATTTTTCCAAAGGGCTGGAATTTTTGCCGTTGTCCCTGGTCTGTGACTGCATCGCAATGCCAAATCTCTTTTTTTTTTTTTTTTTAGACAGGGTTTCGCTCTGTCACGCAGGTTGGAGTGCAGTGACACAATCGTGGCTCACTGTAGCCTCAACTTCCCAGAATCAAATGATCCTCCCACCTCTGCCTCCTGAGTACCTGGGACTACAGGCATGCACTAATGCCTGTAGCATGTACATAGTAATGTAGCATGCCTGGCTAATTTCTTTTTCTTTTTCTTTTTTGAGATGGAGTTTTGCTCTTGTCGCCCAGGCTGGAGTGCAATGGCACCGTCTTGGCTTACTGCAAACTCCGCTTCCCGGGTTCAAGCATTTCTCCTGCCAAAGCCTCCCGAGTAGCTGGGATTACAGGCATCCGCCATTATGCCCAACTAATTTTTGTATTTTTAGTAGAGACAGGGTTTCACCATATTGGCCAGGCTGGTCTCAAACTCCTGACCTCAGATGATCCACCTGCCTTGGCCTCCTGAAGTGCTGAGATTACAGGCGTGGGCTGCGCTCGGCCAATTTTTTTTTTTTTTTTTTTAATTTTTTTGTAAAGATGATGTTTTGCTATGTTGCCCAGGCTGGTCTCAAACTCCTGGATTCAAGTGATCCTTCTGCCTTGGCTTCCCAAAATGCTGGGATTACAGGCATGGGCCACCTTGCCCAGTCCTTCAGCACCAAATCTCTAACCTAACCCCATGTTTTATCCCCTTCAATAACCCCATGTGGCCTGTCTCACTCAACATTGCTCTAGAGACCCAGTGTTGTTGCTTCGTACTGCAGGGGGTGCTACTGATAATGTCAGCAGCGGCGATTCCCAGGGGTCAGAAGAACTCCATTCTTGCCTCCTCGGAGGAAATAGTTCAGCCAAGGGGCATAAGGCAGAGTGACAGACTGAGGCAAGCTTTAGAGCAGGAGTTAAAGTTTATTAAAAAGCTTCAGAGCAAGAACAAACGGAAGTAAACTACACTTGGAAGAGGGCCAACCAAGCAACTTGAGAGATCCAAGTGCTCCAACTGACCTTGGCTTGAGGTTTATACATTGGCATGGTTCTGGGGTGTGCATTTCTTCTACCCTGATTCCTCCTTCGGTGTGGGCTGTCCTCGCGCAGTGGCCTGCGGATACTTGGGAGGGGCCGCGTGCGCAGTGTGGTTACTGAAGTTATGCGCATGCTCATTTGAGGCATTCTTCCCTTACCAGTTGAGTGTTCCTGGAGGAAGGTCATATACCAGTTAAACTCTGCCATTTTGCCTCTTAGTGCACACGCTTGAGCCCACTCCCCCAACTCCTGAGATCTTATCGGGAAGCTGTGGATGACCAGCGTCAGGTGTTTTCTATCTGTTGGGAGACTGCCTTTCCCTGGTGCCTGCTGTAACCAATTTTTATTTTATTTTATTTTATTATTTTTTAGATGGAGTCTTGCTCTGTCGCCCAGGCTGGAGTGCAATGGTACAATCTGGGCTCACTGCAACCTTCGTCTACAGGGTTCAAATGATTCTCCTGCCTCAGCCTCCTGAGTAGCTGGGATTACAGGTGCCCGCCATCATGCCTAGCTAATTTTTGTATTTTTGTAGAGATGGGGTTTCACCATGTTGGCCAGGCTGGTCTTGAACTGCTGACCTCAGGTGATCTGCCCACCTCGGCCTACCAAATTGCTGGGATTATAGGCTTGAGCCACAGCTCCTGGCCCAATTATTATTTTAGAGACACAGTTTAACAGCTGCCTGACCATCACCTGACAGTCGTCTGACCATGGCCTGACATTCCTAGGTGGGGGGACTCCTCTCCTGTCCTGCCTACATCTGCCTAACTACCTATTCTAACAGTATGGTGCTGTTTTGGAATTTTAGGTTAAAAATTGAACTCTCCAGTGATGGAGAAATAAAGAATGTTTCAACTCAATTGTGAGGAAAACTGGTTACCAGAAACATGTGTATCTTTCTTGAATTGGGCCTCATGTAGAAAAGATTGTTCATCGTGAACCCCACGCCCATTTTACTGCCGTCTCTCAAAGTTTCACAGAAAAGGCACAAAGCTCCCTCAGTATCAAGACTTTGAAGCTCAAGGATGTGTCCTATTTATTCCTGGAGCTGCCACACTGCAGACATTCAGTAAACATGATGGTCTATTTAGGAGAGGAGAAGCCACCCACATTCTCTGGGTCAATTTCTCCCTCATGCCTTTCCCTTTCTGCATAACTCCATAGCTTCTGGTGTCACACCTGCAAAACCAAACCAAACAAGCTTCCCCATAAGCCATCCCTGCCCCACTGTCTTTCTCTCATTTGCCCCTGCCATCCACCTTAGCTACTGTTCTTTCTCTTTCTAGAAAAAGAGATTAGCTCTACTTCCCCTATTCACTCCCTACACCCCAACATCACAAAATCTTTCAGCTTCTATTATTCACAGAAACCACATTTACTACATTGATCAGTAGCCTTTTCTTTTCTTTCTTTTTTTTTTTTTTGTAGTTGCCTCTTAATTGAGAAACCAGCAGGGCCCCTTACCATCACTTAGCTTGTATTGCTTTTGACTATTTTGCCTTGAAATGCTTCTATAGGCCGGGTGCGTTGGCTCACGTCTGTAATCCCAGCACTTTGGGAGGCCGAGCGGGACGATTCACTTGAGGTCAGGAATTCGAGATCGGCCTGGCCAAAATGGCGAAACCCTGTCTCTACTAAAAATACAAAATTTAGCTGGACTTGGTGGCACACGCCTGTAATCCCAGCTACTCAGAGGCGGAGGCAGGAGAATCACTTCAACCTGGGAGGTGGAGGCTGCAGTGGGCCAAGATCGCACCACTGCACTACAGCCTGGGCGACAAAGTGAGACTCCAGCTCAAAAAAAAAAAAAAAAAAAAAAGACAGAAAGAAAGAAATGCTTCTATAGTATCTTTTCTGACAACACGCTGTCCTGGTTCTCCAAGGACATTTTCAGGCCAAGTCCCCTGTCACCCTCAGGCTCCTTCAGAGCCTCCTTTTATTCCCCTCCTACCCCAATAACATAGGCGTTACTAAGGGTCCTAGTAAATTAAACTAAGTTTGGCCAGAGGCTGCCTCCATACCTTGAGTTCCTACTGAAAGAACTGCAACCTAACTTCAGCAGGTAAACTGAGAGCCTAATATAGAAGTTTTGTTTAATAACAAATAGCTGAGTGTCAGCCAAGCACAGCAGCTGAGCTTCAGTCAGTCACAGGCTACCAACTGATCAGACCATGTCTCAATACTGAGCTGTAACCAATCAAGCTGTTACAGAGTGGAGCTCTTGAAGCTCTGCTTGTTCCCAGAGCCACCCGATTCAGGAACTGTTCTTTAGGCTGGGCATGGTGACTCACATCGGTAATCTCAGCACTTTGGGAGGCTTAGGCAGGAGGATGGCTTGAGGCCAGGAGTTCGAGATCAGCCTGGGCAACACAGCAACAGCCTGTCTCTATGAAAATAAATAAATAGCCGGTGCGGTGGCTCACGCCTGTAATCCCAGCACTTTGGGAGGCCAAGGGGGGTGGATCATCTGAGGTCGGGAGTTCGAGATCAGCCTGACCAACATGGGGAAACCCTATCTCTACTAAAAGTACAAAATTAGCCAGGTGTGGTGGCGCATGCCTGTAATCCCAGTTACTCAGGAGGCTGAGGCAGGAGAATCGTCTGAACCCGGGAGGCAGAGGTTGCAGTGAGCCAAGATTAGGCCATTGCACTCCAGCCTGGGCAACAAGAGCAAAACTATGTTTCCAAAAAAAAAAGAAAGAAAGAAAAGAAAAGAAATAAATGAATAAAAGCTAGGCATCATGGCATGTGTCATGTGGTTCTAGCTACTCAGGAGGGTCCCTTGAGCCCAGAAGTTTGAGGCTGTGGTGAGCTATGATTGAGCCACTGCACTCCAGCCTGCGCAACAGAGACCAGTCTCTAAAAATATATATATATTTTTAAGGAATCATTCTTTGTTCAATTACCCTCTGTTAAATTTAATTTGTCTAGAATTTTTCTTTTAACAGTTCTAATGTTGCTCCTCTCCCCTCCCTCCCCTTGCCAGAACTTTGCTCCTCAAAGTGTGATCCACCTTGGCCAGCAGCACTGTCCTCACTGAGAGCCTTATAGAAATGCAGAATCTTAGGCCCTACCTCAGGCTTTCTGCATCAGAATCTGCATTTTTGCTTTTTTTTTTTTTTTTTTTTTTTGCGACAGAGTCCAGCTCTGTTATCCAGGCTAGAGTTCAGTGGTGCAATCTTGGCTCACTGCAACCTCCGCCTCCTGGGTTCAATTGATTCTTCTGCCTCAGCCCCCTGAGCAGCTGGGATTACAAGTGCTCACCACCATGCCCAGCTAATTTTTGTAGTTTTAGTAGAGACGGGGTTTCACCATGTTGGCCAGGATGGTCTCAAACTCCTGACTTCAAGTGATCCACCCGCCTAGGCCTCCCAAAGTGCTGGGATTACAGGCGTGAGCCACCACGCCTGGGTTTTTTTTTGTTTGTTTGTTTGTTTTTTTTAGAGACATGGTTTTGCCATGTTGCTCAGGCTGGTCTTGAACTCCCAAGCTCAAGTGATCTGCCTGCTTCAGCCTCCCAAAGTGCTAGGACTACAGGCATGTGCTACCATGTCCAGCTATTTAAAAATACATATTTTTTATAGAGATGGGGGTCTCACTATGTTGCCCAGGCTGGTCTTAAAGTCCTTCCACCTTGGCCTCCCAAAACACTGGGATTACAGGCATGAGCCACCGCGCCTGGCCCAAGTTATAATAACTTTTTAAAAAATTGCTTACTGGTTGAGAACATATGCCCTAGAATTAAACTTCCTGGATTCCAGTTCTGGCTATGCTTTTCACTAGTTGGTGACCTTGAATATCTTGCTTAACTCCTCTTGGTTTCTTGATCTATAAAATGGGAATAATAATTATACATACTTCATACCTTTTTGGTTTTGGTTTTGTTTTTTGAGACGGTCTCATTCCCGTCACCCAGCCTGGATGCAGTGGCGCGATCATGGCTCGCTGCAGCCTCAAATTCCCGGGTTCGGGTGATCCTCAGCCTCCAGAGTAGCTGGGACCACAGACAGGTGCTACCACGCCCAGCTAATTTCTTGTCTTTTTAGTAGAGATGAGGTTTTTTTTTTTTTTTTGAGACAGTCTCGCTCTGTCACCCAGGCTGGAGTGCAGTGGCACGATCTCAGCTCACTGCAAGCTCCACCTCCCGAGTTGACGCCGTTCTCCTGCCTCAGCCTCCCGAGTAGCTGGGACTACAGGTGCCTGCCACCACACCCAGCTAATTTTTTTGTATTTTTAGTAGAGACGGGGTTTCACCATGTTAGCCAGGATGGTCTCGATCTCCTGACGTCGTGATCCGCCCGCCTTGGCCTCCCAAAGTGCTGGGATTACAGGCGTGAGCCACCGCACCCAGCCAGAGATGAGGTTTTGCCACATTGGCCAGGCTGGTCTTGAACTTCTGACCTCAAGTGATCCGCCCACCTCTGCTTTCCAAAGTGCTCGGATTATAGGCATGAGCCACCTTGCCTGGTTCAGGTTTTGTGAAGATTAAATTAGCTGATACCTATAAACAAACTGCTTAGGAGAATGTCTGACACATTTTGTGATGTTGGTTATAACTTATGTTAACGATACATGCCTTGTAGGATCCCCTACTTTGACCCTGATGCTCCCACTTTACTAGCTGCTGGACTTTCAACATTCTTCTTAAAATTCTCTAAGTCTTGGCTTCTTATCTGTAAGTGGGAATAATAAACCAGATAATACTTACCATATTAGATTGTAATGGAGAATAAATTAGATCATTCATGTACAGTGCTTATAATAAGTGCTTGATAATATGAAGCGTTAATTTTTTTTTTTTTTTTTTTTGAGATGGAGTCTTGCTCTGTCTCCCAGGCTGGAGTGCAGTGGCATGATCTCGGCTCACTGCAGCCTCTGCCTCCCAGGTTCCAGCAATTCTCTGCTTTAGCTTCCTGAGTAGCTGGGATCACAGGCATGTGTCACCACGCCCAGCTAACTTTTTGTATTTTTACTAGAGATGGGGTTTCACCATGTTGGCCAGGCTGGTCTTGAACTCCTGACCTCAAGTGATCTGCTTGCCTGGGCCTCCCAAAGTGCTGAGATTACAGGGGTGAGCCACCCCACTCAGTCAAAAAAAGTTTTTTTGTAAGATAGGGTCTTGCTACGTTGCCCAGGCTAATGTTCTTCCTGGGTTCAAGTGATCCTCCTGCCTCAACCTCCTGAGTAGCTAGACTACAGACACTCCACCCAGCTAATTAAAAAAAAAAATTTTTTTTTTGTAGAAACAGGGTCATGCTATATTGCCCACGCTGGTCTCAAACTCCTGGCCTCAAGCATCCTCCTGCCTTGGCCTCGTAAAATGCTGGGATTACAAGTATAAGTCACCACGCCTGGCCTAATACGAAGGTTTTTTTTTTTTTGAGACAGAGTCCTGCTCTGTCACCCAGGCTGGAACGCAGTGTCGTGTTCTCAGCCCACTGCAACCTCCGCCTCCCAGGTCCAAGCAATTCTCCTGCCTCAGCCTCCTGAGTAGCTGGGATTACAAGCACCTGACATGATGCTCAGTTAATTTCTTTTTTTTTTTTTTTTTTTGAGATGGAGTCTCGCTCTTATTGCCCAGGCTGGAGTGCAATGGCACGATCTTGGGTCACCGCAACCTCCATCTCCTGGGTTCAAGCGATTCTCCTGCCTCAGCCTCCCAAGTAGCTGGGATTACAGGCATGCACCACCATGCCCGGCTAATTTTTGTATTTTTAGTAGGGATGGGGTTTTCTCCATGTTGGTCAGGCTAGTCTTGAACTCCCGACCTCAAGTGATCCACCTGCCTCAGCCTCCCAAAGTGCTGGGATTACAAGTGTGAGCCACTGCGCCTGGCCCAATTTTTGTATTTTTAATAGAGATGGGGTTTTGCCATGTTGGCCAGGCTGGTCTTGAACTCCTGACATCAAGTGATCTGCCCGCCTCAGCCTCCCAAAGAGCTGGGATTACAGGAGTGAGCCACCATGCCCGGCCTTATTTATTTAATTATTTTGAGATGGAGTCTCGCTCTTTCGCCCAGGCTGGAGTGCAGTGGCACAATTTTGACTCACTGCAACCTCCACCTTCCCAGGTTCAAGCCATTCTCCCACCTCAGCCTCCAGAGTAGCTGAGGCTTGCGCCTCCACAGGTTTGCGCCACCACACCTGGCTAATTTTTATATTTTTAGTAGAGAAGCAGTTTCACCATGTTGGCCAGGCCGGTCTTGAATTCCTGAGGTCAAGTGATCTGCCTGCCTCAGCCTCCCAAATTGCTGCGATTACAGGCGCGAGCCACCGCGCCCGGCCTGAAAGTTTTTTTATTTTTATTTTTTTATTATTATTATTTTTTGAGACAGAGTTTCGATCTTATTGCCCAGGCTGCAGTGCAATGGCACGATCTCGGCTCACCGCAATCTCCACCTTCCGGGTTCAAGCGATTCTCCTGCCTCAGCCTCCCGAGTAGCTGGGACTACAGGCATATGCCACCACGCCCGGGTAATTTTGTGTTTTTAGTAGAGACAGGGTATCGCCATGTTGATCAGGCTGGTCTCGAATTCCCCTCCCAAAGTGCTGGGATTACAGGCGTGAGCCACTGTGCCCTGCCTTAAATTTTTTAATAAGTTAAAACAAACTGAATAACAATGTCTATTTCACAGGTTACTGTGGAGATAAAATGAGAGTACTTTGAAAACTTTAATTTGAAAGCTTTACCACTAAATGATGCACTAGTTATGTCAATCCATTTCCACTAGATGGCAGTAGACATCGCCAAAACCAGCTTAGCTCTACTAGCTGCTGGAGAACGTACATTTTTAGGAAATGACTTAACTGGTCTTGTTTTTGTGACTATATTGAAATGTGGTTGGAGTTTTTGTATGATTTCAAATGCATGAACTACCTGCTTGAGCTTAGAAATATTTTTGTTTGATGTGGATTGTGAAAAATGATTATTCTTAGTATAGAGCCTGTTCCATACCCCTCTCCCTCAGTTTCCATCTTCATCTTTGGATGTGCACATCTTTGTTTTTTATTTTTGCTTTTGAGACAGAGTCTTACTCTGTTGCCCAGGCTGGAGTGCAATGGCGTGATCTCGGCTTACTGCAACCTCTGCCTCCTGGATTCAATCGATTCTCCTGCCTCCACCTCCTGAGTAGCTGGGACTACAGGTTTGTACTAATATGCCTGGTTAACTTTTTGTATTTTTAGTAGAAACAGGATTTCACTATATTGGCCAGGCTGGTCTCAAACTCCTGGACTCAAGTGATCTGCCCGCCTCGGCCTCTCAAAGTGCTGGGATTACAGGCATGAGCTAATGTGCCTGGCCCCATCTTCATTTTTGGATGTGCACATCTTTGGAAGTGCTTTAACCCTACCCCCTTTTTACTCAAAGTATGGTCCAAAGACAAGCAGCAGCAGCTTAACCTGGGAGCTTGTAGACAGGTGGAATTCTGGGCCTCGCCCTAGACTCACTGAATCTGAGTGATTCATATGGACATCAAAGTTTGAGAAGAACTGCTTTAGCCACATGGAGTCTCTTGGAATTCTCTAAAGGAGTCACGCTCGCCTTTGCACATGCTGATCTTCCCAAGTCAGAAATACCCCTTTCTCTATCTGCTAGGCAAGCTAGCCTCTTATTTACCCTTCTTATTTAACTAATCATCAGGGAACCGGCAAAAGAAGAAAGATAGGGGAGACTGGTAAATATATAGTCAGTGGGAAAAAGAATGCTGGGATAAGACTGCAATATGAAATATAACACTGCTTAATATTCACAGAGCAATGAAATGGCAACCTTTGGAGATATCTTTTCTTTCTTTCTTTTTTTAAACAAGAGTCTCGCTTCTTCGTTCATGCTGGAGTGCAATGGCGCGCTCTTGGCTCACTGCAATCTCCACCTCCTGGATTCAAGCAATTCTCCTGCCTCAGTCTCCCCAGTAGCTGGGATTACAGGCATGTGCCACCAAGCCTGGCTAATTTTTGTATTTTTAGTAGAGACTGGGTTTCACCCTGCTGGCCAGGCTGGTCTCAAACTCCTGAAGTGATCCACCTCAAGTGATCTACCCGCCTCGGCCTACCAAAGTGCTGGGATTACAGGCGTGAGACACCGCACCTGGCCTGGAGATATCTTTTCTACCCAACAAAATCATTTGCCACTTATTTTCCATAAGCTAACATCTAACTTTACAGACTCCGGACCCTATCAATGGTAAATAAATGAAATGAAATGACTTCCTCTACAATCAGACAACTTCCATGCCGGCCTTTTAGACAGTACTCTAGTATGACTTTGAAAGGACATATTTGGGCCGGGCGCGGTGGCTCACGCCTGTAATTCCAGCACTTTGGGAGGCCGAGGCGAGCGGATCACAAGGTCGAGAGATCGAGACCATCCTGACCAACATGGTGAAACCCTATCTCTAATAAAAATACAAAAAATTAGCTGGGCGTGGTGGTATGTGCCTGTAGTTCCAGCTACTCAGGAGGCTGAGGCAGGAGAATTGCTTGAAACCACCGGAAGGCGGAGGTTGCAGTGAGCCAAGATCATGTCACTGCACTCCAGCCTGTGCAACAAGAGCGAAACTCTGTCTCAAAAAAAAAAAAAAAGGACATATTTGGAGGACACATTAGGATAATTTTTCTTTTTTTTTTTTTTGAGATGGAGTCTGTCTCTGTCACCCAGGCTGGAGTGCAGTAACGTGATCTTGGCTCACTGCAACTTCTGCCTTCCGGTGGTTTCAAGCAATTCTCCTGCCTCAGCCTCCCGAGTAGCTGGGACTACAGGTGCCCACCACCACGCCCGGCTAATTTTTTTGTATTTTTAGTAGAGATGGGGTTTCACTGTGTTAGCCAGAATAGTCTCGATCTCCTGACCTCATGATCCACCCACGTTGACCTCCCTAAGTGCTGGGATTACAGGCTTGAGCCACTGCGCCTGGCCGGATAATTTTTCTTAAATGTTTAAACTTGGTGCCAGAGGCAATATGGAGCATACATGTTGGGTTGCCAACTTGATCCACAATTGAATTTGAATTATGTTAGCTTCAGGGGTAAAGTTTCTATCTACATCACAGAGCTGAATGGTAAGGAAAACCATATTGAATTAGGCTTGTCTTTTAATTTTTTGTAGAGATGGGACTCTCACAATGTTGCCCAGGTTAGTCTCAAATCCTGGCCTCAAGCGATCCTCCCATCTCCGCCTCCCAAAGTGCTGGGATTAGAACACCCAGCCAAATTCTATGTTTTGACCACTGTATTTTCCTAGCTGTTTTCCAGCTAATCAGAAGCACATACAAGTCAAAAATACCCAGAACACATAATTTCACAATACCTTGTAGAAAGCAGGGCAAGAACGGTTATATTAACATGTAATTCTAAGTCATATAATTGTTTTGTTTATGGTGAGCATATTTTGTAAAATAATTGGGATGCCTACTGCCTACTCTGACAAAAGTTGTTTTAATTTTTCTCATAGAAACTTGGGAATCTTTTAGTTGAAAGTTTCACAAATGTCTAAACATTAAATTACATTATGTTTAAATTGCCCTTCATTGTAGAATATAATAAAATTACCTATTCTTTTTTTTTTTTTTTTTTTTTTTTTTTGAGAAGGAGTTTCGCTCTTGTTGCCCATGCTGGAGTGCAATAATGGCCAGATCTCAGCTCATTGCAATCTCTGCCTCCTCCCAGGTTCAAGCAATTCTCCCGCCTTAGCCTCCTGAGTAGCTGGGATTACAGGCATGCGCCACCACGCCCGGCTAATTTTGTATTTTTTTTTTAGTAGAGATGGGATTTCTCCATGTTAGTCAGGCTGGTCTCAAACTTCTGACCTCAGGTGATCCTAACTGCCTACGGCCTCCCAAAGTGCTGGGATTACAGGCCTGAGCCACCGCACCCGGCTAAAATTACCTATTCTCAATACTTAGACTTAAGGCCACTACGATTTACTAGATCAGCATTAATTACTCAGGTTCATTTAAATCATGATGATGTTAAAGAAGGAAAAGAGAATCTGTATGCTCAGAATATTTTGAATTATATACCTTTATGGCCGGGCACACTGGCTCATGCCTATAATTCCAGCCCTTTGGGAGGCCAAGGAAGGGGAATCACTTGAGGTCAAGCCAACATGGTGAAACCTCATCTTTACTAAAAATACAAAAATTAGCCAGGTGTGGTGGCACAGGCCTATAGTCTCACCTATTCGGGAGGCGGAGGCATGATGAGAATTGCTTGAACCCGGGAAGTGGAGGTTGCAGTGAGCCGAGATTGTGCCACTGCACTCCAGCCTGGGGAACAGAGCGAGACTCCATATCAAAACAACAACAACAACAACAAAACCCAAAAAAACGAAGGCCGGGCGCGGTGGCTCACGCCTGTAATCCCAGCACATTGGGAGGCCAACACAGGTGGATCATGAGGTCAAGAGATCGAGACCATCCTGGCCAACATGGTAAAATCCCATCTCTACTAAAAATACAAAAATTAGCTGGGCATGGTGGTGTGCACCTGTAGTCCCAGCTACTTGGGAGGCTGAGGCAGGAGAATAACTTGAACCCGAAAGGCAGAGATTGCAGTTAGCCAAGATCACACCACTTCACTCCAGCCTGTGGACAGAGCGAGACTCTGTCTCAAAAAAAAAAAGAAAAAAAGAATTATGTCCCTTTACTATTCAGATTCTATAGATACTTTTCAGAGCTTCACTTTTATTAAGCTTTATATTTTGAGATGATGGTAGACTTGCACGTAGTTGTTAGAAAATAGCATAGTAATATCTTGCGTAACTATAATGTAGAAAACCGGAAACTGACAATACAGTCTACTAACTTTAATTAGATTTCACCAATTTTACCAATGTTCATTTGTGTGTGTTTGTGTGTATATTTAATTCTATGCAATTGTATCCGCATTTGAAGATTCCTGTGACCACCAACCCAGTGAAGATACAGAACAGAATTTAAAAAACCCAGAGTTTGCTTAATTTTTCCTTTTTTTTTTTTTTTTTAAATAAAGGGCTGGTCTTGGTAGCTCACACCTCTAATCCCAGCACTTTGGGAGGCTGAAGCGGGTGGATCACCTGAGGTCAGTAATTCGAGACCAGCCTGGCCAACATGGCAAAACCCTGTCTCTACTGAAAATACAAAAATTAGCCTGGCCTGGTGGCACACGCCTGTAATCCCGCCTACTTGGGAGGCTGAGGCAGGAGAATCACTTGAACCCAGGAGGCGGAGGTTGCAGTGAGATGAGATTGCACAACTGCACTCCAGCCTAGGTCACAGAGAGAGACTCCATCTCAAAAATAAAAATAAGAAACAGCCACCGCGTCTGGCCTGCTTTGATCAATTGATAGATTTTTTTTTTTTTTTTTTTTTTTTTTGAGATGGAGTCTCACTCTGTCACTCAGGCTGGAGTGCTGTGGCACAATGTTGGCTCACTGCAACCTCTGTCTCCTGGGTGCAAGCGATTATCCTGCCTCAGCTTCCCGAGTAGCTGAGACTGCAGGCATGTACCACCACACTTGGCTAATTTTTGTATTTTTAGTAGAGATGGGGGTTTCACCATGTTGGTCAGGATAGTCTCGAACTCCTGACCTCAAGTGATCCACCTGACTTGGTCTCCCAAAGTGCTAGGATCACAGGCATGAGCCCCCACCCCTGGCCCCAAGTTTTCTTTTCTGTGGGATAAATGCCCAATAATGCAATTACTGAGTCACATGGTATTTGTATGCTTAGATTTTTTTTTTTTTTTTTTTTTTGAGGCAGAATCTCGCTCCGTTGCCCAGGCTGGAGTGCAATGGCGCAATCTCGGCTCACCACAACCTCTGCCTCGCAGGTTCAAGGGATTCTCCCTGCCTCAGCCTTCTGAGTAGCTGGGATTACAGGCACCCGCCACCAAGACCAGCTAATTTTTGTATTTTTAGCAGAGATGGAGTTTTGTCATGTTGGCCAGGCTGGTCTCGAAGTCCGACCTCAGGTGATCCACCTGCCTCAGCCTCTCAAAGTATGGGGATTACAGGCGTGGGCCACTGCGCCCAGCCACTTAGATTGTTAAGAAGCTGCCAAACTCTATTCCAGAGCACCCGTACTATTTTATTTTATTTATTTTTTGAGATGCAGTCTTGCTCTGTCGCCCAGGCTGGAGCGCAGTGGCTCGATCTCGGCTCAATGGAACCTCCACCTCCTGGTTTCAAGCGATTCTCCTGCCTCAGCCTCCTGAGTAGCTGAGATTACAGGCGCATGCCACCACGCCCGTCTAATTTTGTTTTTCTATTTTTAGTAGAGACAGGATTTCGCCATGTTGGCCAGGCTGGTCTCGAACTCCTGACCTCAGGTGATCTGCCCACTTCGGCCCCTGAAAGTGCTGGGATTACAGGCATGAGCCACCGCGCCCAGCCTATTTATTTATTTATATTTTTGATATGGAGTCTCATTCTGTCTCCCAGGCTGGAGTACGGTGGTGCGATCTCAGTTCACAGCAACTTCCGCCTCCTGGGTTCAAGTGATTCTCCTATCTCAGCCTCCTGAGTAGCTAGGATTACAGGTGCACGCCATCATGCCCAGCTAATTTTTGTATTTTTAGTAGAGATGGGGTTTTACCGTGTTGACCAAGCTGGTCTTGTACTTCTGACCTCAAATGATTCACCCTCCTCAGCCTCCCAAAGTGCTGGGATTACAGGCGTGAGCCACTGTGCTCAGCCAGAGTAGGTGTACTATTTCACATTTCCATGAACAATGAGTAATCCACTTTTTCCACATCCTTGCCAGCATTTGATGTTACCACTGTTTTTTATTTTAGTCATTCTGACAGGTGTGTAGTGTTATTGCAGTTTTTATTTTGCATTGCCCTAATGGCTTACAATGTTATGTTCATTTGCCACCTGTATATCCTCTCCAGTGAAATGTCTATTCATATCTTTTTGCCCACTTTCTAATCATATTTTTTTTTTTTTTTACTCTTGGGTTTTAAGATCTCTTTATATATTCTAGACAAAATATGTTCCCTGGTCTACAATTTCTTTCTTTTCTTTCTCTCTCTCTCTCTCTTTTTTTTTTTTTTTTTGTTTGAGATGGTGTCTTGCTGTTGCCCAGGCTGGAGTGCAGTGGTGCTATGTCGGCTTACTGCAATCTCTATCTCACCGGTCGGTTCAAGTGATTCTTGTGCCTCAGACTTCTGCCTTTTTGTTTGTTTGTTTTTAGAGATGGAGTGTCCCTGTGTTGCCCAGGCTGGAGTGCAGTGGCTATTCACAGGTGAGATCATTAAGCACTGCAGCCTCAAAATTTTTTTTTTTTTTAGATGGAGTTTCGCTCTTGTTGCCCAGGCTGGAGTGCAATGACATGATCTCGGCTCACTGCAACCTCCGTCTCCCAGGTTCAAGTGATTCTCCTGCCTCAGCCTCCCGAGTAGCTGAGACTACAGAGATGTGCCACCATGCCCGGCTAATTTTGTATTTTCAGTAGAGACGAGGTTTCTCCATGTTGGTCAGGCTGGTCTCGAACTCCTGACCTCAGGTGATCCGCCCACCTCAGCCTCCCAAAGTGCTGGGATTACAGGCATGAGCCACTGCACCCGGCCTACACTACAGCCTCAAACTTCTGAGCTCAAGTGATCCTTCTGCCTCAGCCTCCCAGGTAGCTGACATCACAGGTGCTTGCCACTGAGGCTTGCTACTTTTCATCTTCCATTTTTTTTTTTTTGACAGAGTTTCACTCCGTTGCCCAGGCTGGAGTGCAATGGTGTGGTCTTGGCTCACTGCAACCTCCACCTCCCGGGTTCAAGCGATTCTCCTGCCTCAGCCTCCCGAGTAGCTGGGATTACCGGCATGAGTCACCACGTCCGACTAATTTTTTGTGTTTTTAGTAGAGGTGGGGTTTCACCATGTTGGCCAGGCTGGTCTCAAACTCCCGACCTCAGGTGATCCACCCACCTCGGCCTCCCAAAGTGCTGGGATTATAGGCATGAGCCACTGCACCCAGCCTCATTTTCTGTATAGGTTTTTTGTTTTTTGTTTGTTTGTTGTTGTTGTTTTCCTTCAGAGCAAATGCTTTCTCCTATGTTTTTCTCTAAAATTTTAAAGTTTCATATTTTAAGTCCATGTTTCATTTTGAGCTAATTTTAGTATAACAGAGTTTGCTTTTTTATGCCTATGGCTGCATTTCAAAAGCCTAGAATTGATTATTAAACAGGTATTGGATAATATGCTTTGATGGGGTTAGTAATAAGATCTCAGTAGGCTGTAGCATGAGAAACAGTGAAAGCTCCTCTCTAGGCCCCTATGATGACAAGGGGAGCAGCAGGAATTGACAGAAAACTAAAGTTGAAAGTCAGACTTCTATAGGCAGAATTAGCTAGATAATTCATGATAAAAAACATGATTTTTAATGTAGTGACAAGATAATAAGACTGAAAAAAAAATTTCTTTTGCCTAAATTGTCTAGACACTTTATCAATTTTTTATTCATTTTGAGCTATGGTGACCTAAGCAGCAATGAATACCTAAAAAATGACTAAAAACCAAACCACAGGGATTAACCACAAAACAGATCTCTTAGCTTGCACCTGGTTTTACCCTCTAACAAACATGCCAGTGGTCTGCATGGCCATTTTTTGGGTATGTTTGGCTTAAGGTCAGCAAACTAAGGCCCACAGTCTAAATACGGCCTGCTGCCTATTTTTGTAAAGTCTTATTAGAATACAGCTATGCCAGCTGGGCACAGTGGCTCATGCCTGTAATCTTAGCACTCTGGGAGGCTGAGGCAGGCAGATCACTTGAGCCCTGGAATTTGAGACCAGCCTGGGCAACATGGCAGAACCCCGTGTATTAGTCCAATTTTACAGTGCTGATAAAGATGTACCCGAGACTGGGAAGAAAAGTTTAATTGGACTTACAGTTCCACATGGCTAGGGGGGCCTCACAATCATGGTGGGGGGCGAAAAGCACTTCTTACATGGCAGCAGCAAGAGAAAAAACGAGGAAGCAAAAGTGGAAACCCCCGATAAACCTATCAGATCTCATGAGACTTGCGATCACAAGACAGCATGGGAAAGACCAGCCTCGATGATTCAATTACCTTCCCCTGGGTCCCTCCCACAACATGTGGGAAACCTGGGAGATACAATTCAAGTTGAGATTTGAGTGGGGACACAGCCAAACCCTATCATTCCACCCTTGGCTCCTCTAAATCTCATGTTCTTACATTTCAAAACCAATCATGCTTTCCCAACAGTCCCCCAAAGTCTTAACTAATTTCAGCATTAACCCAAAAGTCCACGGTCCAGAATCTCATCTGAGATGATACAATTCCCTTCTGCCTAGGGGCCTGTAAAATCAAAAGCAAGCTAGTTACTTCCTAGATACAATGGGGGTACAGGTATTGGATAAATCAGCCATTCCAAATGGGAGTAATTGGTGAAAACAAAGGGGTTATGGGCCCAGGCAAGTCCAAAATCCAGCGGGGCAGTCAAATTTTAAAGCTCCAAAATGATCTCCTTTGACTCCAGGTCTCACATCTAGGTCACGCTGATGCAAGAGGTGAGTTCCTATGGTCTTGGGCAGCTCTGCCCCTGTGGCTTTGCAGGGTACAGCCTCCCTCCCACTGCTTTCACAGGTTGGCGTTGTCGTCTGCAGCTTTCCCAGGCACACAGTGCAAGCTGTCAGTGGATCTATGATTCTGGGGTCTGGAGGATGGTGGCTCTCTTCTCACAGCTCCACTGGGCAGTGCCCCAGTAGGGACTCTGTGTGGGGGCTCCCACCCCACATTTCCCTTCCACACTGCCCTAGCAGAGGTTCTCCATGAGGGCCCTGGCCTGCAGCAAAATTTTGCCTGGGCATCCAGGCATTTCCATTCATCTTCTGAAATCTAGGCGGAGGTTCCCAAGCCTCAATTCCTGACTTCTGTGCACCTGCAGGCTCAACACCATATGGAAGCTACCAAGACTTGTGGCTTCCACCCTCTAAAGCCACAGCCTGAGCTGTATGTTGGCCCTTTTCACCCATGGCTGGAGCAGCTAGGACACAGGGCACCAAGTCCCTAGGATGCACACAGCACAGGGACCCTGGGCCCCACCCACAAAACCACTTTTTCCTCCTGGGCCTCCAGTCCTGTAATGAGAGGAGCTGCAGTGAAAGTCTCTGACATGTCCTGGAGACATTTTCCCCATGGTCTTGGGGATTAACATTAGGGTCCTTGCTACTCATACAAATTTCAGCAGCCGGCTTGAATTTCCCCCCAGAAAATGGGTTTCTCTTTTTCTTTCTTTCTTTCTTTCTTTTTTTTTTTTTTTTTTTTTTTTGAGACAGAGTCTTGCTCTTCTTGCCCAGGCTAGAGTGCAATGGAGTGATCTCGGTTTACTGCGACCCCTGCTTCCCGGGTTCAAGCGATTCTACTGCCTCAGCCTCCTGAGTAAGCTGGGATTACAGGTATGCACCACCACACCTGGCTAATTTTGTATTTTTAGTAGACAGGGTTTCACCATCTTGGTCCGGCTGGTCTCAAACTCCTGACCTCATGTGATCCACCCAACTTGGCCTCCCAAAGTGTTGGGATTACAGGCGTGAGCCACTGCACCTGGCCCTTTTTTTTTTCTTTTTTTTTTTGAGACGGAGTTTCCCTCTTGTTGCCCAGGCTGGAGTACAATGGTGTGATCTCGGCTCACTGCAACCTCCGCCTCCCAAGTTCAAGCAATTCTCCTGCCTCAGCCTCCCAAGTAGCTGGGATTACAGGCATGCACCATCATGCCTGGATAATTTTGTATTTTTAGTAGAGACGGGGTTTCTCCATGTTGAGGCTGGTCTCGAACTCCTGACCTCAGGTGATCCGCCCGCCTTGGCCTCCTAAAGTGCTGGGATTACAGGCATGAGCCACCACGCCCAGCTTTTCTTTCTTTCTTTTTTTTTTTTTTGAGACAGAGTTTCTTTCACTCTTGCCGCCCAGGCTGGAGTGCAATGGCGCCATCATCTCTGCTCACCACAACCTCTGCCTCCCGGCTTCAAGCGATTCTCCTGCCTCAGCCTCCGGAGTAGATGGGATTACAGGTGCCCACCGCCACGTTTGGCTAATTTTTGTACTTTTAGTAGAGACAGGGTTTCACCATGTTGGCCAGGCTGATCTCAAACTCCTGACCTCAGGTTATCAGCCCACCTCAGCCTCCCGAAGTGCTGGGATTACAAGTGTGAGCCACTGTGCCTGTCCGGGCTTTTCTTTTCTATCACATAATCAGGCTACAAATTTTCCAAACTTTTATGCTCTGCTTCCCTTATAAAACTGAACACCTTTAACAGTACCCAAGTCACCCCTTGAATGCTTTGCTGCTTAGAAATTTCTTCAGCCAGATATCCTAAATCATCTTTCTCAGGTTCAAAGTTCCACAAATCTCTAGGGCAGGGGCAAAATGCCACCAGTCTCTTTGCTAAAACATAACAAGAGTCACCTTTACTCTAGTTCCCAACAAGTTCCTCATCTCCATCTTAGACCACCTCAGCCTGGACCTTATTCTCCTTATCACTATCAGCATTTTGGGCAAAGCCATTCAGCAAGTCTCTAGGAAGTTCCAAACTTTCCCACATTTTCCTGTCTTCTTCTGAGCCCTCCAAACTGTTCCAACTTCTGCCTGTTACCCAGTTCCAAATTCACTTCCACATTTTTGGTATCTTTTCAGCAACGCCCCACTCTCCTGGTACCAATTTACTGTATTAGTCCATTTTCATGCTGCTGATAAAGACATACATGAGACTGGGAAGAAAAAAGGGTTTAATTGGACTTACAGTTCCACATGGCTGGGGAGGCCTCACAATCATGGTGGGAGGTGAAAGGCCCTTCTTACATGGCAGGAGCAAGAGAAAAAATGAGGAGGAAGCAAAAATGGAAACTCCTGATAAACCCATCAGATCTCCTGGACTTATTCACTATCATGAGAATGGCATGGGAAAGACTGGCCCCCATGATTCAATTATCCCCCTGGGTCCCTCCCGCAACACTTGGGAAATCCGGGAGATAGAATTCAAGTTGAGATTTAAGTGGGGACACAGCCAAACCATATCACCTACCTCTACAAAAAATACAAGAATATTAGCTGGGTGTGGTGGCGGATGCTTGTATTCCTAGCTACTTGTGGGGCTGAGGTGGGAGGATCGCTTGAGCCCAGGAGGTTGAGGCTGCAGTGAGCTGAGATTGCGCCACTGTACTCCAGCCTGGGTGACACAGCAAGATCTTCTCTCAAAAAAAAAAAAAAAAAGAATACAGTTATGCCCATTCATTGAGTTATAGTCTATGTCTCCTTTTGCACTGCAATGGCAGAGTTTAGTTGTGACAAGAAGTCAATGGTATTTACTATCTGGCCCTTTACAGAAAATGTTTTTTGACCCTTGTTCTTGGCTCACAAATGCTGAGACAACATGTGAAAAGCACCATGATAGAAAATATTTCTAAGGTATAATTATCAACATTTTTTTTTTTTTTTTGAGACGGAGTCTCGCTCTGTCACCCAGGCTGAAATGCAGTGGTGTGATCATGGCTCACTGCAGCCTCCACCTCCCAGGCTCAGGTGATCCTCCCACCTCAGCCTCCTAAGTAGCTGGGACTACAGGTGCGCGCCACCACACCAGGCTAATTTTTGTATTTTTTTAGAGACAGGGTTTTGTCATGTTGCCCAGGTTGGTCTCCAACTCCTGGGCTCAAACAATCTGCCCGCCTCTGCCTCCCAAAGTGCTGGGATTACAGGCATGAGCCACCCTGCCAGTCAGTGTCAACTCTTTGAAACAAAATAACCTAAAGGCAGCTGTATCCACACACATAAATTTATAAAAAATCTATCTTGAGGGGTAAATGGCTTTTCTTTTGAAGCTGAAATTCCTACTCACACACCTCTGAGCATTGCCCCTGAGTCTGGGTCAGATTTGTGTTCCCAGAGCATCAAAGGTGTTTGTAAGCAAGTGCACATGTCATTTGGTAACAGACATCCAGCACAGTTGAGAAAAGCTTTATATATAAATTATATTTTATCAATCCTTGATAAGAATCTTCAGCAAAATGACCCATGACCATTTCATGACTGTTATTCAAAGAACTGAATGTGATGTGACTTAGAGAAGTACTAACACTCATTTCAAATTTACCCCTTGGCCTCAGACAGGATTCCAGCCAGAACTCAGCCATGTGTGGTGCCAAGTGGAGTTAAAAACTGCACAGTGTCTTCTTGTTCCAGCCTTTGAGGTTGCTAAGGTCAAGGGTGGGCATGGGAACATGCCAGTCATAAGATGATTCTCCATCAGCTCTACAACCCCCTTCTACACTCTGCTATGTGGTGCCAGGTCTCAGCAGACCTCATTTCTGCTTTTTCAGCTGGCTTCCAGAAGGTTATGCCCATAGGGTCTGTCAGGGGGACACCGGAAGGCAGGAGGAGGGAGAAGGGACTGGCTCCTGCCTGCTGGCTGTTTCTTTCAGCAGTGCCACAGCAATGACTCTTCATCACTCTGATAGAATCAGCTGGCTCCAGTCTCCAGCATTTTTTTTTTTTTTTTTGAGACAGAGTTTCACTCTGTTGCCCAGGCTGGAGTGCAGTGGTGTGCTTCGCTCACCACAACCTCCACCTCCTAGGTTCAAGAGATTCTCATGAACCTGGGATTACAGGAGTATGGCACCATGTCCAGCTAAGTTTTATATTTTTTAGTAGAGACAAGGTTTCACCATGTTGGCCAGGCTGGTCTCGAACTCCCGACCTCAAGTGACCCACCCACCTCAACCTCCCAAAGTGCTGGGATTACAGGTGTGAGCCACTGCACCTGGCTCCAGTCTTCAGCTTTTCCACACACTCTTAGAGCCACCTGCATATCCAAGCAACACCCCCTTCCCATGGGTCTGAGTCCCAGCTTTCCAGGACCTCTCCTCCAAATTTCTAGTTCTGAGAATCCCAACCTAATCCGTTTGTTCCCCTAGATCGAGGCATGATGCCTACTTCCTAAAGGCTTTATCTCTGTGTTACCTCGTTTTCCCTTTCTGCTTTTTTCAGTTATCCCTACTGGATTAGCCAATTCCTTATACTAAATTATCTCTGGTGAAATACCTAGTAAACCTTGTGTTTTCCAGACTGGACCCTTACTGATAAGGCAACATGTCACAGAATCATTTGACACACAGGCATAAGAAGCAGAAAAAAAAAAAAGTGGATCTGCTAATGCACTTTTTTTTTTTTTTGACAGAGTCTTACTCTGTCGCCCAGGCTGGAGTGCAGTGGCACCATCTCGGCTCACTGCAACCTCTGCCTCTTGGGTTTAAGCAATTCTCATGCCTCAGCCTCCCAGGTAGCTGGGACTACAGGTGCGCACCACCATGCACAGCTAATTTTTGTATTTTTAGTAGAGATGGGGTCTTGCCATGTTGGCCAGGCTGGTCTCAAACTCCTGGCCTCAAGTGATCTACTTGCCTCAGCCTCGCAAAGTGCTGGGATTACGGGCATGAACCACCGTGCCTGGCCAAATTTTTTTGACATGGTCTCATTTTGCCACTGAGGCTGGAGCGCAGTAGCTCAATCTCAGCTCAATGGCCACACCTGGCTAATTTTTGTACTTTTTTTAGAGACGGGGTTTTGCCCTGTTGCCCAGGCTCCTCTCAAACTCTTGAGCTCAAGTGATCCACCAGGCTCAGCCTCCCAAAGTGCTGGGATTAGAGGCGTGAGCCACCACGCCTGGCCTTAATGCACTAACTTGCTCAGCCTCTTTGGCAAAAATTATTTCTCACAGAAGTAATGAGTAGAACAGTAGTTACTAGAGGCTGGGAAGGATAGGGGGATAGGGAGAGGTTGGTTAAAGTATACAAAATTACAGCTAGGTAGAAAGGATAAGTGCTAGTGTTTCATAGCATTGTAGGGTGCCGACAATTAACAATAATATATTATAAAGGTCGAGCACGGTGGCTCAAGCCTGTAATCCCAGCACTTTGGGAGGCCAAGGTGGGCGGATTGCTTGAGCCCAGGAGTTTGAGAGTAGCCTGGGCAACATGGTGAGAACCCCTCTCTACAAAAAATGCAAAAATTAGCTTGGCATGGTGGCATATATCTGTGGTCCCAGCTACTTGGGAGGGAGGCTGAGGTGGGAGGATCACTGGAACCTGGGAGGTGGAGGTTGCAGTGAGCTGAGATCGTGCCACTGCACTCCAGCCTGGGTAAAAGAGCGAGACCCTGTCTGAAATTTAAATAATAATAATAATTTATTATGTATTTTCAAGTAGCTAGATGAGAGGATTTTGAATGTTCTCAACACAAAGTAATGATAAATGTTTGAGGTGATGAATATGCTAATTATCCTATTTTGATCACTACACATTGTATGTATCCAAATATCACTATGTACCCCCATAAATATGTACAATCATTATGTGTCAACTCAAATAGTTAAAAAATATATTAAAAGAGGGAAAGGCAGAACGCTTCCTGAGAGCAAGGACCTCCTTTGTCGAGGTCAGGGCTGTGTCTTCAGCAACGAAACACTATCTGGGACTTAGTACATGCTTAAGAAATAGGTGTTGATTGACAGAGCTCCCAAGAGCTCCACAAGGGTCCCCCTAGGACTGTCACAGGTTCTTGTATGTCGGAGGGAGAGGTCTTCCCCTTCGTCTCCTTGGGGGGAGGGGAAGGTGTTGGGGAACAACTGCCCCTTCCTCTATCTCCCTCGCCCCTCCTTCCCCATGGCCCCCTCCCCCGTCCTTCTACCTTTCTCCTTCCCAGCCCTTTCCGGTTCTCCCCCGACCCTTCACGGCTCCTCTTCCCGCCGCTCCTCTTCCCGCCGCCCCTCTTCCCTCGCCACCTACCGCTGCTTTTCCTCCCATTCTCGCCCCGCCCCTTCCCCCGCCCTCCCCGCGCCCCGTCGCACGAGCGCTCCCTGCGAGTGGCGCAGGTAACAGACCGCAGGGGCAAGACAGCCGGCGCGGGAGGAGGATGGCGCTGTCGGTGCTGCGCTTGGCGCTGCTGCTCCTGGCAGTTACCTTCGCAGGTAGCGCTCGGAGCGGTCCTGGCGAGCGGGGACCTCCGGAGAAAAGCGGGTTTGGGAGTCAGACCGGCGGCGGACCCTGCCCTGCTCCGGGCGGCCTCGGCGACGGTACCCGCGCGCCCGTTACTGGCGGTTCCCCAGAGGACCTGCCAGGTGGAGGAACGCGAACTGGGGGTTGTGGGGGTGGCTTTGTGGAGTCAGCCACCCTCTTTAGTTCTTGCTTGGGCTTCGCTCCCAGCTCTAAGGACACCTGCCATCTAGAGCGCTTTCTCTGTTAAAGTAGATTTTCAGGTGCCCAAGATGAGGAGTTGAGTTTTTATGTATGGTCCCAAGGGAGGAGATGTGCAGGAATGAGGAATTGTGGATGCTTACGAGAAAGGGGCTTTAGTCCAACCACACTGGACACCTCTCTTAAAATGGAGTTAAAATGCTCACATCTTATATTAAATTTTGTATTTGTTACCCCGAGTTGTAAAGGAAAATAACATCATGAACTATTAATTAAGGGTTACTTCCTTGGCCAGGTGTAGTGGCTTGGGCCGGTAGTCCCAGTTACTCCGGAGGTTGAGGCGGGAGGCTCGCTTGAGACCAGGAATTGAAGCTGCAGTGCGCTAGCGCGACTTTTATTCCATAGCTTCAAAGTCCTTTCTCAACCAACCCTAATGGGAACAGAACCAAATGTTATTTCTATGTGCTTTTGGGGAGAGGTGCCATAAAAAACTGAATATCCTTTCTGGGGGAAGTGGGATGGGGACAGTTTAAAGAAGGTAGGCATTAGAGGGGAAAATAGAAGATGTGGCCTGGATAAATCCCAAACTGGATTTTAAAACATCCTTATGAAGCTGGATGTGGTGGCTAATGCCTCAAATTCCAGCACTTTGGGAGGCCTAGGCAGGAAGATCGCTTAAGCCCGGGAGGTCAAGACCAGCCTGGGCAACATAGCAAGACTTCATTTAAAAAAAAAAAAAACTTCATGAACAATACCTTACCTTGATCCTATACTGTAAAATGTCTATGCTTTCTTCTTACAGCCTCTCTGATCCCTCAATTTGGTCTGTTTTCAAAATATAGAACGGTAAGTAGCAAACCACTTCTACTGTTTCTACTAATACAGTGAAGCCCAAAACCGTTTGGGAGGGAGGCTGGCTTTCAGGTCTGACCTGCCACTTTTGAAACCATTGAGGACTGCGTTTAAAACCAGGTTGTCAGGCAGGCCTTTTGATTCAGATAAAAGTGTAAGTTTTAGTTGAAAACAGCTCAGTCTTTGTGTTAATATTTCCTTTAAAGATTCAAAAGGTCCTTAGAAAAAGTTATGCCTTGTACTAGATATTTTATGTACTTTATCAAATTAAATTCTGAGGATGTAAATGGAGACCAACCAAATGAGAACAAGCAAAGGCTATGTTTTTCAGGGCTTGTTATAGCAAGAGAGTCAGCCACTGTCACTTGCATTTGAGTAGGGACTCGAGTCAAAGAGAGGAGTGGGAAAACTATAGTGGAAAAAAGGAATGGCTTCAGGTATGGCCTGATTGGAGGCTGTTGGCACAGGGAAGCTGTAGGTGAGCTAACTAGAAGCACAACATTCTATGGTATGGGTTAGGGGTGTGTATTTGGTTTTCTCTGGTTGTCCTAAGTTGGAATCAAGGACAGAAATTACGGAAGCTGTCAGTTAGTAATCAAATCCTAACCATTTTGCAGCTGGGCGCAGTGACTCACGCCTGTAATCCCAGTGCTTTGGGAGGCCGAGGTGGGCAGATCACGAGGTCAGGAAATCAAGACCATGCTGGCTAACATGGTGAAACCCCGTCTGTACTAAAAATACAAAAAATTAGCCAGGCATCATGGCACGTGCCTGTAATCCCACCTACTGGGAAGGCTGAGGCAGGAGAATCACTTGAACCTGGGAGGCAAAGGTTGCAGTGAGCTGAGTTCATGCCACTGCACTCCAGCCCAGACAACAGAGTGAGACTTCATCTCAAAAAAAAAAAAAAAGAAAGAAAAAAAAGTCCTAGCCATTTTGGGCTGATTGTTAAAGGGGTTATTGTTTTGCTTCCTGGACTGTCACTAGAGATAGCAGTCTGATTTCCTTCAAGTCTGGCTTATAGCCGGCTGGCCTCCTGGCCTGGTTATTCTAAATAATGGTTTGGGTTCCTGGACAGGATGCTGCAGGTTGTGGGTCAGAGTTCTGTTTTATATAAGGACTAGTCATTGTCTGTATATTTGGTCTCTCAATTCTCACAATGATGTTGTAAGATAGACATTATTTGACATATGAGGATATTGACTTCAGCAGGTTAACTTTGAGCATTCAGCTCAGAGTAGGCTTCTTCCAGGAAGCCTTCCCACGCGATTCCCTTCCTCTAGAGATGTAGATATGTATACACACACACTTTCTCTGTGCTTACCTATACTGCATCATCATCACCATCATAATAATAAATACTTAGATACCTACATGCCACACCAGTGTTCTAAATGCTTCATATATAATAACTAATTTCATCTTTCACAGTACTGTGAGGTAGGGATCATTATTTCATTATTATCCCCTTGGCCAAGGTCACATGGAAGTGGTGGAGCTATGCTTCTCATCCAGGCAGTCTGACTCCAGATCCAGTGCTTTTCTCTACCCTGTCACAACATTAGGTTGTAATTGCCTGTTTGCCTACGTCCTCCAGGAAACTGTATGCATGTTGTCAGGTATAATGTCTTATTTGCTATTTGTTGCTCAGTCTTCAGCATCTCACAGATGCCCAATAACACTTTTAGTCAGTGATTCAGTTTGCTTGGGTTTGATTTTCTTTTAGAAAATGGGAGTTATGGTACCTTCGTTTCAAGGCTGGGATTAGGGTAAAGTGAGTGAGTTCCTACATGTAGAATTTAAGAAGGCACTCACGCTCAGGAGGCAAGGCAAGTGCTGCAGGACCTGCTGTCTTTTTTTGTTTTTTGGAGACGGAGTCTTGCTTTGTCATCCAGGCTGGAGTGCAGTGGCGAGATCTCTGCTCACTGCAACCTGAGGCCTCCCGGGTTCAAGTGATTCTTCTGCCTTAGCCTCCCGAGTAGCTGAGACTACAGGCATGTGCCACCACGCCCGGCTAATTTTTTTGTATTTTTGGTAGAGGCAGTGTTTCACCATGTTGGCCAAGCTGGTCTTGAACTCCTGACCTCACAGGATGCACCCACCTTGGCCTTCCAAAGTGCTGGGATTGCAGGCATGAGCCACCGCTCCCGGCCTGGACCTGCTGTCTTTTGACAAGATTGTTAAAAGGATGACTCACACAAGAGATCTTTGGTTTGGCTGGTTTTTGTGCAGTGGTGTTTACAACTAATTGATCACAACCACAGATTTCTCTGTTCCTTTTCTATTCCACTGCTTCGCTTGACCAGTCTTAAGAAAAAAGGGAGAGAGACAGAGAGATTGATCTTTGGTTTTTCTTCCTTATTTCCATTGCCACTGCTCTAATTTAGGACGCCCATTATCTCTTACCTAGATTAGCATAGTGGCTTTTCAATGGGTTTTCCCCATCCTTTTGGTATCTTCACTTTCCACTTCCTGCTACACACTGCTGCTTCAATTAGTCTCTAAAACCTCAACTGAATGTAGCATGTCTCTGTGCAAAATCTTCAAGGACTTCTCATTGCCCACAGAGAAAGTCTAACCTCATCGACACAGCCTACTTTTCTACCTGTACCTTCTGGTGCTTTCTCATAGTTTATCCTCCTCTATCCTTAGTGCCACACTTTTTTTTTTTTTTTTGAGATGGAGTTTCACTCTTGTTGCCAGGGTGGAGTGCAGTGGCACGATTTTGGCTCACTGCAACCTCCATCTGCTGAGTTCAAGCGATTCTCCTGCCTCAGCCTCCCAAGTAGCTGGGATTACAGGCGTGCACTGCCATGCTCGGCTAATTTCTATATCTTTAGTAGAAGTAGGGTTTCACCGTGTTGGCTAGGCTGGTCTCAAACTCCTGACGACCTCAGGTCATCTGCCCGCCTCGGCCTCCCAAAGTGCTGGGATTACAAGCGTGAACCACCGCACCCGGCCTGATTACTGTAGTTTTATAGTAAGTTTCAAAATGAGGAAATGTGAATCCTCCAACCTTTTTTTTCTTAGTCAAGACTGTTTTGGCTATTTGGAGTCCCTTATATTTCCATCTGAATTTTAAGATCAATTTGTCAGTTTCTGCTGCAAAAAAAGATAGCTAAGATTTTGTTGGGGATTCCATTGAACCTGTATATCTATTTGGAGAGTATTGCCATCTTAAAAGTGTTAAGTCTTATGATCCATGAACATGGGATGTCTTTCTATGTATTTAGGCCTTTAATTTCTTTCAACAATGCTTTGTAGTTTTCAGTATACATGTCTTACACTTTGTAAATATTTATTCCTAATGTTTTTGTTTTTGTTTTTTGAGATGGAGTCTCGCTCTATCGCTCAGGCTGGAGTGCAATGGCATGATCTCGGCTCACTGCAACCTCTGCCTCCTGGGTTCAAGCAATTCTCCTGCCTAAGCCTCCTGAGTAGCTGGGATTACAAGTGTGTGCCACCACGCCCAGCTAATTTTTGTATTTTTAGTAGAGATGGGGTTTTACCATGTTGGTCAGGCTGGTCTCGAACTCCTGACCTCGTGATCTGCCCGGCTCAGCCTCCCCAAGTGCTGGGTTATAGGCGTGAGCCACCGCACCTGGTCTTTCTAGATGTTTTATTTTTTTATTTTATTTTATTTTTTTTTTTTGAGACAGTGTCTCACTCTGTTATCCAGGCTGGAGTGAAGTGGAGCCATCTCGACTCACTGCAGCCTCCGCCTCACAGGTTCAAGTGATTCTCCTGACTCAGCCTCCCAAGTAGCTGGATTACAGGTTCCCGCCACCATGCCCAGCTAATTTTTTTTCGTGTATATATGTATATATATCTATATATAGATATATAGATATAAAATATATATTTTATTTATTTATTTTGAGATGGAGTCTTACTCTGTCACCCAGGCTGGAGTATAATGGTGTGATCTCGGCTCACTGCAACTTCCACCTCCTGGGTTCAAGCGATTCTCCTGCCTCAGCCTCCCGAGTAGTTGGGATCACAGGCACCCACCACCACGCCCAGCTAATTTTTCTATTTTTAGTAGAGACGGGGTTTCACCAGGTTGGCCAGGCTGGTCTTGAATTCCTGACCTCAAGTGATCCTCCCACCTCGGCCTCCCAAAGTGGTGGGATTACAGGTGTGAGCCACTGTGCCTGGCCTATATTTTTTTAGTAGAGACAAGGTTTCACCATGTTGGCCAGGCTGATCCCAGCACTCCCAAAGTGCTGAGATTAAGGGTGTGAGCCACCATGCCTGGCCCTAGAGATGTTTTATTCTTTTTGATGCTATTGTAAGTGGAATTGTTTTCTTAGTTTTATTTTCAGATTTTTCATTGTTAGTGTATAGAAATAAAATTGAGTTTTATATATTGATCTTGTATCTTTCAACCTTGTTGAACTTGTTTATTAGTCCTTTTTCTTTTTTCCAAGACTGAGTCTTGTTCTGTGGCTCATGCTAGAGTGCAATAGCATGATCATAACTTAATATAACCTTGAACTCCTGGGCTCCAGTGATCCTTCTGCCTCATCCTCCTGAGAAGCTAGGACTACACACACAGGTCACCACACATGGCTAATTTTTAATTGTTTGTAGAGATGGGGTCTTGCTATGTTGCCCAGGCAGGTCTTGAACTCATGGCCTCAAGTCATCCTCCTACCTCAGCCTCCCAAAGTACTGGAATTACAGGAATGAGCCACCATACCTGGCCTTGTTTATTAGTAATAATAGTTTTGTGTGTGTGTGTGTGTGTGTGTGTGTGTGTGTGTGAATTTCTTAGGAATTTCTATATAACAAGATTGTGTCATCTTTGTTGTTTGTTTGTTTGTTTTTTGAGACACGGTCTTACTCTTCCACCAGGTTGGAGGGCAGTGGTACAATCTCAGCTTACTACAACCTCCGCTTCCCAGGTTCAAGCGATTCTCCTGCCTCAGCTTCTCAAGTAGCTGGGATTACAGGTGCCTGCCACCACGCCTGGCTAATTTTTGCATTTTTAGTACAGGCAGGGTTTCACCATGTTGGCCAGGCTGATCTCGAACTCCTGGCCTCAAGTGATCTGCCTGCCTTGGCCTCCAAAAGTGTTGGGATTACAGGCATGAGCCCCTCTGTCATCTTTGAATAGAGATAGTTTTACTTCTTCCTTTCCAATCTAGGTGCATTTTATTTATTTTTCTTGGGTAATTGTCCTGGCAAGAAACTTCGGTATAGTGTTGAATAGAAGAGGTGAAAGTGGACATTCTTGTGTTTTTTTCTGATTTTAGGGAAAAGCATTGAGTCCTTTACCATTGAGTAGAATGTTTGCTTAGGTTATTCATGGATGCCTTTTATTTTATTTTATTTTTGTTTTTGTTTTTTCTATGGATGCCTTTTATAAGGTTGAGGAAGTTCTCTTCTGTTCCTGGTTCGTTGAGTGCTGTGTTTTTTGTTTGTTTGTTTGTTTGTTTTTTGAGACAGAGTTTCACCCTTGTCCCCTAGGCTGGAGTGCAATGGAGTGATCTTGGCTCACTGCAACCTCTGCCTCCTGTGTGATTCTCCTGCCTCAGCCTTTGTTTTTTTTTTTTTTTTTTTTTTTGAGACGGAGTCTTGCTCTGTCACCCAGGCTAGAATGCAGTGGCATGATCTCGGCTCACTGCCAGCTGTGCCTCCTGGGTTCACGCCATTCTCCTGCCTCAGCCTCCCGAGTAGCTGGGACTACAGGCGCCCACCACCATGTCTGGCTAATTTTTTGTATTTTTAGTAGAGGCGGGGTTTCATCGTGTTAGCCAGGATGGTCTCGATTTCCTGACCTCGTGATCCACCTGCCTCGGCCTCCCAAAGTGCTGGGATTACAGGCATGAGCCACCGCGCCTGGCCACCTCTTTTTTTTAAAAAAAATCATAAAAGAGTTTTGGAGGTTCCTTTAAACTGTTAACTCCAATGCCAACCACTTCTCTTGCCACTGTGCCTTTGCTTGATCAATTTTATTTCCTTGCGGTAGACATTCTCCCAGCCTTCTATATTAAATTTTACCCTTTCTTCAAGACCAGCATGTGTATTTCTCAATTGCCTTATTCGACCCTAAGCTTCTTATAGGCAGGATCCAACTTTTCTTTGTCTTTGTGTCTCCCGTAACATCTGTAAATGAGTGATTATACCAGTAAACGGTATAAGAACCTTTCAGGAAAAAAGCTTTAGAGCAGCGGTCCCCAGCCTTTTTGGGACCAGGGACCAGTTTGTAGAAGACAATTTTTCCATGGACTGAGGAATGGGGTGGGGTGGGCAGAGATGGTTTGGGATGAAACTCAGACCATCAGGCGTTAGTTAGGAGTCTCGGCAGGGTGCGGCGGCTCATGCCTGTAATCCCAGCACTTTGAGAGGCTGAGGCTGGCGGATCACAAGGTCAGGAGTTTGAGACCATCCTGGCCAACATGGTGAAAGCCGGTCTCTACTAAAAATACAAAAATTAGCCGGGCGTGGTGGTGGGTGCCTTTAATCCTACCCATATGGGAGGCTGAGGCAGGAGAATCGCCTGAACTTGGGAGGCAGAAGTTGCAGTGAGCCAAGATCGCGCCACTGCACTCCAGCCTGGGCGACAGAGTGAGACTTTGTCTCAAAAAAAAAAAAAAAAAAAAAAGGGCCAGGTGCAGTGGCTCATGCCTGTAATCCCAGCACTTTGGGAGGCTGAGGCGGGCAGATCACCTGAGGTCAGAAGTTTGAGACCAGCCTGGCTAACATGGTGAAACCCTGTTTCTACTAAAAATACAAAAATTTAGCTGGTCGTGGTGGCATGCGCCTGTAATACCAGCTAATGGGGAGGCTGAGACAGGAGAATTGCTTGAACCTGGGAGGCAGAAGTTGCAGTGAGCCGAAATGGCACCATTGCACTCCAGCTTGGGCAACAAGAGCAAAACTCTGTCTCAAAAAAAAAAAAAAGTCTCATAAGGAGTGCACAACCTAGATTCCTCACATGCCCATGTCACAATAGGGTTCGTGCTCCTATGAGAATCTAATGCCATCGCTGACCTGACAGGAGGCAGAGCTCAGTTGATAACGCTCACTGGCCAGCCACTTCCCTCCTCCTAACAGGAGGCCCAGTTCCTAACAGGCCATGGACTAGTACCAGTTTGTGATCTGATGGTTGGAAACCCCTGCTCTAGAGTATAAAGGTCAGAGAATTGCTTAAAATTTTATCATATCCTTCTATAAGAATTATTTTAATTCGTAATTTTTTTGAGACAGTTTCGCTGTTGTTGTCTAGGCGGGAGTGCAGTGGTGCAATCTCGGCTCACTGCAACCTCTGCCTCCCAGGTTCAAACGATTCTCCTGTCTCAGCCTCTCAAGTAGCTGGGATTACAAGCATGCGCCACCACCCCCAGCTAATTTTTGTATTTTTGCTAGAGATGGGGTTTCACCATGTTGACCCAGGCTGGTCTTGAACTCCTGACCTCAGGTGATCCACCTGCCTCAGCCTCCCAAAGTGCTGGGATTACAGGCATGAGCCACCACGCTCCGCTCTTCTATGAGAATTAAAATGACATTAAGGAATAATAAATGTGCAGTGGTCCTCTTCCAGAGAGTGGAGAGGAAGTTTTGGGGCAATGTCTGCCCAGATTGAACTCTCTTCCTGTAGTTAGTATCTTGTGCGGTGAAATTTGGAGTCTCCATAGATGATGAACCTGTTTTGAACATTTTTCCTTTGGCACAAATTTGCTTCAATTCTCAATTTCCTGCTTTCTTTAATGTTTTTGGTTAAATGTCAGTGCCTTAAAAGTTCAGATTGAAAGATTAGATTCCTGATTTTGTCTTGGCATTAAGGCAAGGGATTAAGGTGGAATTTAATAAACATCCACATGGAGATTTTAGTGAAGTGCAAATTATGAAGCTAGATAATAAAAAAGTAGGTGTGGTGGCATGTCTTAGACTTGCATTTAAAAATCAGCCAGATTGAAGCCTCTGAGGTCCTTTTTTTTTTTTTTTTTTTTTTTTTTTTGAGATGGAGTTTCGTTCTCGTTGCCCAGGTTGGAGGGTTGGAGTGCAATGGCGTGATCTCGGCTCACCGCATCCTCTGCCTCCCAGGTTCATTCGATTCTCCTGCCTCAGTCTCCCGAGTAGCTGGGATTACAGGCATGCGCCACCGTGCCCGGCTAATTTTTTATTTTTTAGTAGAGACAGGGTTTCTCCATGTTGGTCAGACTGGTCTCGAACTCCCAGTCTCGGGTGATCTGCCCACCTTGGCCTCCCAAAGTGTTGGGATTACAGGCGTAAGCCACTGCTCCCAGCCAAAGTCCTTTTTTTACATAATATGTATTGAACCATCACACCAACATTGTATCTGATTTTTGCATTAGAAAATTTTTTTTTGCCAGGCGCAGTGGCTCACGCCTGTAATCCTAGCACTTTGGGAGGCCAAGGCGGGTGGATCATGACGTCAGAAGTTCGAGACCAGCTTGGTCAACACGGTGAAACCCTGTCTCTACTAAAAATACAAAAATTAGCGGCATGGAGGCGTGCGCCTGTAATCCCAGCTACTTGGGAGGCTGAGGCAGGAGAATCGCTTGAGCCCAGGAGGTGGAGGTTGCAGGGCGAGACTCTGTCTCAAAAAAAAAAAAAAAAAAAGAAAAAATTTTTCTGGAAAATAAAAATATTTTTATTAAATGATTCTAGGAAATCTAGGGAGATCTGGGACATTTTCTCCTCTGAACTATTTTATATGAGTGTGTCTCAAGTCATTCTCGAATTTCTCTCTTTCTTTTTTCCAGCCAAACTGCTCTCAGTATAGATTACCAGGATGTCCCAGACACTTTAACCCTGTGTGTGGCAGTGACATGTCCACTTATGCCAATGAATGTACTCTGTGCATGAAAATCAGGTAACATGATTTTACAGCTGTAGACTAGCCAAGTTTTCTTCATTTCTTTTTTTTTCTTCTTTTTTTTTTTGACAGAGTCTCACTCTGTCACCCAGGCTGGAGTGCAGTGGTGCAATCTTGGTTCACTGCAACCTCTGCCTCCTGGGTTGAAGCAATTCTTGTGCCTCAGCCTCTGGAGTAGCTGGGATTACAGGCACCTGCCACCACGCTTGGCTAATTTTTAATTTTAGTAGAGACAGGGTTTCACCATGTTGGCCAGGCTGGTTTCGAACTCCTGACCTCAAGTGATCCACCCGCCTTGGCCTCCCAAAGTGCTGGGATTACAGGCGTGAGCCACCGCGCCTGACCTCTTCATTTCTTTTGTTGAATTTTGATTACTTAGGGGGTAGTGACAATTTTCTTGGATGTAAGAATCAAAGGTGGTATGGTAGTTCTCAGTTTTCAGGGTCATGCTTAAAGAGATGCAAAATCCTCAGTGCATTTTTCAGGTCAAGTTAAACAATGAGATGTGTGATTAGTCAACTATAGGCCAGGTAATCAAATTATGTTATTGCCCACAAATGTGAAATTTCCTAAAATTAAGAGTCTATTTAATAGTTAAACTCTGTGGAGTATTAAATTTTATTTTTAATTCAAAGGGCATGTGTAGGTGGTCTGCACACCCTGTATTAGTAGTCGGGAAGTGGGACTTACTGACTCTGCTTAGTCTAGAATGCTAAGTAATGAGTGTATGATACTTGATATGCTTCATGTAGCACACCTGACCAGGTGACTGTCACTGCTCCTTCAGGTATGCAGCTTTGTATATAGCAGGGATTCATTATTTGACCTTAGTCGGTCTTCTCTGATTCTTTTTTTTTTTTTTGAGACTGAGTCTCACTTGTCGCCCGACTCACTGCAACCTCTGCCTCCCAGGTTCAAGCGATTCTCCTGACTCAGCCTTCCAAGTAGCTGGGATTACAGGCATGTGCCACCACACCTGGCTAATTTTTGTATTTTTGTTAGAGATGGGGTTTTACCATATTGGTCAGGCTGGTCTCAAACCCCTGACCTCAGGTGATCAGGTGATCCACCCACTTCAGCCTCCCAAAGTGCTGGGATTACAGGCGTGAGCCACTGCTCCCAGCCTAAGTTTTGTATTTTTAGTAGAGGTGGGGATTCACCATGTTGGCCAGGCTGGTCTCAAACCCCTGACCTCCAGTAATCCACCCACCTTGGCCTCCCAAAGTGCTAGGATTACAGGCATGAGCCACCATGCCCAGCTCTCTGAGTGATTCTTTGGGGTTAGTGTCCTGTGCCCTAGCGTTAGGGAAAAAAATGACAGAGTGGGGACTTTCACCCTCTTTGTTTCCTAGATTTAGCTTAAAAAATGATTAAATAAGTGTAGCTGTGGAAGGAATCTAATATATATCTATCTACATGGGTCTTTTTAACACAAATAATGAGACAGTTTCAGTATGGTAGGTAATAAATGTATTTCTATGATTGTTCAATTTGCAGGGAAGGTGGTCATAATATTAAAATCATTCGAAATGGACCCTGCTGATGGAGCAGTTTACAGAAAAGAAGATGGAGAGACCACCTTCACTGGCAGACTAGATAAATTGCATTTCCCCTTTTTCTCTTTTCCTGTGTTTCTTTACATGAGATTTGTTAACACACATTTTCTGAGAGCAGGTATGGAAGACAGCCATGTGTAGTGATGGATAATTTAAAGAAAAAAAGAATCCTTGTTTCTTGGCTTTTGCTCCTGGAGTTAAGCTTACTGCCCAGGTGACTTGTGCATTGCTTTATTTAGTTGAAATAAAATCAGCATTGAATTCAGTTCCTACTGTTCTCTGTTGAAAATACCATTCTCATTCCAGAGGAGGCAGAGTTTTACCTCTATCCTTCAAGAGTTTTTCAGCTGGGCCTGAGAATTAAATGGACATAAGACAGATCAACAGGAGGAAAGCATACAGACTTATTTAATACAAGTTTCACTTGGCATGGGAGCCTTCATAAAGAAATAAACACTCGGCGGGGCGTGGTGGCTCACGCCTGTAATCCCAGCACTTTGGGAGGCTGAGGCGGGCGTATCATGAGCTCAAGAGATCAAGACCATCCTGGCCAGCATGGTGAAACCTCGTCTCTCCTAAAAATACAAAAATTAACTGGGTGTGGTGGCACATGCCTGTAGTCCCAGCTACTCGGGAGGCTGAGGCAGGACAATCGCTCGAACCCAGGAGGCGGAGGTTGCAGTGAGCTGAAATCACACCACTGCACTCCAGCCTGGGCAGCAGAGCGAGACTCTGTCTCAAAAATAAATAAATAAATAAATAAATAAATAAACGCTCAAAGACACAGAGTTGAACATTATATGCTGAATTAGACAAAGAGTAGTGAATTATGAAAGTGTGACATGGCAGAGGGGCTTGGGCTGAGTTAATTGGGTAGAGAAGTGGCTGAGGATAAGCATTAGTCTAACAAGGTTGGTTTGTACACATTTCCCTTGACCTCAGTTTCCAATTTCCCCCAGTCCTTGATGATAAGAATGTTACTTTACTTCTGGCATAGGGAGAACATCTTTCACAGGGGAATTTTATCTCCTGCTTTTAAGAAACAGAAGGAAAGTCAGAATGATCTTCTTGCACCTGCTGTTTTTCAAGTGCTTTTAACTCAAAATAGTTAATATGCCAGGGCAGCATATTTTGGGTTGGCATATTAACTCCATCATCAGCGGCCTCACATGGCCCTGTTCCTCTCAGGCGTGGATGAATTTCAGTAGGTGTGAAGTGGAGTTATTGTTGAGAGGGCAAAATTTATCCTAACTCCTTCTTTCCCTAATTCTCGGGTAATTATGTGTAGTTGGTACAGTGTTCTGCACATGGCCAATAATTGTAAGATACTTGGCGTTAACATTAACCCAAACTCGTAAAGTTAAAGAATCATGGAGGTACAAATATTTATTAGATTCAAAATTTCCTTTCAATACAGTTTTCATTCTGAGTTCATACAGGAGTTTGGCTTTTTCTTTCTTTCAGAGCAGTGGTTCTCAATCCAGGGTGATTTTCCCCAAGGGGACATTTGGCAGTATGTCTGGAGGCATGTTTGGTATAACTGCTGAGGTGTGGGGTGCTACCTAGGAATGCTTCTAAACATCCTACATTGCATAGGTCAGCCCCCAACAGCAAGGAATTTTCCAATCCAAATGTCAGTAGTGCTAAGGTTGAGACACCCTGTTTTAGAGTTTGATACAGTATAAACATTTTATAACAATAATATAAGTGACCAGGAATTTAGAATGATAGAGTTTTCCAGGTAGAGAATTTTAGTCATAAGGCCTAGGTTTAAGTACATTCCAGCACCAGGAAATGGTGAGACGCGAGGCAAGAGGTGGCTGGGAGAGTGGTATCGTGGGGAGAACATGGCTTTTGGGGGTGAGCTAAATATGAGTTCATTCTGATTCCAACACTTGTGTTTCAGTTTTCGTATCTGAAAATGGGGTTGATGTTTAGCTCCTGGAGCTATGATGAGGAAACTGTTTAGCATAGTGCTTGACATATAGAAGCCACTGAAATAGGTGCTACTATTGTTTCAGACACCCCTCCTAGAGAGGAGAAAACAGGCCCACAAAGGCAAACACATTTGCCTAAGGTGATAGAACTGAGCCTGGGCCTGCATGGTGGCTCTTGCCTGTAATCCCAGCACTTTGGAAGGCCAAGGCAGGCAGATCACGAGGTCAAGAGTTCGAGACCAGTCTGGCCAATATGGTGAAACCTCGTCTCTACTAAAAATACAAAAAGTAGCTGGGCGTGGTGGCACGTGCCTATAACCCCAGCTACTCGGGAGGCTGAGGCAGGAGAATCGCTTGAACCCAGGAGGTGGAGGTTGCAGTGAGCTGAGATCACACCACTACACTCCAGCCTGCGTTGACAGAGCAAGACTCCATCTTGAAAAAAAAAAAAAAGAGTCATATATACTTTTTGGAAAATTGAAAAATACAGACCGGGTGCAGGGGCTCACCCCTGTAATGCCAGCACTTTGGGAGGCTGAGGCAAGAGGATCATTTGAGGCCAGAAGTTCGAGATCAGCCTGGGCAACACAGAAGACCCCGTCTCTATTAAATAAATAAATAAATGAAAAAAAAATAGATACAGAAGTATATAAAAATAGAGTGAAAGTCTTGCCCATCCTAGCCTCCAGAGGCACCCAAAACTGTTTTGAAATGTCTTTTTCTCTAAGTACACGTGTATACAAAATTACACATGTGCACACACAAGTCCTGTAAACTTGCTTTTACTCTTTAAATATTGGGTTTGTTTTCATGTTGATATATATTGTTTCTTCTTTTTTAAAAAAATTTATTATTATTTTTTTGAGACTGAGTCTTGCTCTGTGGCCCAGGCTGGAGTGCAGTGGCATGATCTCTGCTCACTGCAACCTCTGCCTCCCGGGTTCAAGCGATTCTCCTGCCTCAGCCTCTGGAGTAGCTGGGATTGGAGGCCTGCCACCACTACACCTGGGTAATTTTTGTATTTTTAGTAGAGACAGGGTTTCACCATGTTGGCCAGGCTGGTCTGGAACTCCTGACCTCAAGGGATCTGCCTCATTGGCCTCCCAAAGTGCTGCAATAACAGGCATGAGCCACCGTGCCCAGCCTGTTTCTTCTTTTAAACAGCTACACAGTATACTGTTATTGTGCCATAATTTATCCAGTCTCTATTGACCTATATCTGGATTATTTATTAGGATTCTCTTGATTGAAAGTGGGAAATCCCAACTCAAACTAGCCTAAGCTAAAAGGGGAATTAATTACTTCCTTGATATAGTGAAGTGACTAAGCACACTGGTTCAAAGCCAGATATCTGCATTCACTGACCAAATTACTGCTTAACTCAGTTTCCTCATTTATAAAGTGAGGAAGATAATAGTATCTACTTAAGATAATGCATGTAAGGTGCTTAGGACACTTGAAATGTTGGCTGTATTATAGAAAACTATACCTTTTTTTGCAAAAACAGTTTGCTCTTTTGACTTAATATTTCATGGATGTTTTTCCAAATCTATACATATAGATCTACATCATTGAAAACACTTGCATAGTATTCTGTTATATAGACATACCATAATTTGTCTATTCAATCTCATCCTGATAGACACTTACATTATTTCTCATTTTTCACTATCACTAATGCTGAAATTATGTCTTTTATTTTTATTTATTTATTTATAAATTTTTATTTATTTTTTGAGGTGAAGTTTTGCTTGTGTTGCCCAGGCTGGAGTGCAGTGGCACGATCTCAGCTCACTGCAACCTCCGGCTCCCGGGTTCAAGTGATTCTCCTGCCTCAGCCTCCTGAGTAGCTGGGATTACAGGCATGCGCCATGATGCCCAGCTAATTTTTTGTATTTTTAGTAGAGATGGGGTTTCATCATGTTGGCCTTGCTGGTCTTGAACTCCTGACCTCAGGTGATTCACCCGCCTCGGCCTCCCAAAGTGTAGTGATTATAGGTGTGAGCCACCGCACCTGGCCTATTTATTTTTTAAAAAGTGAAAAATTTTCTTTTAATAGAGATGGGTCTCACTATATTGCCCAGGCTGGAGTGCAGTAGCTGTTCACAGGTGAGATCCTGCTACTCATCAGCACCGGGATTTTGACCTGCCCTGTTTCCAACCTGGGCCGGTTCACCCCTTCTTAGGCAACCTGGTGGTCCCCTGCTCCCAGGAGGTCACCATATTGATGCCAAACTTAGTGTGGACACCCATAGGGATAGCACACTACAGCCCAGAACTCCTGGACTCAAAACGATCCTCCCACCTCAGCCTCCGGAGTAGCTGGGACTACAGACATGTGACACCATGCCTGGCTAAACTTATGTCTTTGTACTCATGCCCTTCCTTCTTTGTGCACATTCTGTAGGACAAATGCATAAGATTGGCATTACTTGGTCAGAAGATACACAAATTTAAAACATTGAAAGAGATTTCAAAATATTTTTGAAAAGCGTGTACCTATCTACATCCTCTGTGACAAATGAGTGCCTAGTTCTTCTTTCTAATACCGTTGAGTTAAAGAAGTAGTGCTGCCCCGAATCTGCTCAGTTAGAGTTGTTCTGTATACTCAGTTTGCATCCATTCTTTTTTTTTTTTTTTGAGACAGAATCTCTCTCTGTCAGCCAGGCCAGAGTGCAGTGGCGCCATCTCGGCTCACTGCAACCTCCATCACTGGGGCTCAAGCAATTCTCCTGCCTCAGCCTCTAGAGTAGCTGGGATTACAGGTCCCCACCATCACACCCGGCTAATTTTTGAATTTTTAGTAGAGACGGGGTTTCACCATGTTGGCCAGGCTGGTCTCGAACTGTAGACCTCAGGTGATCTGCCCGCATCAGCCTCCCAAAGTACTGGGATTACAGGCATGAGCTACTGCACCTGGCTAGCATTCATTCTTTATTGAAAAATTCGTTTTTTCCCTTTAATCTTCTTCTTTTTTTTCTTTTCTTTTCTTTTTTTTTTTTTTTTTTTTTTTTTTTTTTTTTTTGAGACAGAGGCTCGCTCCAGGCTGGAGTGCAGTGGAGCGATCTCAGCTCACTGCAATCTCTGCCTCCAGGGTTCAAGTGATTCTCCTGCCTCAGCCTCCCGAATAGCTGGGGTTACAGGCACACACCACCATGCCTGGCTAGTTTTTGTATTTTTAGTAGAGATGAGGTTTCACCTTGTTGGCCAGGCTGGTCTAATGTTCTTTAAAAGTGGCATAGTAATTATAGTTGTCTCAAGTAAATGGTGAGAAGAAAGTTCAACAGTCTATGGAGAGTTCTAGAATAGAAGCTGCCCAAGGATGGAGATCCTCTAAGTCTTGCTCATCATGGTATTTTCAGTGCCCAGAATAGCACCTAGCACAGTGCATATTTGTTGGTTGAGGACATGAAAATACAGCTTAGGAAGCTCACAAAATAATGACAACAAAACCACTAACCTCCATGAATTTCCTTCCTGCAAGAACAGGCAAGATAACTCAAACCAGAAATCCCACACACCACAAAGAAAACAACGTTTTGACTTGCCCAACAGTGAATTTCATTTTTTCCTATGTTACTCTGAAAAAGATAACAATGCTTCATGCCCAGAAGATTTTGAACAGTTCCAGGAGCATACCTTAAACTGGTTTAGATTCTTCTTTGTTATTTAATTAATTAATTTATTTGAGATGGAATCTTGCTCTGTTGCCCAGGCTGGAGTGCAGTGGTGTGATCTCGGCTCACTGCAACCTCCACCTCCCAGGTTCAAGCAATTCTCTTGCCTCAACCTCCCGAGTAGCTGGGATTACAGGTGCCCACCACCAAACCCTGCTAATTTTTTGTATTTTTTAGTAGAGACGGCGTTTCACCATATTGGCCAGGCTGGTCTTGAATTCCTGACCTCGTGATCCACCCCCTTCAACCTCCCAAAGTGCTGGGATTACAGATGTGAGCCACCGTGCCCGGCCCTTTTTTTAATTTTAAAAATTATTCTTAATTTTTGTAGAGATGAGGCCTGGCCATGTTGCCCAGGCTGGTCTTGAACTCCTGAGCTCAAGCAGTCCACCTGCCTTGGCCTCCCAAAGCTCTGGGATTACAGGCATGTGCCACAGCACCCGGCCCTGCCTTAGATTTTTTTAATGACAAAAAATCTTTACGTCTGATCATTCACTCATTTATGTCGTACACACTTACAGATATCTACCATGTGATGAGCATGGGGTATACAATGACAAATGACCCTTAGCTCCTGTACATGCAGAACTTATAGGATCATTCTTTTTTCTCTGAAAAGCAGAACAACTCTCACTTCTGAAAACCAAGAATCTGATGTCTGCTGTAGACTTTTAAGTTCCATGAGGTTAAAACCAGTATTTGTTGTGTTCCCTACTGAATTCCCAGCACTTGGCACAGTGCCTGTCACACAATAAAAACCTAATAAGTACTCGTGGGCGGGCTTACTGAAGTCAGTTTCATTCTGATGGCTTCTGCATTCTGTGGCTAGATTTACAATGGCAAGAGTATTTTGGACAAAAGGAGAAGCTGAGCTTCAGGCAGCAAAGCAGGTGGCAACAGTTAGATATAAATCACTCTCATTCAACCTTCAGGGGAGCCACTTCCTCACTATGTCTTGGAGGTGAGCTCACCCAGGCCATAAACCTCAAAAAAAGGGGACCTATGTCTTAGTTTATTGAACATTTATTTGCTGAACACTGTGTGTGTGTGTGTGTGTGTGTGTGTGTGTGTGTGTGTGTGTGTGTGTATGTTTCAGACGTGGTCTTACTTTGTCACCCAGGCTGGAGTGAAGATTACAGCTCACTGCAGCCTTGACTTCCCAGGCTCAAGCAGTCCTCCTGCCTCAGCTTTCCAAGTAGCTTGAACTACACGCATGCACCACCATGCCCAGCTAACACTTTTTAACTTTTTTTTCGTAGAGACAGGGTCTTGCTATATTGCCCAGGCTGGTCTTGAACTCCTGGGCTCAAGCGATCCTCCCATCTCATCCTCCCAAAGTGCTGGGATTACAGGCGTGACATGCCGCACCTGGCCAACACTATTTGTTTTTAAGAAAGCACTTTGTGGATGTGAAGAAAGTTCAGCCATTGTGGAAGACAGTGTGGGGATTCCTCAAGGATCTAAAACTAGAAATACAATTTGACCCAGCAGTCCCATTACTGGGTATATCCAAAGGATGATAAATCATTCTACTATAAAGACACATGCACATGTATGTTTATTGTGGCACTATTCACAATAGCGAAGACTTGGAACCCAAATGTCCATCAATGACAGAATGGATAAAGAAAATGTGGCACATATACACCATGGAATACTATGCAGCCATAAAAAAGGATGAGTTCATGTCCTTTGCAGGGACATGGATGAAGCTGGAAACCATCATTCTCAGCAAACTATCACAAGAACAGAAAACCAAACACCACATGTTCTTACTCATAAGTGGAAGTTGAACAAGGAGAACACATGGACACAGGGAGGGAAACATCACACACTGGGGCCTGTCAGGGGGTGGGGGGCTAGGGGAGGGATAGCATTAGGAGGAATACCTAATGTAGGTGACAGGTTGTTGGGTGCAGCAAACCACCATGGCACGTGTATGCCTATGTAACAAAACTGCACGTTCTGCACATGTAACCCAGAACTTAAAGTATAATTAAAAAAATAAAAACAACAAAAAAAGCATTTTGTTTTATTTGTCTTTATTATTTATTTATTTTGAGACGGAGTTTTGTTCTTGTTGCCCGGGCTGGAGTGCGATGGTGCAATCTTGGCTAACTGCAACCTCCATCTCCCAGGTTCAAGGGATTCTCCTGCCTTAGCCTCCTGAGTAGCTGGGACTACAGGCACGCGCCACCACGCCCAGCTAATTTTTGTATTTTTAGTAGAGATGGGGTTTCACCACGTTGGCCAGGCTGGTCTCGAACTCCTGACCTCAAGTGATCTGCCTGCCTCGGCCTCCCAGATTGTTGGGATTACAGGCGTGAGCCACTGCACCTGGCCTTTTTTATTTTTATTTTTAAATAATAGACATGGGAGTCTCACTATGTTGCCCAGGCTGGTCTCAAACTCCTGGGCTCAAATGAGGTTTCCACCTTGGCTTCCTGAAATGCTGGGGTTACAGAAGTGAGCCACCACATCCAGCCATGGAGTTTTCTTCCCATAGAATTAAAGTGATCTCAGCATAAAAAAAATTGAGAACCCATGTTCCAGGGCTTCTTTCACCTGTCCCTCTCTAAACTCCTAGTTGAGATCAAATTCCGGCTCATACTGAAATGTCCTCTCTTAGTCGCAGGGTCTTCAAAGAAAATAAAGCATCAGACAAAATATTGAAACCATTAAGCTTCCTTCTACCCCATTCCAGTTCTCATCCACAGTTACTCTCTGACATCATACAACTATGTTTATATTGTATTGTATAAGCATTTAACTGACACACACAATGAATAAAATACAGAAGAAAAGGAACTTGGGGAAGCAAAGACCTCGTTCTCACCTCCTTCTATAATACCCAGATCTAAGCCTCTGTTTCTATATTCTCCATGGTGAGAGGAAGCAACATACCTACACAATATTTAGCAATATGATCAATCACATGTGAAAGCAGTTGCCAATAACGGGACCATTTAGACTGCCAAATTACATAATTGACACATTCTCTCTTTAAAGCAGGGAGTTTTATTTTTCTGTGTTGAAAATGAGATAATATTTAATTTAATGAGTGTCTATAGTTGCATTCACTGCAGTATTTTTTTTTTCGAGACGGAGTCTCATTCTGTCGCCCAGGCTGTAATGCAGTGGCACAATCTTGGCTCACTGCAACCTCTGCCTCCCAGGTTCAAGCGATTTCTGGCTAATTTTTCTATTTTTAGTAGAGACAAGGTTTCACTATGTTGGCCAGGCTGGTCTTGAACTCCTGACTTCAAGTGATCTGCCCGCCTCAGCCTCCCAAAGTGCTAGGATTATAGGTGTGAGCCACCATGCCTGGCCCACTGGCCCACTACAGTCTTCTTTTTTTTTTTTTTTTTTTTGGAGTCTCACTCTGTTGCCCAGGCTAGAGTGCAGTGGCGCAATCTCGGCTCACTGCAATCTCTGCCTTCCTGGCTCAAGTGATTCTCCTGCCTCAGCCCCCTGAGTAGCTGGGATTACAGGCGCGCACCACCATGCCCGCCTACTTTTTGTATTTTAGTAGAGACGGAGTTTCACCATATTGGCCAGACTGGTCTCGAACTCCTGACCTCGTGATCTGCCCGCCTTGGCCTCCCAAAGTGCTGGGATTACAGGCGTGAGCCACCGAGCCCGGCCAAAACCCGCTCCAGTATTCTTAATCCATAGTATTGAAACTACAGGCACATTTTATGAGGGCCTATGATCTAAAGTGCTATCCTTTATGTTTTATATTGTTTAAGAGAGAAACATCAACTCTGTTTCTTAGTATTCTAGCAGATTCAAAAACTGGTTTTCTTACTGTGCAGGGGATCGTGTTTATGTGACATTTATGATAAAATTAGGTTTCATAGTTTTTGTGGCTTTTCTTCTGTCCCCAAGTAAAATTAGATTTCCTTATACGTAGAAAGAAAAAAAATTGGGGGAGGAAATACATTAAAACATTAATGAAATTAAATAATCATACTCAAATTTTCTTCAAGGAGTATACACTATTTTGCTAATTATAATAAAATGGGTCTTATTAAAAATCAGAGTGGGGGAGAGGAGGAAGAAAGGTCTGATTTTAAAAGCCATGAGATGAAGGCACGAGTCAGAAAGAGCCCAGCAATAATCTCTTACAGATCATGACCAAAAATGCTTCCTGGCCAGTGTGGAGACACCAGGGGGCAGTGGCTCCCTGAGAACTGCTGCTGCTCCCAGCTCAGGCGGCTCAGCCTGCAGTCTACGATTCATCGATTCATCGTCACCAAACTCGGGAAAGTTACGTTGCACTTACATGCTGCTTCCGAAGGCTCTTATGCTTTGATTTCTTGAAGGCACCGTTTCTGTGAATAAAACTGAACGATGGTCCGGCGGGGATTAGCATGTAGTTGAGGACCTGGGTGAAAAGATGGGAAATAAAGACAAACCGAAACCATTTTGCCTTCTGGAGTAGGAGTCCAGGAAAGGGATTTGAAAAGCTGCCACGATAGGGTTCAAACTTAGCGGTCCAGGTTGACCTAGTTCCCACAGCCATCAGGAAGAGGGGCGTGCTTCTCTATGGGCAGCAAGTTGAGGAGGAAGTTCCCACTCTTCTTCTCCAGCTTTTCTGCCTCAACACTGCCGCCCCCTGTCCCTCCCCCAGTTCACAATCTTTCATTCTGGCTAAAACTTCTGCCTTTATGCATTACTTCAGGCAATGCATATAACATTCTATCTTTGCTTGGCTATACTGTTTACAAAGTTGTTTATACTTTATAAACCATTTTCATGCGTGTTTTCCACCCATGATTTGAAATGGTTTGGGCTTTCGACTCCCACGTTAAAGACCTTCACTATATTGGAAATAAGTACACCCTAAGTGACTAAAGCTAATACTAGAAACCACTGGATTACTGGACCAAGCCCTAATGACATCGCATTGGCCTGAGAACACTGACCAGGCTGCTGGCTAAAGCTCCTGATGTGGGCAGCGTGGAAGGTCCAGGATCTCAAATACGGAGTTTGGCAGCGAATTTCTTTCTGAAAAGGAAGAGCAAGGCGACACTGTAGAAGCGTTTTCTATTCAAAGACTTTCACAGGCATCTGTGCACATCAAATCGGCAATGAATACGTGTGAGACAGATGACCTTCATTTTCAATGTGGTTTGGAGGTCTTTGGAAGAGTGAAGAATTCCTTTGTTTGCCACAGGTGATTTATTAGGGAAAGTTGTCTTTCTAAACCATATATTTTCAAAAGTTGCAACAAGTCTTACTCATGCAGAAAAATCTTTCAAAAGGAGCATTTGCTACAGAGTTTTTAGGGTAGTGTGGTTTTACACACTAAATAAATGCTTGTAAATATATTTGGGACTTGTAATCAACAGTACCTTTGTTTCCTTTCTTTGCAGTGGATTTGGTGGCTACTGTTACTGTTTTCTTCCTTTTCTTTTTTTTGAGACGGAGTCTCACTCTGTCACCCAGGCTGGAGTGCAGTGGCGCAATCTCAGCTCACTGCAACCTCTGCCTCTGGGGTTCAAGCGATTCTCCTGCCTCAGCCTCCTGAGTAGCTGGGATCACAGGAATGCGCCACCACACCCAGCTAATTTTTGAATTTCTAGTAGAGACAGGGTTTCACCATGTTGGCCAGGCTGGTCTTGAACTGCTGACCTCAAGTGATCTCCCCGCCTCGGCCTCCCAAAGTGCTGGGATTACATAAACAACTAAGGTGCTGAAAGGATTTAGTTCTCAGTGCTGCTGAGCCAGGAGCTTCTCATTTAGACTCTGTTGGGGAAAAAAGCTGGTTCCCAAGTACGTGGCAGCACTTAGGTGGTTTATTATTTGTTGAGCACCAAAGATGTGCTCAGTCCAGTAGGAAAATCACACACAGTACCTTCCATGCCTTCTATAAGCCCGCCTTCCCAGGCATCTTGGCTCACATCAGACAAAGGAGAATAAAATAAACAATTTAGCCAGGGCACAATGCGAAGCCTGGAAAATTGTTTTTTAAATAGAAACTAAATAAATCACAAAATAAATCACAGTACCTTGGACATATTTTATACATTTAACCAGAATTTTGAGTTAATATTAGGTCTATAAAATGGTAGTTAGTAAGGCTAGGATAAGCAATTTCTCTCTGCACACTTTCAAGCTGATTCTTTCTTGTGGAACAGATGTTGCTTCCACCTTCCTCAACTATCTCTATGGCTCCTGCAAAATGTATTTAATATATCCCACTGACCTACCAATGTCTGAGCCTCCATATTTCATCAGTCTTTTAATAAATGGTTGTCTTCTTCACATTCTTCTTTTAACATGCAAATGTCCTATAGAAAGCTAATATATTAAGTTTTTAACACAGGGATGGCAAATTCTAGGCAAGTTCCCAGGCATGCTGCCAGTTGACAGCAGGTGTTACTAATCTATCATCGCATGCTTTCTCACAGAGTCTGGAATTAGCCTTAGAATCCTCAAGGTGGCCGGGCATGGTGGCTCATGCCTGTAATCTCAGCACTTTGGGAAGCCGAGGCAGGTGGATCACCAGAGATCAGGAGTTTGAGACCAGCCCAGTCAACATGGTGAAACTCTGCCTTTACTAAAAATACAAAAATTAGCTGTGCATGGTGGTGGGTGCCTGTAATCCCAGCTACTCGGGAGACTGAGGCAGGAGAATCACTTGAACCTGGGAAGTGGAGGTTGCAGTGAGCCGAGATCGTGCCATTGCACTCTAGCCTGGGCGACAAGAGCAAAACTCCATCTCAAAAAAAAAAAAAAAAGGCCGAGCACAGTGGCTCATGCCTATAATCCCAGCACTTTGGGAGACTGAGGCAGGTGGATCACATGAGGTCAGGAGTTCGAGACCAGCCTGACCATCATGGTAAAACCCAATCTCTACTAAAAAAAAAATACAAAAATTAGCTGGCCATAGTGGCTGGCACCTGTAATCCCAGCTACTCAGGAGGCTGAGGCAGCAGAATCGCTTGAACCCAGGAGGTGGAGGTTGCAGTGAACTACAACTCCAGCCTGGGTGACAGGGTGAGACTCTATCTCAAAAAAAAAAAAAAGGGAATCCTCAACACAGTGCTGCTGGCAGCCTATGCAGGCTAGTCAATGTTGGCATATGAGTAGAAGTCTATATGGTATCCCTCCCTACCTTAGCAGCATAATCTGGATGAGTTGATAATATATTATCTTCATGATCAGGGTTCCAGAAACCAGCAAACTGGATGATAAGGGCATAAGGAGGATAAATATTAAGGTCAATCTTGTTCTACATCACAATTGCATCCTAGGCTTTTTGCCTAACACACACACTCTCTCTCTCTCTCTCTATATATATATATATATATTTTTTTTTTTTTTTTTTTGGAGACAGAGTCTTGCTCTGTTGCCCAGGCTGGAGTGCAGTGGTACAATCTCGGCTCACTGCAACCTCCACCTCCCGGGTTCAAATGATTCTCCTGCCTCAGCCTCCCAAGTAGCTAGGATTACAGGTGCCCGCCACCACACCTGGCTAATTTTTTGTGTTTTTAGTGGAGACAGGGTTTCACCGTGTTAGCCAGGATGGTCTTGATCTTCTGACCTTGCGATCTGCCTGCCTCAGCCTCCCAAAGTGCTGGGATTACAGACATGGGCCACTGCGCCTGGCCACTCTATTTTAATGGCAGAAATAACAAACAAGGGTGGCAGAACTACAAAAGAATACTTTAGGAATATTTACTTTAAAATAGTGAAACATTTTCAGGCCTTTCTAAGTAACTAGCTGTCTTCAAATAGCTCATTCATCAAGGCTTGCACACAGATAGTCTTCTAACCCTAGGATAAGTGAAGCCCACACATAGTGGGCATGAATTGTTAAATGGGGAAGTGTTGAGGAGCTATTGCCAAGGGGAGTTGGATAGTGTCACCCAGAAAATAACAATGAAGTCAATATCTCCTGCACATTGCGGTAGACTTTCCAGGTACTTTGGATGAACTACTAGAATTTGTTCTCCTCTTGTCCCAAAGTCAGTGTACATGACCTCTCTGATATAAAAGCAGAGCAAAAATCACACAGAAAGAAAGAAGCCCACTTAAGAGAGTGGGAGCTACAGCTGGCATGTTACAGGAAGCACCTTGAAAGTGAACAAAGCTCTGATAGATAATAGCAGTAGTTACGGCTGTGAAAGTATAATCAGTCCTATCACCCCCCACCACCCAGAGTCAGAAGAGTTTACTGATGCTCTTGGGGGACAGGAAAGGCCCCCAGGAGCAGGGAGGCTGAGGTGGTCAGTAGTTGCATAAGCCCTGGCACGTAAGGGCAAGTTAGGGAACATTCATCTTAGGATTCTGTGGCTCCTTCCTTGCAAAGGGGAGAGAGCATCTCAAGGTGGGAGACAACCCCAAGAGCAGTGACGGCAGAGAGAGAGACGGCTGAGAGCCCCCAGCCTGAAAGAAGGCATTGTAATAGGCAGCAGCGCCTGTACAGAATGGTCGGTAGGGGAAAATGGGGAGGCGGCAGTGGTTGGCCCCTTGAAAAAGGGTCCAGCCTTGGCCTGGGTGTGCTCATGAGAACACCTGGGGTTCCCCAGAAGCGTGGAGCAGGGCCCAAAGCTCCTTTCCCTGCAGGCTTCTTTAAGGAGAAAAAGGCATTCAGGGAGCACTCTGGCAAGGTGTGCCAGAATTAGTCTTGAAGGCACAGCTAGAGCAGACAGGGCACCAAGGCACCATTAGTAGAGGAGGGGCAGCCTCTGATTGATTATACATGAAACAAATGCCCCTTTAACCTCATGGGGATTCTTGGAACTTGGGATGTACCTGTCATCTCTTTTTCTTTCTCTTTTAATAAAGTTGAGTTGAAAAACAAACCAAATTTAGTTATTATTGTATAACAGTAGCTTTCTTTTCTTTTCTTTTCTTTTCTTTTCTTTTTTTGAGATGGAGTCTCACTCTGTCACCCAGGCTGGAGTGCAGTGGCACGATCTCACCTCACTGCAACCTCTGCCTTCCAGGTTCAAGCGATTCTCTTGCCTCAGCCTACCGAGTAGCTGGGACTACAGGCGTCTGCCACCACGCCCGGCTAATTTTTGTATTTTTTTTTTCAGTAGAGATGGGGTTTCACCATGTTGGCCGGGCTGGTCTTTAACTCCTGACCTCAAGTGATCTGCCTGCCTTGGCCTCCCAAAGTGCTGGGATTACAGGCATGAGCCACCTCTCCCAGCCGATCAGTGACTTTTGAACTCTAGCTTGCAGCCGAATCATCTGGAGGGCACACACATTGCTAAGCTCCACTCCCAGTTTCTGATTTCATAGTTATAGAATGGGCTTGAAAATTTGTATTTTTAATGAGTTCCTTGGAGCTGCTGATGCTGCTGGTCAGGGAATACATAAGAACCACTAGCATAGAAAGTTTTCTGGACCATGGAATCCTTAGCTGAAAGATTCTGTAGACCAGATTATAATACAAGATAAGCAGCCCCTACCATAAAATAGTATCCTAACAAGGTACATTCCTGGCTAGGGCCTTGGGGTAGTTTGCTAGGGCTGTTGTAACAAAGTACCACGGACTGGATGGCTTAAACAACAGAAATTAATTTTCTCACAGTTCTGGAGTCTAGACATCCAAGATCAAAGTGTTCCGGGGCTGGTTTCTTCTAAGGCCTGTCTTGGCTCTGAAGATGGCCATCTTCTCCCTGAGTCTGCACATGGTCTTCCCTCTGTACCTCTCTGTGTCCAAATTTCCTCTTCTTCCTCTCTCTCTCTTTTTTTTTTTTTTTTTGAGACAATGTATCATTTTGTTGCCCAGGCTGGAGGGCAGTGGCACAATCATAGCTCACAGCAGCCTTGAACTCCGGAGCTCAAGCTGTCCTCCCATGTAGCTGGAACTATAGGCTCACACTGCCACACCATTTTTTCTAGAGGCCAGGAGCAGTGGCGCATGCCTGTAGTCCCAGCTACTCGGGAGGCTGAGCTAGGAGGATCACTGGAGCCCAGGAGTTCTGGGCTGTACTGTGCTATGTCGATCAGGCGTCCACACTAAGTTTGACATCAATATGGTGACCTCCTGGGAGCAGGAGACCACCAGGTTCACCTGGGGTGAACTAGCCCAGGTCGAAAATGGAGCAGGTCAAAACTCCTGTGCTGATTAGTAGTGGGATTGTGCCTGTGAACAGCCACTGCACTCCAGCCTGGGCAATATAGCAAGACCTCATCTCTAAAACAAAACGTTCTATACTTTTCAAATAAAAAATAAAAAAATATATTTCTAGAGATGGGGCCTTGTTATGTTGCTCAGGCTGGCCATGAACTCCTGGTCTCAGGTGATCCTCTCACCTCAGCCTCCCAAAGTGCTGGGATTACAGGCATGAGACACCACACCTGGTCAACACTTGATATTTTTCCAGTGCTTGGCATTTGACAACCATTATCCCAGGGCACCTCATTCCTGGTATTAAGATGGCAGACTAAGAATTATCAATTTGAAGATGATGTGTTGAACATAGAATCAGAATAAATAGAATTAATAATCTTATGGAAACTGTGCCACTGTTTCTGATCCCTAAATCCAGATGTATCATCTCATGCCTAATTTAACATGTTTTGAAAACATGGCAGAATGTTTTAAATTAGAACTCCGCAAGAATATCCTATCCTGGAATGTGATTGTTGTACAAAAGGGAATCATTTACTTGTTTATTCTTTTTTTTTTTTTTTTTTGAGATGGAGTTTCGCTTTTATTGCCCAAGATGGAGTGCAATGGCACTATCTCAGCTCACCGCAACCTCTGCCTCCTGAGTTCAAGTGATTCTCCTGTCTCAGCCTGCCGAATAGCTGGGATTACAGATGTGCGCTGACACGCCTGACTAATTTTGTATTTTTAGTAGAGATGGGGTTTCTCCATGTTGGTCAGGCTGGTCTCGAACTCCCAACCTCAGGTGATCCACCCGCCTTGGCCTCCCAAAGTGCTGAGATTACAGGCATTAGCCACCATGCCCAGCCACTTGTTTATTCTTTAATAAATATTCTGTTGAACATCTACTTCATGCCAGAGATGGAGCTAGGTGCTGTGGTACAATAAATAAGGACTAGGCAGGATTATGTAGTGATTAAAACACATTCTGGGGGTCGGGCTTGGTGTCTCATGCCTGTAATATCAACATTTTGGGAGGCTGTGTGGGGAGGACCACTGGAGGCCAGGAGTTCGAGACAAGCCTGGGCAACATAGTGAGACCCCATCTCGATTGACTTTTTTTTTTTTTTTGAGATGGAGTCTTGCTCAGCTGCCCAGGCTGGAGTGCAGTGGTGTGATCTCGGCTCACTGCAGTCACTGTTTCCCCGGTTCAAGCAATTCTCCCATCTCAGCCTCCAAGTAGCTGGGATTACAGGCACCGCCATCATGCCTGGCTAATTATTTTTTTTGTATTTTAGTAGAGACAGGGTTTCACCGTGTTGGCCAGACTCATCCTGAACTCCCGACCTCTGGTAATCTGCCCAGCTTAGCCTCCCAAAGTGCTAGGATTACAGGTCTAAGCCACTGCACCCGGCCCTCTATTGAAAATTTTTAAACATTGAAAAGAAGAAGAAGAAAAAAAACACATTCTGGAGCCAAATTGCCTGAATTCAAATTCCAACTCTACCATTTACTAGCTTGACAGTTGGTTAACCACTGTCAAGTTGTGCCTCAGTTTCCTCATCTGTAAAATGGGAATAATAATTGCACCTTTCTGATAAAGGTCATATGAGAATTAAATGAGTCAACATTTGTAAGAAAGCACAGCCAAATGATATTTAACAAAATTGACAAGAACGTACATTGAGGAAAGGACATCCTTTTCAATAAATGGTGCTGGGAAAATTGGATTGCCGTATGCAGAAGAATGAAACTGGACCCCTATTTCTCACCATATACAAAAATGAATTCAAGATGAATTACAAGACTTACATGTACCTGAAACTATAAAAATACTAAAAGAAAACCTAGGTAAAACTCTTCTGGACGTTGGTCTAGGCAAAAATTTTATGACTAAGACCTCAAACATACAGGCCACAAAACTAAAATAGGCAAATGGGACTTAATTAAACTAAAAAGCTTCTGCACAACAAAAGAAATAATCAAATAATCAACAGAGTAAACAGACAACCTGCCAGATGGGAAAAAAATTTTGCAAACTATGCATCCGACAGGGGACTAATAGCCAGAATCTACAAGGAACTCAAACAACTCGACAATGAAAAACATATAACCCCACTGAAAAAGTGGGCAAAGTCCGGGTGCGGTGGCTCAGGCCTGTAATCCCAGCACTTTGGGAGGCCGAGGTGGGCGGATCACCTGAGGTCGGGAGTTCGAAACCAGTCTGACCAACATGGAGAAACCCTGTCTCTACTAAAAATACAAAATTAGCCAGGTGTGGTGGCATAAGCCTGTAGTCCCAGCTACTCTGGAGGCTGAGGCAGGAGAATTGCTTGAACCTGGTAAGCGGAGGATGCAGTGAGCTGAGTTCGCACCATTGCACTCCAGCCTGGCAACAGAGTGAAACTCCATCACAAACAACAACAAAAAACAAAACAAAAGTGGGCAAAGCAGGAGTTCAAGGTTACAATGAACCATAATCATGCAACTGCATTCTAGCCTGGGTGACAGAGCAAGGCTCTGTCTCTAATAAAAATTAAAAGGTGGACAAAATACACGAATAGACAGTTTTTTTGTTTTTTTTTTTGAGAGAGAGAGTCTCACTCTGTTGCCCAAGCTGGAGTGCAGTGGCACGATCTTGGCTCACTGCAACCTCCACCTACTGGGCTCAAGCAATTCTCCCACCTCAGCCTCCTGAGTAGCTGGGACTACAGGCATACACCACCATACCCAGATAAATTTTTGTATTTTAGTAAAGACGGAGTTTCAACATGTTGCCCAGGGTGGTCTCGAACTCCTGAGCTCAGGCAATCTGCCCACCTCAGCCTCCCAGATATTTTTCAAAAGGAGACATACAAATGACCAACAGACATATGAGAAAATGCTCAACATCACTAATCATCAGAGAAATGCAAATTAAAACCGCAGTGACAGATCATCTTATATTAGTCAGAATGGCCATTATTAAAAAGACAAAAAATAACATGTTGGTGAGGATGTGGAGAAAAGGGAACTCTAATACACTGTTGGTGGTAATGTAAATTAGTGTGTTCTCTACGAAAAATAGTATGGGGATTTCTCAAAAAACTAAAAATAAAGGAAAAGAAATCATTACAGCAAAAAGACATCTACTCTCATGTGTTTATCACACCGCTATTCACAATAGCAAAGATATGGAATCAACCTAACTGTCCATCAATGGATAGTTGGATAAAGAAAATGTGATATATATATGTATACATACACATTGGGATACCATTCAGCCTCAAAAAGAATGAAATCATGTCTTTTGCAACAACATGGTTGGAACTGGAGGCCATTAGGTGAAACAGCTCAGAAACAGACAAATACTGCATGTTCTCACTTACTAGTAGGAGCTAAATAATGTGGACACATGGATTAAAGTGCAGAGTGATAGACGATGGAGACTCAGAAGAGGGAGGGAGTGGGAGGGGCATGGATAATGAGAAATCACTTAATGGGTACAATGTATGTTATTTGGGTGATAGATACTCTAAAAGCCCTGACTTCACCACCAAACAATCTATGCATGAAACAAAATTACATTTGTACCCCATAAATTTATACCAAAAAAAGGCAAATGTAAGCATGATTTCTTAAAGATGCATCAAAAGCTGTTTTCAGTTAGTGAATATAAGAGTTTGGCAGAGAAACATCTTTGGAAGCAAACTTTGAGAACATGTTATTACAACATGTTTCTTAAAAAAACACACACACAAAATTTGTAAAAAGCAAAGAACATTATCTGGCACACTGAATGTGTTTTATAAATGTTGTCATATAAATATACCAGCCCTTGGCTTTAAGAAGCTCACAGTAGGCCGGGCGGGGTGGCTCACACCTGTAATCCCAGCACTTTGGGAGGCCAAGACGGGCAGATCACGAGGTCAGGAGATCGAGCCCATCCTGGACAACATGGTGAAACCCCATCTCTACTAAAACACAAAAAAACTAGCTGGGCATGGTGGCGCATGCCTGTAGTCCCAGCTATTGTGGAGGCTGAGGCAGGGGAATCACTTGAACCCGGGAGGCGGAGATTGCAGTGAGCAGAGATCGCACCACTGTACTCCAGCCTGGTGACACCGTCTAAAAAAAAAAAAAAAAAAGCAGCTCACAGTACTGGGAGGTAAAGAGTGACAGGTAAATGTTTCAATACAATGTAGCAAAAGGTCTAACTAAGGTCTTAGTGAAGCCCTGAACTTCCTCTGCAGCAGGATGGAATATACTAAGACCATCTGGGGCTGAATGACATGTGCTTGCCACATACACCTTCCCTCCAACACCCAAACTGGAGAAAATCCAGCAAGTTTTTATCCTTCCTTTTTATAGCTTCTACTATGAAAACAACCTCCATTATGGTAATGTATAATTATCACAAATGATTTTCAAAAGCCTATCAAATTTAAATGACAGTGAAACTTGTTTAGGAGACCACCTGTTTGAACTAATAGAACTTACGAGAATGGTTTATGTGAAAATAGGATTGGGCAACTGTTCTGCTGTTTGAAACACTGGGTGGGGTACCATGTGAATTAGATGGGGCAATAAACTTATAAGTAGGGTAGCCAACTTGTCCTGGTTTGCATGGGATGTCCTCAGTCTTATTTATTTTATTTATTCATTTATTTTTGAGACAGAGTCTTGCTCTGTCACCCAGGCTGGAGTGCAAAGGCGCAATCTCAGGTCACTGCAACCTCTGCCTCGTTGGTTCAAGTGATTCTCCTGCCTCAGCCTGCAGAGTAGCTGGGACTACAAGTGCGCACCACCACACTCGGCTAATTTTTCAGTTTTAAAACTGAAGTTTCTCATTCCCAGAAATCCCCTAGTCTTAGGCAAAAGTTTAAAATTGTTGCAATCATTTTGATAGGATATGAGAGCTTTAAAAATAAAACTATTTGGCTGCCTGTTCTCGATAGAACTGGTAAATACAGTTGAAATCAATAGATATTTACTAACTTTCTAATGAGTGGATGACAACACATATTCCTGTTCTTTTTTTTTTTGAGACAGAGTTTCGCTGCTGTCCCCCAGGCTGTACTGCAATGGCATGATCTCTGCTCACTGCAACCCCTGGCTCCTGGGTTCAAGCAATTCTCCTGCCTCAGCCTCCTGAGTAGCTGGGACTACAGGCAGGCGCCACCATACCCAGCTAATTTTTGCAGTTTTAGTAGAGACGGGGTTTCACCATGTTGGCCAGGTTGGTCTGAAACTCCTGACCTCAAGTGATCCCCCCACCTCTGCCTCCTAAAGTGCTAGGATTACAGGCCTAAGCCACCACACCCAGCCAATATTCCTGTTTGTTTTGTTTTGTTTTGTTTGTTTGTTTGTTGAGACAGAATCTCACTCTGTCACCAGGCTGGAGTGCAGCGGTGCAATCTCGGCTTACTGCAAACTTCGCCTCCCGAGTTCAAGTGATTCTCCTGCCTCAGCCTCCCAAGTAGCTAGGACAGCAGGTGTGCGCCACCATGCCCAGCTAATTTTTGAATTTTTAGTAGAGACAGTGTTTCACCATGTTGGCCAGCATGGTCTCGATCTCTTGACCCCGTGATCCACCCACTTTGGCCTCCCAAAGTGTTGCGGTTACAGGCGTGAGCCACTGCATCTGGCCCAATATTCTTGTTCTTAATGAACTACGATCTGATTCAGTGAACAAGAAACAAACTACTGTAAAGTTAAATCAAGGTACATTTGCTTATTAGTTCAAGACAATAAGAGAAATGATGTTACAAATTGACTAATGGCCAAATCAATTTTCCACTTAGAATTGCTTTGGGGATGGATTTCAGAGGAAAGGAACAGCTTTTGCTGGGGCTGAGGTATTCATGGAAAACTATTAAAACAGTTATACTTAGGCCAGATGCGGTGGCTCGTATCTGCAACCCCAGCACTTTGGGAGGCACAGGCAGGAAGATCACTTGAGCCCAGAAATTCAAGACCAGGCTGTGCAACACAGTGAGACCCTGTCTCAAAAAAAAAAAAAAAAAAAAAAAAAGTTATACCTTACAAGGGTTCAGAAAAACTGGAGTGATTTTGATAAAGGAGGAGTGTTGCAGGTGGATGGCACAGCACAGGCAAAATGACAGGAGTGGGAAGAAGCAGAAGGCAAATCCGGGGTGCGGGGGGATCAGCTCATTAAAAGGGGGAGGAGGTCGGGCGTGGTAGCTCATACCTATAATCCCAGCACTTGGGGAGGCTGATCGTGGGCAGACTGCTGGAGTCCAGGAGTTTGAGACTAGCCTGAGCAACATGACGAAATCCTTTCTCTACTAAAAATACAAAAAAATTAGCCGGGCTTGATAGAGTGCACCTGTATTCCCAGTTACTCAGAAGGCTCAGTTGGGAGAATCACCGAGCCCAGGAGGCTGAGGCTGCAGTGAGCTGAGATCACGCCATTGCACTCCAGCCTGGGCAACCAGAGTGAGACCCTGTCTAAAAAAAACGCTGTGGGTGGGTGGGTGGAGGGAGAAAAGGAGCCAGAGGAAAGAAATGCAGTGAGGGGAAGTCAGCATTTGATGATGCTTTGCAGTGTTATGCATCCTCTTATGCATGGAAGACGTCTGTTAAACAACCACTCTCTTTCCCTGTGAGAAGAAACACTACCTTCTCCCCTAAGCTGCTGTTCCCCTAAGGTGGAAATACAGGCCCTAAATATAACGCAGTGGGGTGGCTCTTTGTTTTCGTTATCTAGTGTTCATAACAAACCACTGTAAAACTTAATGAGGGCTATTTCACAGCACGCTGGGCTTAGGGCAGTCGTCTTCCTACAGGGCAGCTGGCTTCCCTCAGATAGCCAAAGCGGAAGCTTCCAGGCCTTAAGTCCCAGGCTCCAAACAGCACCCCTTCTGCCGGCTTCTACTGATTAAAGCAGGTCATAGGGCCAGGTCCCCTGGCCTGTAATTCAAGGGCAGGGGAGTATACAAGGAGGCATGGCTCAGCAGGGGTCACCTGTGTGACAGCCTACCACACTGCTCCTTTAACTTCTCCCACAACACAGAGACTTTAGGTAACATTTAATTTTATGCACCTCTGCTTAGAGGAAGAAGACAGCCAGCAGTCTCTCCTGATGGAAAAGAGAACCTAAACAGGAAGTTAAGTCTATTGAGTCCTAAAAGGGACAGCTGTGCAAAGATAAGATGGATCAAGGATCTGAAGCTAGGCGCCCGCCCTCCCCCGGCTGCCCCCGCCCACCGCCTAGGACAGAGGATCTGGAAAGGGAATGCATGTTTGGATCTGAGATAGAAGGGCTGGCCAGCAGCCCACGTCTTTCCTGCAGGACAGCTGCTCACATCTTCAAGGAATAGTACTGGAAGTGGAGAGTTCGCCTCTTAGTCACCCACAGAGCAGAGGCTGCTGCACCACCGCAGGATTTCATATGATTATTGACCATAGCTTCTGGCTCTGATTATTCATCTCTCCTCTCCCCGTTCCCCCTCCCTTCCAGGACATAAGGTGCAGAGAGCTGAGTTAAATAAAAACACCCATAACACCTATTTCAGAAAACATTTTTATCAACAGTCTGTACAGAGCCCTTTTTACTGTTTTTTGTTTGTTTGCTTTTTTGAAACAAGGTCTCGCCCTGTCACTTAGGCAGGAATACAGCGGCACCATCAGGGCTCACTGCTGCTTCGAACTCCTGGGATAAAGTGATCCTCCCTTCTCAGCCTCCTGAGAAGCTGGGACTACAGGAGTGTATCACTATGTGCAGGACTACAGGCACGCACCACCAAGCTCAGCTAAATTAAAATTTTGTGTGTGTGTGTGGAGATGGGGTCTTGCCATGTTGCCTAGACTGGTCTCAAATGTCTAGCCTCAAGCAAGCCTCTACCTTGGCCTCCCAAAGTGCTGGGATTACTGGGATTACAGGTGTGAGTGATCCTCCTTTTTTTTTTTTTTTTTTTGAGATGGAGTCTCGCTCTGTCATCCAGGCTGGAGTGCAGCGGCACAATCTCGGCTCACTGCAGCCTCCGCCTCGCGGGTTCAAGCAATTCTCCTGCCTCAGCCTCCCGAGTAGCTGGGACTACAGGCATGTGCCACCATGCCTGGCTAATTTTTGTATTTTTAGTAGAGATGGGGTTTTACCATGTTGCCCAGGCTGGTCTCAAACTCCTGACCTCAGGTGATCCACCTGCCTCAGCCTCCCAAAGTTCTGGGATTACAGGCATGAGCCACCGTGCCCGGCCTGATCTTCCTTCTTGACCCCCCCTCTCTTTTAAAAAATTTGCTTTTCCAATGGGAAAAAGACTCCCTATTCAATAAATGGTGCTGGGATAACTGGCTAGCCATATGCAGAAGATTGAAGCTGGACCCCTTCCTTACACCATATACAAAAATCAACTCAAGATGAATTAAAGACTTAAAGGTGAAACCCAAAACTATAAAAAACCTGGAAGACAACCTAGGCAATACCATCCTGGACACAGAAATGGGCAAAGATTTCATGACAAAGACACCAAAAGCAATTGCGACAGAAGCAAAATTTGACAAGTAGATTCTAAGTAAACAAGAGCTTCTGTGCAGCAAAAGAAACTATCAACAGAGTAAACAGACAATCTACAGAATAGGAGAAAATATTTGCAGTTATGCATCTGAGAAAAGTCTAGTATTCAGCATCTATAAGAAACTTAAACAAATTTACAAGAGAAAAGCAAACAGCCCCATTAAAAAGTGGGCAAAAGAAATGAACAGACACTTCAAAAGAAGACATACATGTGGCCAACAAGCATATGAAAGAAAGCTCAATATCACTGATCATTAGAGAAATGCAAATCAAAACCACAAAGAGATAACTATTGGGTATGGGGCTTAATATCTGAGTGATAAAATAATCTGTACAACAAATGTAACAAACCTTCACATGTACCCCCAAACCTAAAATTGTGTGTGTGTGTGTGTGTGCGTGTTTTTAAAAGATGAGCAACTTTTTGGACATGAAATCCACAACCCCCACCAAAAAATTGCTTTTCCCATTCATACCAGCCACTTATTCCCATTGCCTGCCTTCTGCGGGCATCCCGCTCTGGTGTGACTGAGATGTGCTCTTGAATATACACATATCCTTGTAATATATGTAGTGGTGCCGTGTTTGTGCTTAGTATGCATAAGTAAGAAAGAAGAAGGGAAAAATATTAAGGGGCCCACAAATGAGCCATTTCCCCCTTTTAAGAAGCTTTACAGATGTCCTATTCAACAATTTCTGTTCCCATCTTGCCAGCCAAAATTTTGCCACTTACTCATGCCTATTCGCTTGGAAGACTGGGAAAAGTAATTTTCTTAAACTGGTCATATTGACATTTGCAATAAAGTAAAGGTTTCATTGGCAAGGAAGAAAGGAGAAGTCTTAGTTTGGGCTACTATAATAGAATAACACAGACTGAATGGTTTAAACAATGGAAATTTACATCTCACAGCTCCGGAGGCTAGGAAGTCTCAGATCAAGGTGCTAGCAGATCTGGTGTCTGATGAGGGCCCACTTCTTGGTTTGTAGATGGCTGTCTTGTATCCTCAAATGTTGGTGAGCAGAGAGGAGGATTCCCTGTCTCCTCTTCTTTTTTTTTTTTTTGAAACGGAGTCTCGCTCTGTCACCCAGGCTGGAGGGCAGTGGCGTGATCTCGGCTCACTGTAACCTCTGCCTCCTGGGTTCAAGCGATTCTTCTGCCTGAGCCTCCCAAGTAGCTGGGACTATAGGTGCCTGCCACCATGCCTGGCCAATTTTTGTATTTTTAGTAGAGATGGTGTTTCACCATATTGGCCAGGCTGGTCTCAAACTCCTGACCTCGTGTGTCACCCGCTTTTGCCTCCCAAAGTGCTGGGATTACAGGCGTGAGCCACTGCACCCGGCCCTCTCCTCCTCTTTTTATAAGGGTATTGATCCCATCACAAGGGCTCCACCCTCATGACCTCAAATAATCCTAATCACCCCCAAAAGGCCCAATCTCCAAATGCCATCACATTGAGGGTTAGGATTTCAATATATGAATTTGGGGAAGACAGACATTCAGTCTGTAGCAGGGAAACGGCGGTGGGTAGATATCTAGCTGTCTCTGTCACCTGTAGGAATGAGGAAGGGACTGTCAGAGATTTCCTGGTCTCCGGGGGTCACCAAGGAAGAGCAGAGGCAAGGAAACAGTGGGGCAGGAGAAAGGGGGCTGGCTCGGCTCCATCCCATCTGTGTCCACTTCCTCAGGAGCAGAAACCATAAGGAGTGACCACCGGGAATGTTCCTTCGCCACAAATGTGCTTTCATCCTGGAGGAAACTCAGCCAGATGATCTTGGGGTAATTTTAGAAGCAAGAGAGGAGCAGGGAAGTGGCAGGCATGGGATGCACAACTTGTGAACGTGAACTGCAAGTGAGAGTGGGGATGTGGGGCTTAACCCTCTCATTGCCTTTCCTTTCTACCTTCCTTACCAGGGAAATTTGCCTTATTTCACTTGAAGGATATTTCCAGCATGTAGTTCAAATGAAAAATGTTTATAAATTAAATGCAAATGTAAAGATAATAAGGACAATTGTGGTGACTACTTTGTAAAAGTCACCACTTAATCTCAAGAGAAGTAGGAAACAGCTAAACACATTTCAAGGCACTAAACAACAACAACAACAGCAAAAACCCAAGAAAAACCCTCACTTGTTAAACATGCACATATGCATAAATACTGACATGACACATTTAAAGATTGTAATTCTAGGTGAATTGCCGATTTTTTTTAGTTATCTTGATTCTAAGGCACCAATCCCAGCACTGCAAATGACTTGATTTGCTTTCAGTGTTTTTTCAGTCTAGACATCAGTGTGGATTTATTCTTTTTTTTTGAGACGAGTCTCGCTCTGTCGCCCAGGCTGGAATGCAGTAGCGCAATCTTGGCTCACTGCAACCTCCGCCTCCTGGGTTCACCCCCTTCTCCTGCCTCAGCCTCCCGAGTAGCTGGGACTACAGGCGCCTGCCACCAAGCCCGGCTAATTTTTTGTATTTTTAGTAGAGACGGGGTTTCACTGTGTTAGCCAGGATGGTCTCAATCGCCTAACCTCGTGATCTGCCCGCCTTGGCCTCCCAAAATGCTGGGATTACAGGCGTGAGCCACCGCCCCTGGTGATTTATTCTTGTATCTGCAGTTGTGTCTTCAGTGTAGTGAAGGGACATTTCACGGCAGTCCAGTTTCATCCTCTGTGAAAACTGTAAGGGGAACCCGGGGACATATTATTATTATTATTATTATTTACCCATTGCTTTTCAAGCTCTAGCACTAAAGTCCTGCTAATCTATATTGAGATGTGCTGGAGATTATTTTCCCTGATGTAGAATCAACAAGAATATCCTTGGCACTTAGCACAGAGCTCACTTCACCATGCCAGCTGAGAGGCTAGGAAGTTGGCAGAGCCATTGGCAGGGAGGGTAAAGATCAAAGAGAAAAGCAGAAGTAGAAGTTACATCACTTGGCCGGGCACAGTGGCTCACTCCTGTAATCCCAACACTTTGGGAGGTTGAGATGGGTGGATCATCTGATGTCAGGAGCTCAAGAGCAGCCTATCCAACATGGTGAGACCCCATCTCTACTAAAAATACAAAAATTAGCCAGGCATGGTGGTGCATGCCTCTAATCCCCGCTACTCAGGTGACTGAGGTACAAGAATCGCTTGAACCTGGCAGGCAGAGGCTGCAGTGAACTGAGATTGGGCCACTGCACTCCAGCCTGGGCGACAGAGCAAGATTCTGTCTCAAAAAAAAAAAAAAAAAAAAAAAAAGAAGTTATATCACTTACGTCTTCCTGACTCCATTCCATTTGGAGGTGCTAAGTGTCCAAATACACCTAAGGTACAATCAGTGATTGCTGTGGTCTGAATGTTTGTGTCCCTCCAAAATTCATAAGTTGAAATTCTGACCCCTAAGGTGATGGTAGTAGGAGGTGGGGCATTTGGCAGGTGATTAGAACAAGAGGACAGAGCCCTCACAAATGAGATTCCAGAGAGCTAGCTGGCCTTTTCACCCTGTGAGGACACAGTAAGAAGGTAGCCAGCTATCACCAGTTATGGACTAGAGGGCAGGCCCTCACCACATATCAAATCTGCTGATGCCTTAATCTTGGACTTCCCAGCCTCCAAAACCGTGAAAAATAAACTTCTGTTGTTTATCTCAATTTATGGGATTTTGTTGCGACAGCTTTAACGGACTAAGACAATGGCTACGTATTTGTTTCTAAGCCATACCAGTGTGTCCGTGAGTTAATCAGTCACCTGAACGGAAGCACAGCAGAGATGAACTTAGATCTTTTTCATCCTGCTTGAGAAGACCCAGTTAAATGAGGAGAAGCATGGGCTGCTTGGCAGTCAATCTTTCCAGAAAATTCTCAAGACAGACCTTCAGACTGTGCCTGTCGTATCTTCGCCAGCACTACCAGTTTCTTTGCTTTGGAAAGTGAGAGCTACCTCCTGCCGTCATTAGATTTAGCTCAGTGATGTCTTCTCAACAGAAAACCCAAGCCTCCAAGAAGCTTGCATCCACAAAATCCATTTGGCTCCAACAAATCTTATTTCATGGCTCCTGGCAATCGGGTTTGTGTGTCTAATTTCCTCAAGCCAATTTACAAGCATTATAGTCTCATAATTACAAAGTTCTCTGTATCCCAAGCCCAGGAATCAATTTGGTGAGTTGGTGCATGCCCCAGGGTTTACTTCTGCTGCAGTCCATCACAGCTCTCTTTCTTCTTAGAAAAGCACCAATTCATCCAAGACAGAAAACAGCTCCTAAGCAGGCCAGGACAATTCTCAAGGCGCCAATGACTAATGTGAGGCAGTGGGGGATGGGGAGCACCTCTATTTTCTTTCTCCAGTCCACCCAGATCCAGATCCACATCCTGTTCTTGCATAGGTATAGGAGGCCCTATGCAGAACTGCAAAGCCTACAAAGGATCTGCACCCTGGGATTCTCTGTTCTGTCTTTTCTCCACTCAGGGAGCCTCCTTCCCAACTTCCATGTACCTGTTACTCTCCACCTCTCCATCCAACCTATCTCTTGTTTTAAAAATTCCTCCGCTTACCGGGCGCGGTGGCTCACGCCTGTAATCCCAGCACTTTGGGAGGCCTAAGTGGGTGGATCATGAGGTCAGGAGATGGAGACCATCCTGGCTAACACGGTGAAACCCCGTCTCTACTAAAAATACAAAAAATTAGCCGGGCGTGGTGGCGGGCGCCTGTAGTCCCAGCTACTTGGGAGGCTGAGGCAGGAGAATGGCGTGAACCCGGGAGGCAGAGCTTGCAGTGAGCCGAGATCGCCCCACCGCACTCCAGCCTGGGCGAAAGAGCGAGACTCCGTCTCAAAAAAAAAAAAAAAAATTCCTCCGCTTGGGCTGGGTGCGGTGGCTCATGCCTGTAATCCCAGCACTTTGGCAGGCCAAGGCGGGCGGATCACGAGGTCAGCAGTTAGAGACTAGCCTCGCCAGCATGGTGAAACTCCGTCTCTACTAAAAATACAAAAATTAGCCAGGGCCTGGCGGTGGGCACCTGTAATCCCAGCTACTCAGGAAGCTGAGGCAGGAGAATCGCTTGAACCCCGGGAGGCAGAGGTTGCAGTGAGCTGAGACTGCGTCATTGCACTCCAGCCTGGGCAACAGAGTGAGACTCTGGCGTCTAAAAAAAAAAAAAAATTTCTGTGCTCTTTTGGTTAGGTCAAAGGATAAAAGGCTGATAGTAACTCAAAATATTTCTTTTCTCAAATCGGTCTCCATTTTAGCAAAGAATAAGATTTCAGGTTAAAGAAATGGAAGGAGTATTTAAAGTGGAATACCAGGTAGGACCCTGCAACAGCAGATGGGGAAGATTTGCAGGGAGCTGCTTGGGCCTTTAAAATCACACTTGGAGGCAAAGGTAAAATCCACCTGCTCTAAAACCAGCCCTGTCTACAGGCTTTGGAGCAAAAATGCCTGACTTTGTTTTGGGTTAGATCCTACAGAGATTCTTCCAGCCCTGAAAAAATTCTCCGTGGTTTTATAAGCTTATAATTTCTAGTGATGATTACACAAAGGCATCTCCTGGGATTTCCCACGGGCTGCCTCCCCACCGCCCCCACTATCTCCTCTTCTCTGTCCAAAATGCATATGGAGCTCTGGCTAAATAGATTGGGCTCATGGATTAGCTTACCCACCCAGGGTGTTTGGCAACATTGGATATGTCATGCTTGCATGGGCATCAAGTGGCTGAATCCACTGAACATACATTTAGCCTCTGTTTCAGTCTTTATGATATGTGCTGGGGATTCAGAGATGAAAAGACACAGTCCCTACCATTGATGAGTTTATAGCCCAGTGGGTAGACAGTCATGTGAACAGATAAAAACTAGTGTATCTTGAACAAATTTCAATACACATACTTGGGTATGCAAGAAACAAAGCTTTTCTAATTTTTGTTCTAAGTGAACTTGATTATTCTTACTATTATTTTTTGAGATGGGATCTCACTATGTTACTCAGGCTAATGTCTAACCCCTGGGCTCCAGCAATCCTCCCACCTCAGCCTCCGCAAGTAGTTGGGATTAAATGTGCACACCACTGTGCCTAGCTTAATAAACTTGACTTTCAGCTTGAGTCCCCATTCTGCCTAGTGGCAGAAATGTAATCTTTAGCCAATAGGGCTTTCTCAGCCAATCAAACTCTTGCCTCTCTCCTCTTCACCGCAGGGTTGCATCTCAATTCTGAGTGCTATGTTGATGCATCCTGGTGCGGTCGGGGAGAGACTAGGTGGTGTCAAGAGCTCAATGGCCACATTCTTATATATTTATTTATTTTAATAAATGTTGATTTTAAAATTAGAGATAGGGGTCTTGATATGTTATCTAGGCTGGTCTTGGACTTCTGGCTCAAGTGATCCTCCTGCCTCAGCCTCCCAAAGTGCTGGGATTATAGGCCTGAGCCACCATGCCCGGCCTCAATGGCCACATTTTATCTGACCTTTGGTTGTTCTTCGTCTTTCTCACTGGAATCTCTTGAGATGTTTATTTTCTCATCAGATCTCTGGTCAGAATGTCCAGGGGATTATCTGTTGCCATGTTCCTTCTTCCTAATCCTAAGTCATCTGCTCTCTCAGTTGCCTTCACACATCTCCCAGGGAATGGGAAATATTTGGCTGCTTGTTCACCTGATTAGAAGGATATAGGTAGGGTAGTGGGGCAGTTTCATGTGCTCTTGGCTTCAACATTTATGACCTATGCCCAGCCCATGCTGGATGCAAGAAGCCTATATGAGACTGACTTTTGTTTTATTTTATCTTTTTGGGACAGGGTCTTGTTCTATTGCCCAGGCTGGAGTGCAGTGGCAGATTATGTCTTACTGCAGCTTCCACCTTCTGGGCTCAAGCCATCCTCCTTTCTCAGCCTCCTGAGATTAGCTGAGACTACAGGCACGTGCCACCTGGTCTGGCTAATTGTTTTATTTTTTGTAGGGATGGGATCCTACTATGTTGCCCAGGCTGGTCTCAAACTCCTAACTTCAAGCAATCCTCCCACCTCGGCCTCCCAAAACACTGGGATTGCATGTATGAGCCACGTGCCTGGTGGAGACTGATGTTTAGCAACAGATTCCCTCCACTTTGGAGACCCCAGACAATCTGGAATGTCTTTTATTTCCCCTTGCTCCTCTGTAGACTTGGAATGGTGCAAGATAGGATACTTATTGGAATTATTTCTGTTCCTCCACCCTGTCAGGGGATCTTTATATCCTCTAGAGTGAGGCAAACTTTTTTTTTTTTTGAGACAGAATCTTGCTGTGTTGTCCAGGCTGGAGTGCAGTGGTGCGATCTCAGCTCACTGCAACCTCCGCCTCCTGGGTTCAAGCGATTGTCCTGCCTCAGCCTCCTGAGTAGCTGGGATTACAGGCACCCAAAACCACACCCGCCTTGGCCTCCCAAAGTGCTGGGATTACAAGTGTGAGCCACCATGCCCTACCTAGAGTGGGGCAAACTCTTACATGAGCATGTCTTCTTCCAAACTCATTGATTATAGAAATACTTTACTGCTCTAAATTCTTTGGGATTTTAGCTTCTGATGTTCAAAAGCCAGATTCTTATGCTTGAAAGAAAGGATTTTTAGACTAAATATATTTTCCTTTAGGCTACTGCTTCTGGAATGAGTTTCACAGTCTACATTTTTTTTTTTTTTTTTTTGAGATGGAGTGTCCCTCTTGTCGCCCAGGCTGGAGTGCAATGGTGCAATCTCAGCTCACTGCAACTTCTGCCTCCTGGGTTCAAGTGATTCTCCTGCCTCAGCCTCCTAAGTAGCTGGAATTGCAGGCTCCTGCCACCATGCCCGGCTATCTTTTTGTATTTTTAGTACAGACTGGGTTTCGCCATGTTGGCCAGGCTGGTCTTTAACCCCTGACCTCAGGTGATCCGCCTGCCTTGGCTTCCCAAAGTGCTGGGATTACAGGCATAAGCCACCGCGCTGCGCCCAGCCTCACAGTCTACTTTTAAATAGAAAAACTAAGTAAACTATCCTTTCTTGCCTGCATTTTTTCTCTACCAACCCTATGCTGAGGGCAGTGAACACGGACCATCATCACTACTACTCTGATAGGAGTAGCTAGCGGGAGGTGGCAGCAGATACCAAAACCGAAAGTGTCCGATAGTCTCATTGAGATGCGCTAACACCTCCACTATATGAGCTAAAATTTAGGCTGGGCATGTGGCTCTCTCCTGTAATCCCAGCACTTTGGGAGGCCAAGATGGGTGGATAACCTGAGGTCAGGAGTTCGAGACTAGCCTAGCCAACATGGTGAAACCCCGTCTCTACTGAAAATACAAAAATTGGCCAGGTGTGGTGGCACACGCCTGTAATCCCAGCTACTCGGGAGGCTGAGGCAGGAGAATTGCTTGAACCTGGGAAGTGGAGGTTACAGTAAGCTGAGATTGTGCCACACACTGTAGCCTGGGAGACAGAGTGAGACTCTGTTTCAAAAAAAAAGGAGCTGGGTGTGGTGGTGCGTGCCTGTAATTCCAGCTACTGGAGAGACCGATGCAGGAGGATTGCTTGAGCCTAGGGGTTAGAGACCACCCTGGGCAACATAGTGAGACTCAGTCTCAATTTAAAAAAAGGAAGGAAGTGGGCCAAGGAGGGACCAATAACTGCAAGACTTAAGAAGTATCTAATAGAAGAGAAGCTTACTGGAAAAAGATTGGAAAGTGAGCTGAGAGTTTCCAAGAGTGACATGGAAACTAGGGGGAGAAAAAAAAAAAGATACATTCCCACTCTCTAGGAGCTCACAATCCACTGAACCAGTTAGAACAGGAGGAAAATGTGTCTCAAGTTACAAAGAAGCTATTATCTAAGCCAAAGAGTTAGAAGATATAAAAGTTTCTTTCTGGTTTTTCCACTTTTGCTCAATTCTTTTCCCAAGGCCTGAACTCTCTTTCTATAAAACAAGCAACTAAGACATTAGTTTATTATATATAACAATATAATTATATATAATATGTATAACATAATTAGTAGAGTTATTCTCTTAGATGAATGGAGTTATGTCTATAGGATTCTTTGAAGTCATAGGAAAACAGGGCATTCTCATTTTCTTTTTCATCATTTTTCCATCATCTCTAAAATTAACAGCTTTCAACACTTGCTAACTTTGCTTCAGACTGAAAAACAAAAGTAGATCTTAAATTTCTTGACTGCTAGATATAGCCTCTGAGGGACACATTTCAAATGACTAGTATCATGCAGCTCCTCATATCAAATGCGTTCACGTTATTTTTCTTTCTTTCTTTCTTTTTTTTTTTTTTTTAAGACCAAGTCTCGCTTTCTTGCCCAGGCTGGAGTGCAGTGGCACTATCTCGGCTCACTGCAAGCTCCGCCTCCCGGGTTCAAGCAGTTCTCCTGCCTCAGCCTCCTGAATAGCTGGAATTACAGGTGCCCACCACCACACTCGGCTAATTTTTTGTAGTTTTAGTGGAGACGGGGTTTCACCATGTTAGCCAGGATGGTCTCGATCTCCTGACCTTGTGATCCGCCTGCCTCGGCCTCCCAAAGTGCTGGGATTACAGGTGTGAGCCACTGTGCCTGGTCGTTATTTTTCACACATGAAAATAGACAACCACATTTTGGCAAATACAATGCTAATGCCTACATTTTAAATGTAAGAAATTCACACTATCCTTTTGTTTTTTTAGCCCTGGAGCTTCTAGAATTTATCTATTTTTAGAAAATATTGCTGTGTGTTCAAATGCTTTTCTTGGTACTAATCAAATATTTGGTATATCATTTGCCTGGGTCTATTCAATAATTTAGCAGGTCCGCCTAAGGAAATTTGCACATTGTCCTGAGGCATGGAGCAAGAAACTGACCACCTCGTGAAAAAAATTCCGGGAAGTACTCAGGAACTAGAAAGGAACATATGTGAGTGTAGCTGCCCCACCACCATTTCCCACCCAAGTTTAATATGATATAAGTAGGTATTTATAAAACACTTGTTATCACAACACACTGGTCACTTATTTATGTCAGCTTGTGTCATTTCTGTTATTGAGAAGAGTACTTAGATTTCAAGTGCATTTTATTACTCATAAGTGGTGTTTTTGTAATGGCATCATCACCTGCATTTATGACCACTTATTGATGAGAAACTTCTATTAGGCCTCTCTCTTTGCAGAGATGTCACTATCATTCTTTACATTAGAAACAATTTGGGGCCACAATAACCATCATTACATGGTGCTAAAGTTAGGAAAACAAATCTTCCAATCTTTATGGATGGTGGAAAATAGCTTTATCTTCTTTGAGAGTTTTAAGGGTTTGGTGACCAATTTAACACATCAGGAGAAATAACTTTGTAGACTAAAAAATGCTCTATAATAGTTGCAGCAGTGATAGGACAGCTAGAACTGAGTTCCGAGTGTTTTGAAGAGTATCTGTCCTATAACTGGTACTCACTGAATATTTGTTGAATGAATGAATGGTTGAATGAACAGATACCTATTTTCTCTCTCTCTCTCTCTCTCTCTACATATATATATATATATATATATATATATATATATATATATATATATATATATATATATATATATTTGAAATGGAGTCTCCCTCTGTTGCCCAGGCTGGAGTGCAGTGGCACAATCTTGGCTCCACCTCCTGGGTTCAGGGGACTCTCCTGCCTTAGCCTCCCAAGTTGCTGGGACTACAGGTGCCTGCCACCATGCCCAGCTAATTTTTGTTTTGTTTTGTTTTGAGGTGGAGTCTTACTCTGTTGCCCAGGGTGGAGTGCAATGGTGCGATCTCGGCTCACTGCAACCTCCACCTCTGAGGTTCAAGAGATCCTCCCACCTCAGCCTCCCAAGTAGCTGGGAGTACAGGTGCATGCCACCATGCCCAGCTAATTTTTTTATTTGTAGAAGATACAGGGTTTCACCGTGTTGGTCAGGCTGGTCTCAAACTCCTGACCTTAAGTGATCCACCCACCTAAGCCTCCCAAATATGAGCCACTGTGCCCAGCCTCTTCCTATAGACTTGGTGAGCTGTGAGCCAGAAGTAGAAGCCCATTATGAAGACCAAGATGATGCATCTAATGATAATGAGAAGCAGCTAACTGGCAGAAGACAATTTGACAGCAACATACGATATCCCGTTGCTACTGCACTTGGGTAATTAGGAATTGGCTATACATGTATTTATTTGGACAAGTGGAGATGAAATAATATCCTTTTGCTCTAAGTCGTAAGAACATATTTTAGGTAAGACAGCCATATGGTGTAACCATTGCCCCAGTGACTATTTCCCTTAGGCGGTGGCCAAGATGGGCTTGTCTTATACCAAATGCCATGTTGTAAAGTCAGATTAGAACAAAATTATAATTTAAATTTAGGTGTGCAATATATTGCATTTTACTATGTTTACATTTTATTCCAAACCCATATGGAATATTTTCAAATCTCTTGTCTCTGTGTATGTATTTTCTTATCTTTTTCACCCTTGCAAAACATTTAATGTAACGCGTGCTCTTTCCTAACTACATTTGTTTACTTTAACTATGTCGGCTTGTGTCATTTCTTCATTAGAGGAAGCAAAATTATGTCCACTTGCTTCCTTTAATGGAGAAAGGCTGTGACCCTTGGAGTTATAAGTGGAAGGAAGAAGGAGGTCTCCTATGGCCCTAACTTCAGGGCTAAACTCTCCTGTGAAGGCTTTGAGCTACACTGAGTCTGCTAAGGGGACTAGAAAGTGATGGTACTTGGACTTGAACATTCGTTATAAATGAGTCCTAACATATCTGAAGTATCAAAAGGGAAAAAAATATTTTACAAGTTGATATGGCTTGGCTGTGTCCCCACCCAAAATCTCATCCTGAATTGTAATCCTCATAATCCCCATGATCCCCACATGTCAAGGACAAGACCAGGTGGAGGCCATTAGATCATGAGGGCTGTGTCCCCCATGCTGTTCTCATGATAGTGAGCGAGTCTCTTGAGATCTGATGGTTTTATAAGTGTCTGGCATTTTCCCTGCTTGCACTCACTCTATCCTGCAGCCTTGTGAAGAAGGTATCTGCTTCTCCTTTGCCTTCCACCATGATTGTAAGTTTCCAGAGGCCTCCCCAGCAATGCGGAATTGTGAGTCAATTAAACCCCTTTCCTTTATAAATTACCCAGTCTTAGGTAGTTCTTCATAGCTGTGTGAGAATGGACTAATACACAACTTTAAGCAGATAAGAGATGAGAGGTAGAAAGCTCATCTTTGGGGTAGCCTATCCTTTTTCTCTGTGAATTTCATGTAGGACAACACGCTCTATTTCAGCTATCTATAGTCACCTAATAAGGCACTCCAAATATAGTGGCTGAATAAGGCAGTCAGATGGTGGCATGGCTGGGACCTTCAAGATGGCATGATTCATATGTCTGCAGCCTTGGCAAGGATGACTGGGGGCTGGGACCTCTCTCCATGTGACTGACCTCTCTTTCTATGTGGTCTCTTTGGTAGGGTAGCCTGATGTCTTCCATGCTGCTTCAGGGTTTGGTTTTTGTTTTTGTTTTTTTGAGAGGGAGTCTCACTCTGTCACCCAGGCTGGAGTGCAATGGTGTGATCTCAGCTCACTGCAACCTCTGCCTCCTGGGTTCAAGCTATTCTCCTGACTCAGCCTCCTGAGTAGCTGGAATTACAGGGGCACACCACCAAGCCTAGCTAATTTTTGTATTTTCAGTAGAGACGGGGTTTCACTATATTGGCCAGGCTGGTCTTGACCTCCTGAACTCAGGTGATTCACCCACCTCAGCCTTCCAAAGTGCTGGGATTACAAGCATGAGCCACTGCTCCCGGCCGCTTCAGGGTTTTTAAAAGTACAAAAACAGAAGCTTTCTTTAGGCTTAGGCCTAGAACTAGTATAATGTCATGTCTGCCACGTTCTACTGGATGAGTGAATCATGAGGTTAGCCCAGATTCTGTGTGAGAAGACCACGTAACGATTTAATACCAGGAGATGTGGCTCATTTTGGGCTGTCTTCAGAGACTGGCTACCACACCGTCTAGATTGAATGGGTTTGATATGCATGGTCTAAGGAGCTAAACTATGTAAAGGTATACACAATATATTATTTCTTGTTTTTGGTAAAAGTATACACACATATTACCATGCAAACAGTTACAAGAGATCAAGAAACAAGACCCAAAAATAGCTGGAGGGTTGTCCCTTTCAATTAAAGGAGATTCTAAAAAATAACCTGGATTGGGTTTTCTGTGTTTAACCCGGTGTTAGACTACGATCCTATAAAATACTGAGCTACCTGGATGTCTTGAGAAACTGTTCATCCCAGCTGGGGCAAGGTTAGCCCTGCTGGTCAGGGATGGGCCATTTCTGCTGTCAGTCATCCTGGGATAAGGTAGGTCCTGAAATGCGAAATGAGGCTGTTGGAAGGAGGCCTTATGCTGGCATGAGTGGGCAAATCCTTCCTCTCCTCGGGCCTGGACCCTTAGAAGAGAAGATGTACACAAAGACTCACCCATGAGGTTAGGGAAGAAGTGAAGTTCAGTGCCTTTGCTACATACCTAAAGGCATGATTCAGTGCCTTTACTACAGGCTGAGGTTTAAGCAAAGCTGTGTTCCACAAGGGATTGCTGTGGGAAGTCATAGACCTGTGAAGTTTCTAGGTCTGTGTTACAATTCCCTTATGTTAACCAGAAGCTTCTAAAGAATCTCTGTGAAACATCACAGCCCAGTTTTAGTTAGTACTGTGGAAATAAGGGGAAGGTTTGTGTCTGGTTGGAATGAAGCAGTACAGGGGACAGCAGCAGCCCCCAGAGGGACGGTATTTTATAATAGAAACCTCTAGGGCAGGCCAGGCACGGTAGCTCATGCCTGTAATCCCAGCACTTTGGGAGGCTGAGGCGGGTGGATCACTTGAGGTCAAGAGTTCAAGACCAGCCTGGCAAACATAGCGAAACCCTTGTGTCTACTAAAAATACAAAAATTAGCCTGGCGTGGCGGTGGGCGCCTATAATCCCAGCTACTAGGGAAGCTGAGGCAGGAGACTTGCTTGAACCCAGGAGGTGGAGGTTGCAGTGAGCCGAGATTGCACCACCGCACTCCAGCCTGTGCAACAGAGCAAGACTCTGCTTCAAAACAAAAAACAAAACAAAACAAAAAGAAACCTCCAGGGCAGGGTTATGACAGAGCACACGGTGGTCCAGGGTGGCTTAAGATGGATTGATCATTGCTGACCACGCAGGGGGCAACTGGGATGGATTTCAGATACAAGTTAGCATTTTCCAGGGATTTCCAGTGACAAAGCAAGCTAACTGAGGGCTTAAGCTAATAGAATTTGGCAATGAGAGGGAAATGTAGCATTATTTGTCATCTCTGGTGGGAAAGGCCTAGGCCTGTACCTTTGGTTTACAGTATACATAAGATATATATCCTGCCAAAGAATGATTACTGTAGGTAAATATGACAAGAATTCTCTCTCTCTTTTTTTTTTTTAGAGACTGTGTCTCGCTCTGTCACCCAGGCTGGAGTTCAGTGGTGCCATCATAGCTCACTGCAGCCCTGAACTCCTAAGACGAAGCAATCCTCCCGGCTCAGTCTCCCCAGTAGCTGGGACTACAGGTGCACGCCACCATACCCAGCTAAGTTTTAAAAGTTTCTGTAGAGATGAGGTCGCTCTATGTTGCCCAGGCTGGTCTTGAACTCCTGGGCTTAAGTGATCCTCCTATCTCGGCCTCTCAAAATGCTGAGATTACAGGCGTAAGACACACACACACACACACACACACACACACACACACACGAGCCATTGTGTCTTCTGGCTATAGGCTCTTTTCTCTGCTTCTCTGCTTCCTCCCACTTGCCCCCTTGCTTGATCTTTATTGCTTTCGGCAGCCCTTTCAAGTAATTGGGGACCTGGGTTTTATCTATTTCCTACTGTCTGAGTCCATTTGGGCTCCTATAACAAAATGCTGTGAACTGGGTAGCTTATAAATAACAGAAATTTCTCATAGTTCTGGAGCTTGGAAGGCCGAGTTCAAGGTGCCATTGGATTTGATGTCTGGCGAGGGCCCGCTTTCTGGCTCATAGTTGCTGTCTTCTTGCCGTGTTCTCACGTGGTGGTAGGAAGAAATGAGTTCCCTCGGGCTTGCTTTATAAATCCCGTTTATAAAGGCTTTGCCCTCATGATCTAATCACCCCCAAAGGCCCCACCTCTTAATACCATCCCGTTAGAGGTTAGGATTTCAATATATAAATTTTGGGGGAATAGACTGTATCTACTTTCTAGGAAAAAGAATTTTGTCTTTGCATCTCTATCTTTTTGTTTTTTGGCTAATTTCCAGGAAGAGAAGATGATAAATGCTACCTGTATCCCGTCTTGTTCAAACCAGAAATTCACGTTCATGAACTTCAGAGTCAGACAGATCTGGATTTGAATTTTTTTTTTTTTTTTTTTTTTGAAACAGAGTCTCACTCTTTCCCAGACAAGTGCAGTGGCACGATCTCGGCTCACTACAACCTCCACCTCCTGGGTTCAAGCAATTCTCCTGCCTCAGCCTCCCGAGTAACCGAGACTACAGGCATGCGCCACCATGCCTAGCTAATATTTGTATTTTTAGTAGAGACGGGGTTTCACCATGTTGGACAGGCTGGTCTCGATTTCCTGACCTCAGGTGATCCACCTGCCTTGGCCTCCCAAAGGGCTGGGATTACAGGTGTGAGCCACTGCGCCCAGCCTGGATTTGAATCTTGACTCCACTACTTGTTGACTTGTGTAACCTTGTGTAAACCTATTTTTATTTATTAAAAAAAAACAGCTACAGGGTCTATGTTGGCCAAGTTGGTCTTCAACTCTTGGCCTCAAGCAATCTCACCTTGGCCTCCCAAAGTGTTAGGATTACAGGCATGAGCTACTGTGCCCAGCTTTTTTTTTTTTTTTTTTTTTTTTTTTGAGACAGGCTCTCACTTTGTTGCTCAGGCTGGAGTGCAGTGGCATGATCATGGCTCACTGCAGCATCAACCTCCCGGGCTCAAGAGATTCTCCTACCTCAGCCTCTCAAGTAGCTGGGGCTACAGGTGTGTGCCACCACGCCTGCCTATTTTTTTTGTAGAGAGAGGGTTTCACTATGTTGCCCAGGCTGGTCTCAAACTCCTGGGCCCAAGAGATCCACCCACCTCAGCCTCTCAAAATACTGGGATTACAGGCATGAGGCACCATGGCCTTGAGAGTTTAATGAGGTGATGTTTACAAAGCTCTTAGCACAGTGCTTGGCACGTAGTAGGTGCTCGATGAAGAGTAGCTGTGACTATTAGTGTCATGGCCACAAACTACTGACCAGCACGCTCTATTTAACTCCTAGCCTGCTGTTACTTTTGGGAAAATATCTTCCTAAATTAACATAATTATGTTGAAGAGATCAGAGTTTCCAAGAACATGTTCAGCAGGAAAACATTCAAGAGATAGTTCCTAGTTTGATTAAAAAACTAAGGCAGGGCATGGCGGCTCACACCTGTAAACCCAGCACTTTGGGAGGCTGAGGCAGGTGGATCACTTGAGGTCAGGAGTTGGAGACCAGCCTGGCCAATATGGTGAAACCCTCCGCTCTACTAAAAATACAAAAAATTAGCCGGGCGTGGTGGCGCAGGCCTGTAATCCCAGCTACTTGGGAGGCTGAGGCAGGAGAATGGCTTGAGCCCAGGAGGTGGAGGTTGCAACAAGCTGAGATCACGCCATTGCACTCAAGCCTGGGCCATAGAGTGAGACTCCATCTCAAAACAAAACAAAAAAAAACAACAAAGGCAGGGGAATGAATTTAAACCTAGGAAACATTATGAACCACAATCCACCCTTTTCAAGATTCATAAGGCACATACCTGTATGGTGGTGTTGCAATAGGTTCTGTCGTGGAGTAATGTAATGTGCATTATCACAGAGCACAGAGAATATTCTGACGTATTTACAGGGGATAGCCCCGCCCACACAGGCAGGTCAATGTCTCAAATGAGGATGAAAGAATTAGCAACCCTCCTCCCACAGAGAGAAACTGCAGAACCTTAGCCATTCAGAGTCTGGGAGTTCCTTCTGGTATAACAAAGGAAGTTGCTATTCAGGAATACTCTCTCTGTTATTCCGGGAAGTACTGCTCTTACCCCATGTGCTGGAAACTGCCCTCAGTGCCTCCAAGTACACTAATGCATTTAATCCACAATGCTTTGAAGAGATTACTCCCTTTTACAGAGAAGGAAAAAATTTTTTTGCAACGAATGAGGGAAGTATTCCACACCTGTGGAAGGGAAGGAAAGGAAGAAGGACTGCACAAACAGAGAAGATGAGTTGTGGTGCAGACCCAACGGAAGGCTTCAGTCAACCCCATGGGGAGATCTGGAACAGAAGTCCTGCAAAGTTGCTCTAAGTAGGAGGGAGGAGGTCGGGCCTTTATACCCTGTGTTAATTAGTCACTGAATGTGGGCCATCCCTGGAAACAGGTTTCACTTTAGGCAAGGCAGTTTTTTATCATCAGAGGCAATCCCCAAAGAGAGCTGACCTATGAGAGCTGTCTTCTGGCCACACTTCTAGCAGCTGGGAGACTAAGTCCTTCATTCCAGGGGGCACTGAGGTGCACACTGCAGCTCCCACACCACAAGATGCATTTCCAAACTAAAAGTTTTATGCACTGACTGTGGACAAGTGAACCACTCCAGGAATTGAGCTCTCTCTTTGTAGGTAAAGCCCGAATTTTCCTAAGGAGGAACAGAAATTTTAGATTTTTTGATAGGGAGTTTTTGTTGTGTTTTGTTTTTGTTGTAAGAGATGTGGTCTTGCTATTGCCCAGGATGGAGTGCAGTGGTGTCATCACAGCTCAATGCAGCCTCAAACTCCTGGGTTCAAGGGATCCTCTCTTCTCAGCCTCCTGAGTAGCTGGGACTACAGGTGTGGACCACCATGCCTGGCTAATTATTTATTTATTTTTTCTTTTGTAGAGACAGTGGTCTCACTTTGTTGCACAGGTTGGTCCCAAACTCCTGGCTTCAAGTGATCCTTCCACCTCAGCCTCCCAAAGTGCTGAGGTTAGAGGCATGAGTCTCTGGCCTGGTAGAGAGTTTTGAGGAAGGCACATTCTTGTCAATACTTGTTATTGTCCATCTTTTAGATAATGGTCAGCTTAATGGATGTGAAGTGTCTTATTGTGGTTTAGATTGCATTTTCCATTTCCCAAATGACTAATGATGCTGGGCATCTTTTCATGTGCTTCTTGGCCACTTGTGTAGCTTGTTGAACAGAAATATCTGTTCAAATCATTTGCCCATCTTCTGATTGGGTTGTCTTTTTGTTGCTGCATTATAAGAAATTTTTATATATTCTAGATACAAGTCTTTTATCAGATATGTAATTTGTAAATATTATCTCTCATTCTGTGGGTTTTCTTTTCACTTTTTTGATAGTATCCTTTGACTCGCAAAAGTTTTACATTTTGATGAGTTTAATTTATCTATTTTTTCTTTTGTTAGTTGTGTTTTTGATATCATAGCTAAGAAATTGCCAAATCCAAGGTCATGAACATGTGCACCTGCTTTCTTTTTTAGCATTTTATAGTTTTAGCTCTTCTATGTAGGTCTTTGATCAATTTTGAGTTAATATTTTTATATGGTGTGATGTAGGGGTCCAACTTAATTCTTTTTTTTTTTTTTTTTTTTTTTGTGACGGAGTCTCGCTCTGTCACCCAGGCTGCAGTGCAGTGGTGCGATCTTGGCTCACTGCAAGCTCCGCCTCCCAGGTTCAAGCGATTCTCCTGCCTCAGCCTCTGGGGTAGCTGGGACTACAGGCACATGCCACCACTCCCGGCTAAGTTTTTGTATTTTTAGTAGAGACAGGATTTCACCATGTTAGCCAGGATGGTCTTGATCTCCTGACATTGTGATCCGCCCGCCTCGGCCTCCCAAAGTGCTGGGATTACAGGCGTGAGCCACCGCACCCGGCCCCAACTTAATTCTTTTGCATGTGAATATCCATTTGTCACGGCACCATCTGTTGAAATGACTATTCTTTACCCATTGAATTGTCTTGGCAGTTGTTGAAAACCAGTTGACCATAAACATAAGGTTTTATTTCTGGACTCTCAATTCAATTTCATTGATTTATATGTCTGTCTTTATGCCAGTATTGCATTGTCTAGATTACTATAGCTTTGTAGTAAGTTTTAAAATCAGAAAATATGAATCTTTCAACTTTGCTTTTTTTTTCAAGGGTGTTTTGGCTATTCTTGAATTTCCACAAAGTTTTAGGATCAGCTTGTCAATTTCTGCATATGGGAGCTGGGATTCTGATTGAGAATGCATTGAATCTGTAGGTCAATTTGGAGATTATTGCCATCTTAACTATATATATATATATATTTTTGTTTGTTTGTTTGTTTGTTTTTTTCAAGAGAGAGTCTCACTCTGTCACCCAGGCTGGAGTGCAGTGGTGCGATCTCAGCTCACTGCAACCTCTGCTTCCCAGGCTCAAGCTATCCTCCTGCCCCAGCCTCCTGAGTAGCTGGAACCACAGATGCATGCCACCATGCTCAGCTAATTTTTGTATTTTTGCTAGAGATGGGGTTTCACTATGTTGCCTAGGCTGGGTTCGAACTCCTGAGCTCAAGTGATCCGTCCGCCTTGGCCTCCCAAAGTGTTGGGATTACAAGCGTGTACCACCGCGCCTGGCCCATCTTAACAATATTAAGTGTTCTGATCCATAACCATAAATGTCTATTTATTGAGGTCTTCTTTAATTTTTTTCAACAACACTTTGCAGTTGTCAGTGTACAAATCTTGCACTTCTTTTGTTAGATTTATTCCTAGGTAGTTTATCCTATTTGGTGCTATTGTAAATTAAATTGTTTTCTTAATTTCATTTGTGGATTGTTTTTGCTAGTGTACAGAAATACAACTGATTTTTGTATATTGATCTTGTATCCTCCAACCTTATTGAACATATTTATTAGTGTTTTTGTGTGTGTTGTGTATTTGTTTTTATTAGAATTTTTTATGTACGAGAGACCATGTCATCTTTGTGGTATTTTTTTGAGACACTCTTGCTCTGCTGCTCAGGCTGGAGTGCAGTGGCACAATCTTGGCTCACTGCAACTTCTGCCTCCTGGGTTTGAGCAATTCTCCTGCCTCAGCCTCCTGAGTTGCTGGGATTATAGATGCCCACCACCTGCCCAACTAATTTTTGTATTTTTAGTGGAGATGGCATTTCACCGTGTTGGCCAGGCTGGTCTTGAACTCCTGACCTCAAGCTGGGATTACAGGCATGACCCACCACTCCTGGCCCATGTCATCTTTGAATAGAGATAGTTTTACTTCTTTTTTTCCAGTCAGGCTGCCTTCTATTTCTTTTTGTTACTAAATTACCTGGGCTAGACCCTCTAGTATGATATTGAATAGAGGTAGTGAGAGGGGATTCTTGCTTTGTTCCTGATCTTAGGGGGAAAGCATTCAGTCTTTCACCATTATGTATGATGTTAGCTGTAGGATTTTTGTAGATACGCTTCAGTTATCTTGCTTTTGGCTGAAAAATACAGAAAACCCTAACTTAAATGGACTAAAACCATGAGAGATTTCACTGTCTCGCTGTAAGTCTAGAGTAAGGATGGGCTCCAGTAACTGTGTGAATCAGCTTTTCAAGATACCGTTAAGATCTCAGGCTTCTTCCTCCCCTTCACTGAGGTGTCCTTAGCTTCATCCTAAGGTTGGTTTTCCCTAGGCTGTAAGATATCTGCCCAAATCATCAGAGACTATAGTGCTTCCTTATTGAGGTTTACCTGGAGAAACAGAGGGGTGTAAGAGTGAGGCAGAGAGAGAGGGAGGGAAAATGTCTCTCCCAACCACAGACTCTTTATCCTCTGCTCAGTCTGTGTGGGCCGAATGCCCAGTCAGGTTGCACAGCCATCTCTAGGTCAGTAACAGTCATCAGGGAAGCAAGATGTCTCTTATTCTTCTAATCATCACTCCACTCAGCATAATAAAGAACAGGTGGCCAGGCACAGTGACTCATGCCTGTAATCCCAGCACTTTAGGAGGCTGAGGCAGGCGGATCACTTGAGCTCAGGAGTTCGAGACCAGCCTGTCCAGTGCGGCAAAACCCCGTTTCCATTAAAAATACAAAAAAATTAGCCAGGCTTTGTGGTACATGCCTGTAGTCCCAGCTACACAGGAGGCTAAGGCAGGAGGATCGCTTGAACCCGGGAGGCGGAGGTTGCAGTGAGCCGACATCACACCACTGCACTCCAGCCTGGGGGACAGAGTGAGACTCTGCCTCAAAAAAGAACAGTAAATACAGCAGGGGACTTTTCTCTTTTAGGGGGGTTGGGAGAGGACTGCAAATACGACTTTTTCTCCTATTAAAATTTTATCAAATGTGATAATGGAATAGTTTTGTATCTTGAGTGTGGTGGTGGCTACATGAATATGCACATGTGATAAAATTGCATAGACCCATAAACACACTCACACAGAAGAGTGCAAGTGTAGTTGATGAAATCTGAGTAAGGTCCATGGCTGTAGCAATGTCAGTTTCATGGTTTTGATATTGTACTATAGTTATGAAACATGCTAATATTAGGGGAGAAGAAGTGAGCATAGGACTTCCCTGTATGTTTATTTTGCAACTTCCTGTGGCTTTATAATTATTATTTTTTTCATTCTATCAAGTAGATCTCACACTGGAGTTTCAGGCAGTGATCAGCAATGTGTAAGGGAGCTCCGTGGTGGAGCTAGGAGTAGAAGGAGACACTTTTTAATTCACAGTATCACTATCAGGTAGGTTGTCTCTTCCAATTCTAAAAAAGAAACTGGGATATAATCTACATACAGCAAAGTGCAAAAATCTGGTGTGAAGCTTGGCAATTTTACACACATGCATGCAAGCACACACACACTCCCCATCTCTCTCTTTACCACCTGAAGGCGCCCATTATTTTGACTATCACATAGATGAACTTTATTGAATGGCTTTTATTTATTTATTATTTTTTGAGACGGAGTCTTGCTCTTGTCACCCAGGCTGGAGTGCAGTGGTGTTATGTCGGCTCACTGCAACCTCCGCCTCCCGGGTTCAAGCGATTCTCCTGCCTCAGCCTCCTGAGTAGCTGGGATTACAGGCACCCGCCACCATGTCTGGCTAATTTTTTTTTTGTATTTTTAGTAGAGACAGGGTTTCGCCATGCTGGCCAGGCTGGTCTCGAACCCCTGACCTCAGGTGATCCACCCGCCTTGGCCTCCCAAAGTGCTAGGATTACAGGCATAAGCTATTGCACCTGGCCCATTTTTATTTATATTTATTGGCATCTTCAGTGCTAGGCTGGAAAAGGAAAAGAAAATAAATCTATTGATATTGCTGCTTGTGAGAACTCTGGTTGAGAGAGATGAAGGAAGGAAGAAAAGAGGAGAGGGAGGGAGGGAGGGTAGAAACAACCTAGAAAGTGGCACTTTTCTAAAAGGAGATTAGGAGTCCCTTGCTTCCTTCTACAAAGACCAGGCTTCCATCAGGTTGTGCTGATGGGGGAAAAGCAGCTCTGAAACCCAGGCCCCACACTCAGTGCTTTCACATGCAATCCTTGATTCCATTGCTTTTCAATGCTGGCCTGTGCTCACAATCCCTGTGCCACATCGAACTTCTGGCTCCACTTTTTTTTTTTTTTTTTAATGTAGCAGTACAAAAAGCTGATCATATAGCTTCCTCAACCAGAAAAAGGTGGTCATTAGAGGTGTCGTGGACTCTGGGGAGCCATATGGTATGAGACACGAACTTAAAGGTGCACAGCAAAGCCTCTTGGTTTCTTGGCTTCACCTGTCATCTCAGTTGCAGAGGCACAGAGCATCTTGTCTGGGGCCGGAAATCCCTGCTCTTTTCAATGTTTTGGAACACGTCATAAAGCTTAGTGGTGATACAATTACTAAGTTGTATTTATTTCTGCTGACTAGGGGCTTTCCCCTCTCAGTGGCATGTGATTGGATGTTCTCAGGAATGAGATCAAGCTTCTCATTCTTGAATAAATATTTTAAATCCAAAGAGGTAGAGATGACACTAATGGGAATTATCCATTCTTTAAACTTCCTGCAGCTCATTCACAGGTGCCCTTAACTGTGCACAGGATCTAAAGCCAGAAAAGCGGGGCAGGGTTGCGTTATTCTCCGAGTGGAAAGGTAACTGTGAGAGCCAAGGGGCCTGATGCCTGGACTGCGCCCTGCCTTTGCTTGGTGATAGGCACTCACGACTTGTGTTAGAGTCTTCCGCAAGAGACAGATCCTACACCTACAGAGGGCAGTGGAGGAGAGATTACTAAAAGGTTATTTACAAAAGGGTTGAGGGAAACCTATAAGGGATGCTGAGGCATGCCAGTGCTAGAATATCACCTTTAGGTCAAAAGAGATTGAGGGTGGTTACAAAGCTCAGAGAGAAGAGCTGAGAAAAGAAACTGACCAGTTAGGTAAACAGCCGACCTGAAGCCCAGCTGGAAAGGAGCCAGGGACTCAATACTGTGACCTCTCTCTTCTCCCAACCTCTGATCTCCTGCTGTTACCTCCCATTTTCCTAACCCAATTCCAACACAGGACCCCAGGGATCTTTGCTGATAGAGTTCAAGAAGATCAGCTCACCAAAGCACAGAGCAGGGAGCAAAGTGGATCTGGTGGGACAGAACGAAAAGTACCCACACACTACCCTTTTCCTCATCATGGCGTAGTTGGTCCTTCAGGGAAGCAGCACCTGCCCAGGTGTAACCACCCAGTGGGTTCTTCCTGCCCCCTGCGCAGACAAAAACCAATTCACTGAGATGACGGCATTGCAATAAAGAAAGAGTTTAATAGACACGAGGCTGATCATGTCACTTGGGAGACAGAGTTATTACTCAAATCGATCTCTCTGGAAATTCAAAGGCTAGGGTTTCTCAAAGATAGTTTAGGGGAAGGGGTAGCTAGGCAATCGTGCTTGCTGCTGATTGGTTGGGGGCGCAATCATAGGGGTGTGGCAAATGGTCTTCATCCTCACTGAGCCCCTTCTGGCTGGGGCCACAGGAACCGTGACCAAGTCCAGGTGGAGCCATCGGTTGTGACATGCAAAAAACCTGAAAAGATATCTCCAAAGGCCAATCATAGGTTATACAATAGTGATGGTATCTGGAGGAGTAATTGGGGAAGTTGGATATCTTGTGATCCCCAGAATAATGGCTGGCAATCATTTATGTCTACACCTTAGCAGAATTCAGGCTTCTCTATCATCCTAGTCTTGTGGTCTCTCATTAGCTTTACAAAGGCGGTTGAATTTTTGGGAAGGGTTGCTATCAATTAAACTAGAAACTAGATGTCTCCCTAGCCGCTGGCAGCTACTGCAAGGTTAAAGCCGGAGTGGACCTGTTTTTTGAAACTGCTGCTCTTTCACTTCTCAGGCATCACCGAGAGCTCAGCACCCAGGCTGAACTCTGTACCATTCAGAAGAATGGAAGCTGATGCATCTGTTGACATGTTTTCCAAAGTCCTGGAGAATCAGCTGCTTCAGACTACCAAACTGGTGGAAGAACATTTGGATTCTGAAATTCAAAAACTGGATCAGATGGATGAGGATGAATTGGAACACATTAAAGAAAAGAGACTCGAGGCACTAAGGAAAGCTCAACAGCAGAAACAAGAATGGCTTTCCAAAGGACATGGGGAATACAGAGAAATCCCTAGTGAAAGAGACTTTTTTCAAGAAGTCAAGGAGAGTAAAAAAGTGGTTTGCCATTTCTACAGAGACTCCACATTCAGGTGTAAAATACTAGACAGATTTCTGGCGATATTGTCCGAGAAACACCTCGAGACCAAATTTTTGAAGCTGAATGTGGAAAAAGCACCTTTCCTTTGTGAGAGACTGCATATCAAAGTCATTCCCATACTAGCACTGGTAAAAGATGGGAAAACACAAGATTATGTTGTTGGGTTTACTGACCTAGGAAATACAGATGACTTCACCACAGAAACTTTAGAATGGGGGCTCAGTTGTTCTGACATTCTTAATTACAGGTAACTTTTAACAAAAGAAGAGATTGATTTTAATTCATATATAGTTGATATTTTTACAAAAGATTTTTGTATTGTAACATTTATTTTATGAAATTAAGGCATTTCGGCTGAGATGTAGAAAGTTTCTCAAAGGAAAAGCATGTTTTTTGAAGCGTGTAATATTAGCGTGATTTTACAGCAAAATCAGATTTATAGATAAAACTGATTTAATAGGTAAAACTGAGTCTCACCGTACTTCTGACTATAAAAGTTTTCAGCTTAACCTATACTATTGACACTAATTTTGTATTAATCTGGAAACTTAAAATGGCAATCCAGTGTTGACTGTTCCCTAATTTAAGCCAGATTACTCAAATGAATACTGACTTAAGTGATTCTCTTTGATAAAATAAAAATTAAAAGCAGACTCTTGCAAAGAAAAAAAAAAAAAAAGAAACTAGATGTCTCCCAAAGTTAGCTTGGCCTAAGCCTAGGATTAATTAAGGGCAGCCTGAAGTCCAAAGGTAAGATGGAGGTTGGCCAGATCAGCTGTCCTTCACTGCCATAATTGTCTCACTGTTATAATTTTTGCAAAGGCAGTTCTACCGGGAGGAGGACTTCCTTCCCACCAGGCATAAAGAAACAAAAGAAGAAAGTAAATGTGTCAGCAGTACTCCTTGAGAATGTCAGTCCAGGCTCCCACATATGGTCACAGCAGATTTAAACTCCCATTTTCCTTTCCACTCCTGGACCTCATGGATCCCCCACTGCCTCTTTACATAGTGGTCCTACATTCTGGTTTGATGAAAACAATTCTAGGCCAGGTGTGGTGGTTCATGCCTGTAATCCTAGTGTTACTGGAAAGGGGTCCTGATCCAGACCCCAAGAGAAGGTTCTTGGATCTCTTGCAAGAAAGAATTCAAGGCGAATCCAGAGTAATGTGAAAGCAAGTTTGTTAAGAAAGCAAAGGAACAGGCCAGGCGTGGTAGCTCAAGCCTGTAATCCCAGCACTTTCGGAGGCCGAGGCGGGCGGATCACAAGGTCAGGAGATTGAGACCGTCCTGGCTAACAAGATGAAACCCCATTTCTACTAAAAAATACAAAAAATTAGCTGGGTGTGGTGGCGGGCACCTGTAGTCCCAGCTACTCAGGAGGCTGAGCCAGGAGAATGACGTGAACCCAGGAGGCAGAGCTTGCAGTGAGCCGAGATCGTGGCACTGCACTCCAACCTGGGCAACAGAGCGAGACTCTGTCTCAAAAAAAAAAAAAAAAAAAGAAAGGAAAGTAAAGGAATAAAGAATGGCTACTTCATAGGCAGAGCAGCGCCATGGGCTGCTCAGCTGCTTACACTTATTGTTACTTCTTGATGATATGCTAAACAAGGGGTAGATTATTCATGAGCTTTCTGGGAAGTGGGTGGGCAATTTCCGTAACTGAGGGTTCCTCCCCTTTTTAGACCATATAGGGTACTTGCTGACATTGCCATGGCATTTGTAAACTGTCAGTGCGCTGGTGGCAGTGTCTTTTAGCATACTAATGCATTATAATTAGCAATATAATGAGCAGTGAGGATGACCAGAGGTCACTTTCATTGCCATCGTGGATTTGGTGGGTTTTTGCTGGCTTCTTTACCACAACCTGCTTTATCAGCAAGGTCTTTGTGACCTGTATCTTGTGCCGATCTCCTATGTCATCCTGTGACTTGAGTGCCTAACCTTCTGGGAATGCAGCCCAGTAGGTCGCAGCCTTATTTTACCCAGTCTCTATTCAAAATGGAGTTGTTCTGGTTCAAATGACTCTGACACTAGCACTATAGGAAGCTGAGGCGGGAGGATCGCTTGAGCTCAGGAGTTCAAGACCAGACTGGGCAACATAGCGAGACCTTGTCAGTACAAAATACAAACAAAATTAGCCGGGAGTGGTGGCATCTGCTTGTAGTCCCAGCTACTTAGAATGCTGAGATGGGAGAATTGCTTCAGCCCAGCAAGTCAAGGCTGCAGTGTGCTATGATCGTGCCACTGCACTCCAGCCTGGGTGACAGAGTGAGACCCTGTCTCAAAACAAAAAATAAAGCAATTGCAAATATTTGAAACCCCCAAAAAGAATGGGGAAGGGGTGAATCCTATCTTTACTTAATATTTTGGTTATTGTTCATGATCAGTTCTTTTGCATTAATTTTGATTTGCTAAAATACTGCATTAAAATACCATTTATCCTAATTACCGAGAGTCTAGGCATCCCCTTCCTTACCTCACCCTAGTCCCAGCCCTTCAAGTGCCTCAATTTATAAGACTTTCTGGTAAGAGCCCTTTAGTGAGCTCACCTGTTGCGTTCTGAATAGGGATCAGTTTTTTAATGTTTTCATATACGTTTTCAGGAACACAGCTAGTATATAACAAAAGGAAGGACTCTCCTGTATATTTTTTCTTGGTGTTTTAAAGCCCATGCATACGAACAAATGTCTCCAATGACACAGAATCTCCAACTCCAGTTGCAAATCCTCTCTCACCCAACAGGCACTCTTTATTCGGAAGAGAACTTCCTTTAACCCTGAGTAGGAACTAAAATTCAAGTCATGTAAAAACAACACTTTTCAAAAGTGCCAGTATTTTGCTTTCTTCCTGTCCTCTGGTATGTGTTCTAAGTGCTTTTTTTAACAAACTAGTCTGACAGAAACCGCAACTGCAGGAAGCTGGAGCCCAAAATAAATAACTATATTTAAAAAAAAACACTTAGGTTCAGCTCTTAAAGAGCTAAACAGGCTCATAGCAAGTAAAACCCAGTCCTCTGCAGTAAAACCACCTCCCTCCCTACCTTATTGCTGAAAGTCAAGCTCCTGCCCTCCTACCCTAGACTTTCCATCCTAAGAGTCCCAGTCCCTCCTACTTTGAAGCCAAACGCATGGCTCCAGAGATGCCTGGCTTCACTCTGCCTCCTTCCTCCTGGAGGGCCGGAGCAGGGGCTTCACACTCACAGGGTGACAGAGCAGCACAGGACAGAATGACTCAGGTGGCAGGAACGCTCTGGTTGCTTGATGAGCAAAGCGTGTGGGGGAGGAGCAAATGGCTTCGACCAAGCAGCAGATGAGCAAGGCAGTCTAAGAGGAGAAAAGGGAATCACATAATTTGTATTTGTACTTTCTTTAAAAAAAAAAAAGACCAAAAACCAAAGAAACAAAGCTCAGATTCTACTTAGCGATCTCAAGACTTGCCCACAGATACTCAACTAAGTGTTTAACAATGTCTACACCCTGTCCAGGCCAGCCTGTGTCTCTTCTCCAGCCCGTAGCTGTCAGGTTGTTTTATACGCTGGTGCCACCTGTGGGGCGTGGTACAGGGGGGCCTGCTGGATTACATCTTAGTGTGTATTTACTACACATGCTGCCTGAACTGCCTGCATTCTGGCTGTGGCCTGGTGTATATCCCAGGCCTTGGGTCATTTCCATCCTACGTCTCCCAGAGCCCATAGATACCCGGGGTGGCCTTTAAAACTGGTGTCAGGCTGGGCCTGGAAAGTACCACCCAGATCCAGAACCAGCCTGCAGAATCCAGCTGCCTGGGGTTTGGGAGGGAAGGCCTTGACAGGCACTAAGCTGGCTGTTCCCTGTGAGTCAGAGCACACTGCACTGGGAGTTACATCCCTTGGGATGGGTTGAACAGTCACAACCAGAGGATACAGAGAGTCTCTTCCTTACCTCCTTCAAGCCAACCACGGGCTTTGTGTATTAGTTTTTTCATGTACAAAGCTGTCAAATAGTAAGGTCGAAGGGTATTCCTTGTCCCCTCTTGCTAATAATGCAGGATTCTAGCCCTCTCTGCTTCTCATCTTAGATATTTCTGAATGCTCACAGGAGTTTATCTTGCATCCTTATGATTAAGTCAGTTCAATTTCAATGTTATGTCCTGGACTCTGCTGCCAGTGTCTGGCACTGCTACCCTGTGCTGCTAAAGTGCAGGGCAAAGTAGGGAGACAGCATCATGGCCCCCTTTTTATAGGTTTCACTCTGTTGTTAGGATATAGGAGTGGTACAGTAGGCCAAAAAGTGACCCCCCAAAAGATATCCACATCAAACCCCTAAATCTGTGAATGTTCCCTTGCTGGGGAGAAAAGGTCTTTGCCGATGTGATGAAATTAAGGATCTTGACAGGAGGTGCTTATTCGGCATTATCCAGGTGGACCCCAAATGCAATCACATGTATCGTTATAAGATAGACACACGGAGGGGTTGGACGTGGTGGCTCACGCCTGTAATCCCAGTACTTTGGGAGGCTGAGGTGGGCAGATCACCTGAGGTCGGGAATTCAAGACCAGCCTGACCAACATGGAAAAACACCGTCTCTACTAAAAATACAAAATTAGCTGGGCGTGGTAGCGGGGTGCCTGTAATCCCAGCTACTCTGGAGGCTGAAGCAGAAGAATCGCTTTAACCCAGTGGGCAGAGATTGCGGTGAGCTGAGATGGTGCCATTGCACTCCAGCCTGGGCAACAAGAGCGAAACTCTGTCTCAAAAAAAAAAAAAAAAAGATAGACATACAGACAAGACACAGACATACTACAGAAGACATACAGAGGAGAAGTCAATGGAAAACTGAGAGATGTGGAACGATGCTGGGACATCGGAAGACAGAGGAGGGTAGGAACGGATTGTCCCCCAGGGCCCTGGAGAGAGTTTGGTGCTGCTGACACCTTAATTTCAGACTTCTGACCTCCAGAAGTGTGAGACAATAAATTTCTGTTGTGTAGAATTTAGTTTGTGGTAATTTGTTACTGCAGTCTCAGGAAAGGAAGATGAGCAATGTTGTTTATATTCTCCCAATGCCCTGCAGGGGTTTCTTTTGTGTATTTGTCCTCTAATTGGGTGAGTGTTCTCAATTGAAAGAGCTCTTTCGGTTATTGCTCCCATAGGACTCAGACATGAGTAGATGGTGATCCTGGGCTCGGACAAGCAGCAGCCACCAAACTCTACTAGAGATCCTGTCTCCCCTCTGCACAAATTCGTTCTGTCTGGTTCCCTCTTCCTTTAGGAGAGTTCTGTCCACGGGGTTCCTCAGGCCCTCCTGGAGTAGACTTCAGATGGGCCACCCCGAAAAACTCACGTGGAGATCTTAATGCCGGGGGGAGACTGGACTCACCTCGGAAATAACATGATACACGGGCATGTGTAAACGCAATGTACAAAACTTGGCTGCCTGGGTTCCTAACAGACTCGAATGCATTTGGAGAGCAGGATGAGGTTTCTTTGTAGCTGGCATAAGATAAAATTCCATTACAAGTTGCATTCAAATTACCCACTAGCTGCTGCTGCTGCTTCTTTTTGTTTGTTTGTTTTTGGCAGAGTCCCGCTGTGTCGTCCAGGCTGGAGCGCAGTGGTGTGATCTCGGCTCACTGCAACCTCCCTCCACCCCTGGGTTCAAGTGAACCTCCTGTCTCAGCCTCCTGAGTAGCTGAAATTACAGGTACCGGCCACCACGCCCAGCTAATTTTTTTTTTTTTTTTTTTTTTTTGGTATATTTAGCAGAGACGGGGTTTCGCCATGTTGGCCAGGCTGATCTCAAACTCCTGACCTCAAGTGATCTGCCTGCCTTGGCCTCCCAAAGTGCTGGGATTACAGGTGTGAGCCACCGCGCCCGGTCTCCTGCCAGCTTTGTTGAATGGCCTTCATTGCCTAAAATACTCTCTTCCTCAACTTCAACAAGGGGCTGAAGACTCTACTGTGAAAACCCCTTTTTTATGTTACCAATTCGTACCATAGGATATTCTTCATCTGGAGAACCAGTTACCTCAGAGGACTGCAATTTTAAATAAAGATACCCCAAGCCACCATTTATGATTATCTTCTTCTGGGCACTATAGAAAATTCCTAAACAAAATGTTGTTGTTGTACTGTCGTGCCCAGTGGAAACTTACTTTCTAAAAAAAAAAAAGCTATTGGCCAGGTGCAGTGGCTCCTGCCTGTAATCTCAGCACTTTGGGAGGCTGAGTGGGGAGGATCACTTGAGACCAGGTGTTTAAGATCTGCCTGAGCAACACAACAAGACCCCATCTCTACAAAAAATTTTAAAATTACCTGGGCATGGCGTTGCGCTTCTGTAGTCCTAGCTACTTGGGAGACTGAGGAGGGAGGATCACTTGAGCCCGGGAGTTTGAGGGTGCAGTGAGCTATGATCATGCCACTGCACTCCAGCCTGAATGACAGAGCAAGATTCTGTCTCTAAAAAAAAAACAAACTTTTTTTTATTTTATAATATATCTCAGAGAGGCTTTTATATCCATATATTGAGTGCCCTTGACCTTTCTTTGTGTCAGTATTATTCCATTGTGTAGATGTAACATCAGTTTTTTTTTCAGACGGAGTCTCACTCTGTTGCCCAGGCTGGAGTGCAGTGGCATGATCTCAGCTTACTGCAACCTCTGCCTCCAGACTTCAAGCAATTCTTCCGCTTCAGCCTCCTGAGTAGCTGGGACTACAGGCGTGCACCACCACATCCCCGGCTAATTTTTGTATTTTTAGTGCAGACAGGGTTTCACCATATTGGCCAGGCTGGTCTCAAACTCCTGACCTTGTGATCCACCCGCCTCGGCCTCCCAAAGTGCTGGGATTACAGGCGTGAGCCACTGCGCCCGGCTGTACATCAGTTTTTCAAAAAACTTGTCCCCTATGAGGGACATTTAGCAACAACCTAAATTTAAAATTAGGCTGGGTGCAGAGGCTCACACCTGTAATCCTATCACTTTGGGAAGCTGAGGTGGGTGGATTACTTGAGCCCAGGAGTTCAAGACCAGTCTGGGCAACATGGCAGAATCCCATCTCTACTAAGAATACAAAAAATTGGCCGAGCGTCATGGAATGTGCTTAAAGTCCCAGCTGCTCAGGAGGCTGAGGTGGGAGGATCACTTGAGTCTGGGAGGCAGAGGTTGAAGTGAGCCAAGATGGCACCACTGCACTCCAGCCTGGGTGACAGAATGAGACCCTGTCTCAAAAAATAAAAAACAGGCTGGCTTGGTGGCTCACGCCTGTAATCCCAGCACTTTGGGAGGCCGAGGCGGGTGGATCACTTGAGGTCAAGAGTCCGAGACCAGCCTGGCCAACATGGTGAAACCCTGTCTCTACTAAAAATACAAAAATTAGCCAGGCTTGGTGGCATATGCCTGTAATCCCAGCTACTCAGGAGGCTGAGGGAAAAGAATTGCTTGAACCCAGGAAGTGGAGGTTACAGTGAGCTGAGATCGTACCATTGCACTCCAGCCTGGGCGACAGAGTGAGACTCTGTCTTAAAATAAATAAATAAATTAATTAAATTAAATGAAAAAAATTAAAAAATTAATACTTCTAAAAAAACAGGAACGAATTTCACAGTGCTCTCAGTATATTAGCAAAATATTTTCCAATAAAAATTATTTTTAATACTATCTTATTTTAAAATACATACATATATGTGTTTTTATTTTATATCTCAGAGAGGTTTTTATATCTATATATTGAGTGTCCTTGACCTTTCTTTGTGTCAGTATTATTCCATTGTGTAGATGTAACATAGTTTTTTAAAAACTTGTCCCCTATAATGAACATTTTGCAATATATATATATATATTTACTTGTAATAAATCTACATGTTTTACAGAGCAACCAGATTTAGTAAACCTCCAAATGCCCCATCGGATGGGGCCATGAGGGCAGGGAAGCCATATGAAAGGCCCACAAGACTTGGGGAAGGATTGCATAGAGGGATTGGTGCAGAGCCTGAAAAGCAGGTTAGTCCTGATCCCGGGGCTGCACCATTATCCTGGACAAATTCCAAGGCCATCTGCTTTGCCTGTCAAGCCTAATGGTTTTCAAGTTTCTGGTGTCCAACAAGTAGGAATAGAGAAACTTACTTAAGTTACCTCCAGCTAATGAAGAAATATTGAAGTTCTTTTGAAGTTGGGTCATAAACATTTTACCAAGAAGAGGAAATAACAATTGTCTTAGGGTAACATTGATAAAATATCCTAATCCTTTGATGTCAGTGTAGGAAACAGCTGAGTAATTTATTAGCAAGCTTATGCTTTAAGTACAATTATTGTAGAAGAAAAATGTTCATATCTGAATTTTGCTCTCAGTTGCTCTCAAAGCAGTTTCTCCTCAAGTTCATTAATAACCATGTTTAAAAATTTTATCTTTAGACAACATATAAACAGCATGATGAAAATGAACCAAATGCTTCTTATTGACTATATATTTTACACATAAAAATGAGCCATTAGTTTAGATACTCTGATTCTCTTTCCAGTTCACAGAAAAATGACCTATAATTTGTTTTATTTTACCAAATAAAGAATGAATTTGAAAATACCCTTTCCTGGCCAGGCGCGGTGGCTCACGCCTGTAATTCCAGCACTTTGGGAGGCCGAGGCGGGTGGATCATGAGGTCAGGAGTTCAAGATCAGCCTGGCCAGCATGGTGAAACCCTGTCTCTACTAAAAAAATACAAAAAATTAGCCGGGTGTGGTGGCACACACCTGTAATCCCAGCTACTCGGGAGCCCAAGGCAGGGGAATCACTTGGACATGGGAGGCTGAGGTTGCAGTGAGCACAGTGAGCGCAGATCGCGCCATTGCACTCCAGCTTGGGCAACAAGAGAGAAACTACGTCTCAAAAAAGAAAGAAAGAAAGAAAAGAAAAGAAAATACCCTTTCCATTCTCCTTTTGTCTCCATTCTCCTTTTGTCTTTTTTTTTTTTTTTTTTCTTTTTTTTGAGACGGACTCTCGCTCCGTCGCCCAGGCTGAAGTGCAATGGCGCCATCTCGGCTCACTGCAAGCTCCGCCTCCCCGGTTCATGCCATTCTCCTGCCTCAGCCACCCGAGTAGCTGGGACTACAGATGCTCGCCACCAGTCCCGGATAATTTTTTGTATTTTTTTTTTTTAGTAGAGACGGGGTGTCTCCGTGTTAGCAAGGATGGTCTCCATCTCCTGACCTCGTGATCCGCCCGCCTCGGTACAGGCATGAGCCACCGCGCCCGTCCTCCATTCTCTTTTTGATAGAATGTGGAAACATAGAGAAAAGAGTCTTCCACTCCTGCCTTATCATTGCTTCTTCCTAGTGATAATCTTTGCATTTGTTTGGCACAAGATGTGATGTTGCAAACGGCTGAGCCTCATGCTTCCAACTCCAAGGGAATTCCTGGGTGTAGAAGAATTCTTGTTCCCCTTCACCCTTCAGAGTTCAATGGAAATCAACTAATTAACTTTACAAAAGGTGGATTAATAAGAGAAAAGGCATACAAATTTGTATTAACTTGCACGGAGTGAAAATCACAGAGTGATTATCCCTCAACCCAGTGGGGTACAGATGCTCATATACCTTTCTTCTTAGCGGAAAGGGAGATGGAGAAGTGTAGATAATTTTAGGGGAGTAGTAAATGATTTTTAGAGGAATTCGATGGGCTTGAAGAACATAAAATGGCCTGGACAAGTCTGTTGGGCCCGCAGAGCAGACGATGGTTTCTGACAAAAGTCTATCCAGGTGCGTCGACAGGCTTTAAGTCTTTATTCCTGTGATAGGAATTTTCAGTTAATTAAAATTCAAGGAAGGGACCAGAGATCATTGTTTTCCTCTTTGGCAGGTCTGAACTTTGGGCAGATAAGGGAACTTCAGAGAACAACTTCACCTCGTGCTTTGGGAGAGATAGGGGATCAAGAGGAGGGTGGAGGGAGAAGGTTAGAGAGACCTTGAGCCTTCTTCTTCAGTTCAGCATGTCAAAGCACCATATTTTGGGGTATTTGTTTCTGAACCCCAGCATCTCCAAATTATGGGAGTCAAATTGTCCTCACTCAGGTTTATGACTGCCATGCTCCTGTTTTGCGAGATAGGCTGTGATTTTTCTTTCCCCACTTTCATTTGTTTATTTTTTTGGGACGGAGTCTCGCTCTGTCACCAGGCTGGAGTGCAGTCGCACAATCTCGGCTCACTGCAACCTCTGCCTCCCGTGTTCAAGTGATTCTCCTGCCTCAGCCTCTTGAGTAGCTGGGACTACAGGCGCCCGCCACTGCGCCCGGCTAATTTTTGTATTTTTAATAGAGATAGGATTTCACCATTTTGGTCAGGATGGTCTTGATCTCTTGACCTCGTGATCCACCTGCCTTGGCCTCCCAAAGTGCTGGAATTACAGGTGTGAGCCACTGCACCTGGCCTCTTTCCCCACTTTGGCAAACTCAGTGTGTCTCCACAAATAACAGAATCCTCGGTAGCTAGTACATTGGTCCCATAATGAGGCTATGTAATGTGTTATGTGAAAGCAACAATCAAATTCTCACCATCCTGCAGATTTTTCTACTCTTTCCAATTCTGGATTGTAAGTTCCCTGTTCACTGTGACTGCTAACTCTTCCTAAAGGGGATGCAAATTGAATTGTGTGATTTGAATTTTAGATTGTAAACTCATCTTCAGTGAAACATGTTTTTGCTGTGAATTTCTCATGAGGCCCTGACAGTGAAAGTGTCTCTACTGAGCAGTTTCCTGTTTAGTTCTGCCAGATCATTGAAGGTTTCAACAGTCCTGACCAGTTTTGTGTTAATTTGTTACCTTATATGCTTAGAGTTTCTGCAGCACAAAGGGAGTGTAAAAATCAGGTCTTAGGCTTTGTTTTCTCACAAGTGATATTTTCTTTTCTTTTCTTTTCTTTTCTTTTTTTTTTTTTTTTTGAGACAAAGTCCCACTGTGTCACCCAGGCTGGAGTGTAGCGGTGCAGTCTCGGCTCACTGCAACCTCTCCCTCCCAGGTTCAAGTGATTCTCGTGCCTCAGCCTCCCAAGTAGCTTGGACTACAGGCATGCACCACCACACCTAGCTAATTTTTATAATTTTTAATAGTTGCCCAGGCTGGTCTCGAACTCCTGACCTCAGGTTATCTGTCTGCCTCATCCTCCCAAAGTGTTGGAATTATAGACCTGAGCCACCATGCCCGACCAACAAGTGATATTTTCTTAACACCCAAGGTCTCAGACAGTTGGCATGCTGTGGGATCTACTTCCCCAGGACAGTGGGAAGAGTTTTTCTAGGCCATGATTTCTGGACCGAGTAGCTCTTTAATGTTTCAAGATTTATTTAGAGTCCAAATTCCAGCTCTCCTATTCCACATGGACAAAAGTCATCATATTTTCTGTCCCTAGCCCAGTCTCTAGGGCTCACAGTTGAGCCTAAAATCCATCCAGAAAAATTTTGGCTGGAAAGCAAGCAATAAATAGTGAAATCAAAGGACTATTAAGCCAGGTGCAGTGGGGTGTTCCTGTAATCCCATTACTTGGGAGACTGAGGTGAGAGGATTGCTTGAGCTCAGGAGTTCGAGACCAGCCTGGGCAATATAGCAATACCCAATGTCCATTAGAAAAAATAAATAAAGAAATATAAAAGGAAGGCTGGGTGTGGTGGCTCACATCTGTAATCCCAGCACTTTGGGAGGCTGAGGTAGTCAGATCACCTGAGGTCAGGAGTTCGAGACCAACCTGGACAACATGGCGAAACCCTATCTTTACTAAAAATACAAAAATTAGCTGGGTGTGGTGGTGTGTGCCTGCAATCCCAGCTACTCGGGAGGCTGAGGAAGGAGAACTGCTTAAATCTGGGAGGTGGAGGTTGCAGTGAGCCAAGATCGTGTCTTGGCACTCCAGCCTGGGATACAGAGTGAGACTAAAAAGGGTTTTACTTTGTAAATGCTAAATTTGAGGTGATATGTGAACTTGAGTTTGTTGGAAAGGCTGTTTCTGACTCTATCTCCCTGTACGTTATTTGTTACATATAATTTAACATACATATTAAGGCCAGGCACAGTGGCTCACACCTATAATCCTAGTACTTTGGGAGGCTGAGGCGGGTGGATCACTTGAGCCCATAAGTTTGAGATCAGCCTGGGCAACTTGGAGAAACCTGTCTCTACAAAAAATAGAGAAATTAGTTGGGCCTGGTTGCACACGCCTGTAGTCCCAGCTACTCTGAAAGCAGAGGTAGGATCACTTGAGCCTGGTCAAGCCTGCAGTGAGCTCAGATTGTGCCACTGCACTCCAGCCTGGGTGACAGAGGGAGAACTTTTCTCAAAAAATAAAATAAATAGAATATGTATTTTAAATATTCACCTGGACAAGGCCAGAGCCAATTTGGGGCAAAATCGTTAAGTCCATAAGTTCAGGGGCCTCCCAACCCTTGCTGGAGCAGATGTCAAGAAGAGTGGCCCTGTGGTGAAGTGGAAAAAATTGACTTTGGAGCCAGGCAAGCCTGGGTTCAAGTCCTGTCTGTGGCATTTAGTAGCCATGTGACTTTGGTAAAATCAGTTAATTTTTCTGAGCCCCAGTTACTTTTCTACAAAATAAGGACAATAGTGATCACCCTTCAGTGTTGTTGAGAGTATTAAATTATGTAAAGTAGTTTAGGAGTTACATCATACATATAATTAACTTACATGAATTCCACAACACTGGCCTTTCTTCCCCTTTTTCCTCTTTTATGTAATTAAACATTCTGAAATACGCTTTAGTTTCTAAATGAAGTCTTGCTCTGTCACCCAGGCTGGAGTGCAGTGGCATGATTTTGGCTCCCTGTAGCCTGAACTCCTGGGCTCAAACAACCCTCCTTCCCCAGCCTCGCAAGTAGGTGGGACTACAGGGACACACCAACACACTTGGCTAATTGTTATATTTTTTTGGTAGATATGGGGTCTCACTATGTTGTTTGAACTCCTGGGCTCAAGTGACCCTCTCGCCTTGGCCTTCCAAAATGCTGGAATTATAGATGCGAGCCATTGCGCCCGGCCCTGAAATACGCTTTTAATATGTAATTTTAGTTATATATGTTTTTATATGTAATTTTAATTATATATGTAAGAAGTGTGTTTTACATTTATACGTACATGTTGGCATAAGAGAATATATACACGTCTCTATGTGTGCAGTATTTTCTGAGTTATTTAAGAAATTTTCAAGACTCATTTTGGCAATAGGCAACTTTTGCCCCAGATATTTGCTTTGGAATCTCACTCCCACATGAGATTTTGTTCTGTTGATTTCAGAAGGTGTTCAACAAACTTTAGCCCCCTTTCCTCCTTTGCTCCTAATTTGTTTCTATTTTTTAGGTTTCTACTGAAATACCTGATGATCTCATGCTGTCACTGTTAACTCCTGTGAAAGGAAGGCATCCAGTATCTTTATCCTAAGCATTTGGAGATCATGGGTTCCAGCTTCCAGAGCACCACTGAAGTGGGGAAGGAAGAGCATGGGGATCAAAGATCAACCTAAAGGGCAGTGCGATTTTTTTTTTCTTATCAACATTGTAATGAAACAGGCCATGCCTGTAATCCCAGCACGTAGGAGGATAAGGTGGGCAGATCACTTGAGGTCAGGAGTTTGAGACCAGCCTGGCCAACGTGGTAAAACCCAGTCTCTACTAAAAAAAATGCAAAAATAAACATGGTAAAATTGGTTTCTGTTATATATTGTTCACTTAAAGTTGCAGTTTCCGAGAACCTATTAATGACATTAGGTGTGGATTTGACTACTTTGCTTTGTCCCTTGTGCATATTCTCCTTCAGTGAGCTTGGCAGGGAAGTCCAGTGCAGGATTCTGGTATTCCAAGATCTTCTGACTATAATACCATCACATAACATGATTACATCTTACTTTGACATGTTGGATGCTACAATGTTTAGGGTCTTTATTTGCATGTCAGAGATCTTTGTATAATACAATTAAAAATTAGTAAGTAAAAAAAAATTCACTGCCTTGCATTTTCTCTGGGAAGTTAAGAATATCATAGAAATAATCAGCAGATAGGAGAGTAAGCGCTAAAGTTTGTGATCCAGGTTTTGGTGCTGGAATTGTCCAGAGAGCAGCAGATGCCAGAAGGAACGTAGAGGCTTCAGGGCAAGGCAGACTTGAACTAAACACTCATAACCTCATGAGAAATGCCGGGATGGGGCTGGCAAACTCATCCAGCCGAAGGGCTGTCCTCCAGACAGCAGTTTGGACAATCGTTTCCAAAGTCATATGGCAAGTTTGTATTTGAATCGTGGGAATCTGATGCAATAAGTGATGCGGGCAACTGAAGCCACTGAGCATTGGAAACACTTGACCTTCAATGGGTGCTGGTGTTCAGATTCCAAGTATTCTGACTGCTTCTGGGGCTAAGGAGGAATGGTGCCAGCCCCTAGGGAGAGGGAAATGGCAAGAGGATGTCACATGCCTAGTCCCAGCTGAGTGAGCTGGAGCTTCAGTCCCAGCAGGGGACTATGTCTAGGTCATAGAGAGAGAAGCCTTGTACAGGAACTTGGGAAACTAGTGATGTTGAGGGGGTTGAGGGGGATAAGTGGAGGGCAGAGGCTTCATTTTACTTGCATTCCCAGGAACTCATCTCTGGGCACACCAGCTACTCCTGGGAGTAAGGCACCAATGTTACTTCCAGACCCAACTAGGTAAATGGGTAAGGGACTTGCTTAGAATTGGTTTAAGGATCAAGAGTGACTGAGCCTGCAGCTGAGGAGACCGAGTAATGTCAACTAAAGAATCACATAATTTATACATTTAGAAAAAATTCTTTTTTTTTTTTTCCAGAGACAGAGTCTTACTCTGTCACTCAGGCTGGAGTGCAGTGGTGCGATCTTGACTCACTGAAACCTCCACCTCCCAGGTTCAAATGATTCTTGTGCCTCAGCCTCCTGAGTGGCTGGGATTACAGGCACCCACCACCATGTCTGGCTAATTTTTGTATTTTTAGTAGAGATGGGGTTTCACCACGTTGGCCAGGCTGGTCTTGAACTCCTGGCTCAAGTGGTTTACCCGCCTCGGCCTCCCAAAGTACTGGGATTATAGGTGTGAGCCACTGCACCTGGTCAGAAAAAAGACTTTTTTTTTTTTTAAATTTATTATTATTATACTTTAAGTTTTAGGGTACATGTGCACAATGTGCAGGTTTGTTACATATGTATACATGTGCCATGCTGGTGCGCTGCACCCACTAACTCGTCATCTAGCATTAGGTATATCTCCTAATGCTATCCCTCCCCCCTCCCCCCACCTCACAACAGTCCTCAGAGTGTGATGTCCCCCTTCCTGTGTCCATGTGTTCTCATTGTTCAATTCCCACCTATGAGTGAGAATATGCGGTGTTTGGTTTTTTGTTCTTGCGATAGTTTACTGAGAATGATGATTTCCAATTTCATCCATGTCCCTACAAAGGACATGAACTCACCATTTTTTATGGCTGCATAGTATTCCATGGTGTACATGTGCCACATTTTCTATAAAGGGTTACAGCCCGTAAGGTGGCTGTCCTCACAGGCTGCAAAGTGTAGCCTCTGGCAGAGATTGTTAGCAAGCACTTCAAGGAAGGGGAGGGTGGAACAGGGATTTATGCTGAATGTGTTGGCCAGGTATATGTATTCACCAGGTTACAGGAGGAGCTATGAATATTCATGGAGGAGATCATAATGCATGTTTACCAAATAAACATATATGTTACATAAGATCCATGTTCACTTTTAACAAATGAGAAGACAACATTTAAATGCATTACAATTAGACCCTCTGCATCAAAAGGTGAAGCAGGGACATGAAGGCACTCAGTGACCAGCCTCTGTAAACCAGCTAGAACCAGTCCACAGTCAGTAGTCTCTTATCAGGAGAAAGTTACTGAAATTAGTGTATTGTCCAATCAAAGCTGTAGTTGTGGCTTGTAAAACGGGTGTGTGTGTGGGGGGGTGGTCATTTAGCATCTGGCAGTGAGGGAGTTGAATTTTTTTAATATTGCTTATCTCAAGGACAGTACTTGCTTAGCTGATAGAGAAAAAGAAAAGTCCCGTGGCAGTCAAAACATAGTTTATTCTTTAAGTGTAAGGGGTGTGTGACTTAACCTTTCTCTGGCATGGCCTTAGGTCCTGTTTATACTTTGGTATCTTATTGCCACAAAGAGTCTATTCTGTGAGTCTTATGATCTCGAATTTAACATTAATGCTGGTCAGCTGTGGTGTCTAAACTACACGAAGAGGGGAGCACAATGAGGCCCATCTGGCCTCCTGTCCCATCATGGCTGGGAACTCAAGTTTTTAAGGTTTCTCTGGGGTCCCCTTGGCCAAGAGGGGGTCTGTTCAGTTGGTTGAGGGCTTAGGATTTTATTTTTAGTTCTCAGTGACATAGAAGTGGATTTAGATCTTGGAAGGATGCTTAGCCCAGTGCCAGAGCATAGCAGGGACTCAATAAATGTTGATTGAGGTGATGACTGAGGTTGAAGAGACAAAAGAAATACATAGGAAACATTTTTTCCCACAATGTGAGAACATATATCACGAAAAACTACATCGTATGGCTCAGCCAAAATTATGTAGGAGATTGCATTGGTTAGGATAAAGGCTATGCTACTGCAAAAAAGAGACTCAAAAATTCAGAGACTTAAAAAGGATAAAAATGTATTTCTCTTTGATATAACAATTTGATTAGTCTAGGCTATCAAGACAGCTCTACTTATGAGGCCATTCAGGATCAATTGCTTCTTCCACCATTGCTTAGGGCTGCAGTTCCTAAACTGTGTACCAACTTGTCCCAGGGAGCTTCAGTGAACTGCTAGGGGCACCATGGAATGTTTCAAATTTTTAACAAAGACACAGTGATCCTCAACATCTGACATGCCACAAAAACTACTAGCTACTAGGTAGTTCACAGTATCAACTTTAGTTAGCACTACTTTCCTTTTGATGACATCGTGTTTTTGTAAAGCTAGGTCTTTGGTGGTTGCTATGACAAAAAGTAAGTATTATGAGAAAATCAGTGTGAAACAGTAATAAAGGTGGCAGTGTCCAATGTGAATCCAAGGTCTGAGGACTTGTACAGTGCCCAACAGGTGCACATTCCCATTACAAAGTAATTGCAGTTGTTTAAAAGTAAAATAAAATGTTTTTATTTCAATTTATGTAAATTATTTTTGCAAATGACTACTAAGTGTTGGGAGACAATTCTCCATGGATTTCTCATGGGCTTGCACATGTCATAAGCAAAGGCCCTAGCTGCCTTTGATCCAGACTATATTTTCAAGATGTTTGTGTAGCTAATAGCCTCGGGAGGCAGAGATAGCAACTTCCTCTGGAGTAAAGAGCAGGTCTGTTTACTGTCTAGTAATAAAGATAATGTCTCCCTCCAGGGCAAAGATCAGGCAGGCTTACTGCTGATTATAAAAGATTCATATTACCAAAGCTTGGTAACCTGAGATTCAGGCTACCTCTCCTATAATACAACCCACTGTGTCTGCAGGTGCCATATGTCCCTCTTCATATAGCACTGTAGGAATCAGGGCTCAGAAAAGCAGAGCTAATGAGGACACTCTGGCTATTGCTACTGCCAAGAGTAATAAATTCCTTAGTTTCTGACCCAGGAGTCTTGTGTCTTCTGCCAGCATCCATAAAACTGTGGCAGACTAACTTGCTAGTTTACAAGTAGGATGAAATCTCAGACCCCTCACAGTTTTTGACATTAAGTTGTTAGGATACACGAACTTATTAGGTTGTTTGGATAAAACTACTCAATACACAGAACTGTTGGGTACTTCTTTTGGCCAGGGAGCACTGTGATAAAATTACTGAGACACTAAGGGTGCTGTGAACTGAGAAGTTTGGGAATTTCTGGCTCTGTGCATTTCTGTGCATTGTTCTCATCTCTGTGTGTGTGTGTTTGTGTGTGTGTGTGTGTGTGTGTGTGTTTGACAGAGTCTCACTCTGTCACCCAGGCTAGAGTGCAGTGGTGTGATCTTGGCTCACTGCAACCTCTGCCTCCCGGGTTCAAGTGATTCTTGTGTCTCAGCCTCCTGAGTAGCTGGGATTATAGGCATGCACCACCATGCACAGCTAATTTTTGTACTTTTAGTAGAGATGGGTTTTCACCATGTTGTTCAAGCTGGTCTTGAACTCCTGACCTCAGGTGATCCACCCGCCTTGGCCTCCCAAAGTGCTGGGCAGGTGTGAGCCACTGCACCCAGCCTCATCCATGTGTTTGAAGATGACTGGGAAGTCATCACTTTACATCACAGAGAGGTAAAAGGGAAAAAGACAAAGGAAGCAATTTCTTTTTAAAAGCAAGCCAGGCACAAGTCACACACATTTCTGGCTCACATTCCATTGGTGAACTTAGTTATGTGTCCACAGCCAGCCACTAAGGAGGCTGGGAAGTGGAATCTCTAGTTAAGTATCCATGGCCTGGCTTAAACTCTACATTTCTGGAAGAAAAGGAGATAGATTTTGGTGGACAACTAACATTCTCCACCACAGAGATATTTCCTTATGGTTAGTTATTGCTGCTTGAACTAATACTCCGGGTGGAGATGTGTAAATAGTCTTTTAATATCTTCATTGTGAGCTGGCACTGTGTGGTTTTTATCTGACAGGAATGTGCTTGGTAATCTCTGCAGTTTTCTTGCTTCCTTACCCTCTTTTGGCTTCCTATACTAGCCCTAATGCTCAGAACCCATTAATGAGAATCTCTGCTGATACAGTTTGGCTGTGTCCCTACCCAAATCTCGTCTTGAATTGTAGCTCCCATAATCCCCATGTGTCCTGGAAGGGACCCGGTGGGAAGTAATTGAATCATGGGGGCGGGTTTTCCCGTGCTGTTCTCGTGATAGTGAGTAAGTCTCACGAGATCTGATAGTTTGATAAAGGGCGGTTCCCCTGCACATGCTTTCTTGCCTGCTGCCATGTAACAACTGCCTTTGCTCCTCCTTTGCCTTCTGCTATGATTGTGAGGCCTCCCCAGCCATGTGGAACTGTGAGTCCATTAAATCTCTTTTTCTTTATAAATCACCCAGTCTCAGGTATGTCTTTATTAGCAGTGTAAGAACAGACTAATACATTTGCCTAGGCAGATTCTGGGATGCCCAGTCTCTTCTCTTGGGTGGCAGGTGCTGGGACCTGCAATGTGTATTCTTGGATTTTAGAGCTTATGGTGGAGGGTGGAGCAGTGAGTAGGGCATGGATCCTCGACTCATGTCTACAGCAAAGTGGGGCAGAGCAACCATATTTAGCACCAAATACAAGCAGGAGTGGATCCAGGCTTTGAAGGGCCTGGGGCTTAAACAATTTGGGGATTCTCTTTAAGAAAAAAAGATATAAAATTAAGTATGTATAAATAATGAATATTTATTACTTAATAAATATTTACTATTAATAAATAATACACAAATATTTATTATTTATTCAAAATAAATATTCATTTGGAATAAGTGAAGTAATAATAGTAATTTTTCAAATGTAGAAATGCTGGCAGATATTACAAACATCAACACATTTTTAAAAACTAATATTTTTATTCATTATCTGTCCAACACACCTCTATAAATTTTTTGGTAATTTTTATATGATTAATAATTCTTAAAAATATATAAAACTAATCTGAAATTAAAATATACAGAAGAGCACTTGTTTTTTTTTTTTTTTTGAGATGGAGTTTTGCTGTTGTTGCCCAGGCTGCAGTGCAATGGCGTGATCTTGGCCCACTGCAACCTCCGCCTCCTGGGTTCCGACAATTCTCCTGCCTCGGCCTCCTGAGTAGCTGGGATGTCAGGCACCCACCACCATGTCTGGCTAGTTTTTGTATTTTTAGTAGAAACGGGGTTTCACTGTGTTGCCCAGCCTGGTCTTGAACTCCTGACCTCAAGTGATCTGCCCACCACAGCCTCCCCGGCTAATTTTTGTATTTTCTAGTAGAGATGGGGTTTCACCATGTTGGCCAGGCTGGTCTTGAACTCCTGACCTTAAGTGATCTGCCCACTTCAGCCTCCCAAAGTGCTGGGATTAGAGGCGTGATCCACTGGGCCCAGCCTCAGAAGAGCAATTTTAAATTGTACTTGTGTTGAACTATATTATAATTATTAATCTAATTATAATTATGTAATCAAATTACTATTACTTACATTGATTTATTAATGAATATGTATAGGAGTTTTGACATAAGAAAACTCCTCAGGCCATTTTGCCATTTCTGTGTCAATGTTGTGTGCCTTTTCGTCAATGAACAGACCTCGTCAGCCCAAGAGCATCAGATGTGCTAAGAGGTGATGTGATCTGATTGGATGCATAAAATGTGGGACTTCCCACACAGATGGGCTTGCTGTTGGTGATACTGCTACAGTTTATGCCCTACAAATCCAGGAATTGTGACCAATCCTATTTTGTGACATTCCCATCAAAATATATATGTGTATTATGTGTTAATAATTGTGTACACTCTCCTATCAAGTATATTTCTGATAGTAGCAAACTTTTGTTTTAACCAGGTATCAATGAGAACTGAATCTTCCATTTAAAACTGTATACCTCTGATGATTGGAAGCATTTTCTGAAGACTAGCTTTTGGCTCCAGACATTTCAAACTGTATTTTCCCTCCATTACTTACATATATTTCTGGTGGTGGGCACCGTTGGACACGTTCATACCACAATTTGACCCTTGGCTCTGCACTTTGGTGTTATGACACTAGATGAGTTGGCTCAATGGGATTAGGAATATTTCTGGAAGTCATTCCTACACCAAGAGGGCTGGTAATAGCCTAACTAAACATAAAAGCGACTGCAAACCACATAAATATATGCCACTCAATCCAAACTTCATGTATCCCCAACTCAAGTTGTCCTTAGTCAGATGCCAAAAATGCCTGCCACCAACTCATCACTACTGAATAGAACGCTGATGGTGAGAAGGTCAGAGAGGAAAGACAGTGATCTTAAACAAATGCTGTTAAAATACTTTTATTTTCCAAATTGTATAAAATCACATGGCTATAGGAACATATTGTTAGGGCTGCTCAAGGGGTGTTGCATGGGGCACATGAATGTAAAACTTGATCTCCAATAGCTTCCCTTAGCAATACATAGGTTGTGAGTGACCACAGGCAGATCCATGTACAAACCAATGCAATAGCCTCAAAAAACAGCCATCATTTTGAAGCACTTTATAATTTACAAAGCATTCATATTCATTGTCATAGTCAATGCTCAAAGCAGCCTGTAGGTTGCCAAAGTAGATACCAACATTTTGAGAAGTAAAATAACTTGCTCCAGGAAAGCGAAACTTTTTGGACCCCAAACTGAGGTTGTCCAACTTTACAATTCATGCTCTTTCATTCCACCACACCAGAAAAGATTTGTACAAGAACTCTTTGCCCGACATATATTAACAGCTCAAGAAATATTCGTGTAACCAATGAAAGAAAAGAAAGAAGTAGAGTGGGAACCAGGAATGCTTTAAGGACCTGGGAAAGACAATCCTTTAGTGGGAAGGAAAACAGACCAGAATCTCAGGCTTCCCAGCATCTCTTTCAGATGTCAACCTGTTTTTCTTGCCCAGTGGCTCCGTCCAGTGTAATGAGGGATCAGAACACAGATGATTACTCCATAAACAGGCTCTGGGTCCATGCACTCCCATAAAACAGTTTCTGTTTTTCTGGGTTACAGGTAGAGAGTGAGCTGGGTTTTCCTCTGTAGGTGGGGGTGGGGTAATGGGGAGCAGATGGGTGAGTTTTAATTAAAGTTAATTGTGGCTTTGGTAAATGAAGAAAATGATGAATGTGCCATCCACCCGTTGCATGCCTGTTGCTTAACTTCAGTTGTGTGGTGGGAGGAGGCTGGGAAGAAAATCTGGACTTTTCATTTAAATGTCTGAGGCCCTGATCTTCATTCCAGATGTGGTGAGATCAGTGATAGGATCTCAAGTTTCTCTTCTGCTTTGTCAGACCTCAGACAGGAGGAGGATTTTCACACTGAGTTCCAACACCTAAAAGCAGACGAGGGGATGGAAACTTATGAAAGTTTCTTTAACTGGGGGCACAGTCCATTCAGCCTCTGGAATTTCTGACAACCACATTTCTTTCTGTTTTTAAATTTCTTCTTCTTCTTCCTCTTCCTCTTCTTCTTCTTCTTCCTCCTCCTCCTCCTCCTCTTCTTCTTCTTCATCTTCTTCCTCTTCTTCTCCTCCACCTCCTCCTTCTCCTTCTTCTTTCTTCTTTCTTCTTCCTTCTTTTTTAATAGAGAGGGGGTCTCTCTATGTTGCCCAGGCTGGTCTCAAACTCCTGGACTCAAGTGATCCTCCCACCTTGGCCTCCCAAAGTGCTGGGATTACAGGTATGAGCCACCATGCCTGGCCAGTGACAGCCCAATTTCTACCCCTTTAGCAGGAGTGAAGAGAAGGGCTTATTTAAAACTAGGGCCCAGTAAGTTGGAGAGTCGAATGGTCAGAGAAATGAGTAGAGAGGTCTCAGTCAAGGAGGTGAGGTCTGTTCAGAATCATTTCCATTTATGTTTAAACCTTTAGTGGCTTCCTGTTGCCCTCAGAATAAAAGCCAAAGTCCTTAGTGTAGCCCACCAGGCCCCAGATGTCCTGGCTGTGACCTCTTTCTCCCTCGCTTCCCGTGCTCCAGCCTGGTGGCCCTCCTGGTCCCCTCTCTGTCCTGCAGCCTTTGCATATGTTGCTTTCCCAGTTCTTCATATATTTGGCTTCTTGTAATCTTTCAGGTCTCAGCTTAGATTCACTTTCTTTGTGTGGCCTTCTCTCACCACCTTATGCAAGGCAGCAGCCTCACCCCACTCTTCCAGCCACACTTACCTGCCATCATCTCCCTAGCACTTCAGTCTATAATGTTCTTGTCTATTTAGTTGTTTCCTTACTTATTATTGGCTTCCTAACTTACTAGACTGTAAGCTCCATGAGGGCAGAGGGCTTGATTCTCTCATTCTGTCAGCATAACCCCAGCTCTTAGCACAGTGTCTGCCCCATGGTTGATGCCTAATAAATATTGAAAAAAATAGTTTCCCTGTATGGCACTACCTGAACTACCTGTGGAAGGTTTATCTCCATGGTCAGAGTGGTTTTTCAAACTCTCAACCCCGGTCTTTGCTTTCCTACCTTAGGTTAAGCCTTCTGTCCATCAGGATTCGAAGACCAAATTAAAAAAGGCTTGTCTTAGGTCTCTCTGAGGACTCTCATCTGGTCCACTGATTAGAATAGGGGAGCAGAAGTTTTTGCAGCTGATGAAACAACCTGTTTCCCAAGTGTGTGCGCTCTCTCAGGCCAGACAGGACATGCCCTGAGAGCTTGCCAGGGCACACTCCGTCAATAATGGAGGTACCGTTCAGGCTGCATGGGCAGAACCCCGGGAGGACGGCAGCTGGCAGTGTCCATGGGAGGCGACCCTCAAGTCCAGGAGAGGTACACATAGGAAAACAAAACTCTCACAACAGGAGCCAACCTAGTGCTGGAAATGCCACTTTGCATGAAATCCCAGCAGCTGAGAGCCAAGAGAGGTGGTAAAAACAGAAAAACTCCCATCCAGACATACATTTTCCACTGGAGCCCATTCCACCTCCATTTGCTTTGCCAGGGCCTTGCCATGAGGATGTTACATGCCTTCACAATCAAGAGCATCAGTTCAGGGAGAAAAAGGAGGCAAAAGTGGAATGAAGACAGCAAGGCCACAGACAAGGAAGAAGGGCTACTGTGGAAATGCTTCCTGATTCTAGAGGGTGATGATCCCAGGAGTTCCCCTGGCGTCTCTGCTAGACCCCTCGTCCTAGAGGGGAGAGATTATCTTTTGTTTTTGAGATGGAGTCTTGTTCTGTCACCCAGGCTGTAGTGTAGTGGCGTGATGTCGGTTCACTTGAACTCCACCTCCCGGGTTCAAGCAATTCTCCTGCCTCAGCCTCCAGAGTAGGTGGGATTACAGGCACATGCCACCACACCCGGGTAATTTTTGTATTTTTAGTAGAGATGGGGTTTCACCATGTTGGCCAGGCTGGTCTTGAACTCCTGACCTCATGATCTGCCTGCCTCAGCCTCCCAAAGTGCTGGGATTGCAGGCATGAACCACCACACCCAGTGAGACTATCTTTTTTTTTTTTTTTTTTTTTTTTTGAGACGGAGTCTCGCTCTGTCGCCCAGGCTGGAGTGCAGTGGCGCGATCTCGGCTCACTGCAAGCTCCGCCTCCCGGGTTCACGCCATTCTCCTGCCTCAGCCTCCCGAGTAGCTGGGACTACAGGCGCCCGCTACCACGCCCGGCTAATTTTTTGTATTTTTAGTAGAGACGGGGTTTCACCGTGTTAGCCAGGATGGTCTCGATCTCCTGACCTCGTGATCCGCCCGCCTTGGCCTCCCAAAGTGCTGGGATTACAGGCGTGAGCCACCGCGCCCGGCGAGACTATCTTTTAATGAGGATGTTCAGCCTGATGGCCAGCAGCCCTGGGGTCTAGTCCCAACTGTGTTACTCACTTTGCTGAGTAACTTTGGACAAGCCAGTTTGCCTGGAAACTCAGGTTCCTTTTTCATAAAATAAAAAATTAAATCTATTTATTTATTTATTTTGAGACAAGGGTCTCTCTCTCTCTGTCACCCAGGCTGGAGAGCAGTGGTGTGATCAGAGCTCACTGCAGTCTCAAACTCCTGGGCTCAAGCCATCCTCCCATCTCAGCCTCCTGAGTAGCTGGGACTACAGGTGCATGCCACCATGCCCAAGGAATTTTTAGTAGAGACAAGGTCTTGCTATGTTTCCCAGGCTGATCTCAAACTCCTGCACTCAAGTGATCCTCCCACCTCAGCCACCCAAAGTGCTGGGACTACAGGTGTGAGCCACTTGCCCAGCCTAAATTTTAAAAAATATGGTAAAATATTCATAGCATAAAATTTGCCATTTTAACCATTTTTAAGTGTACAGTTCTGTGGCCATTAAGTATATTCAAATTGTTGTGCAATGATCACGACCATCCATCTCCACAACTTTTTCCATCTTCCTATATTAAAATTCCATACTGATATGGTTTGGCTTTGTGTCCCCACCCAAATCTCATCTTGCAGATCCCATAATTCCCACATGTTGTGGGAGGGACCCAGTGGGAGACAATTAAATCATGGAGGCAGGTCTTTCCTGTGCTGTTCTCATGAGTGAATAAGTCTCAGGAGATCTGATGGTTTTAAAAACGAGTGTTTCCCTTCACAAACTCTCTCTCTTTGCCTGCTGCCATCCATGTAAGACATGACTTGCTTCTCTTTCCCTTGCACCATGATTGTGAGGCTTTCCTCACAATCAAACCTCTTTCTTTTGTAAATTGCCCAGTCTCGGGTATGTCTTTATCAGCAGCCTGAAAACAGACTAATACACATACCCATTAAATTATAACTACTTTTTCACTGCCCTCAGGCCCTGGCAACTAGCATTCTATTTTCTCTTCTTCCTTTCTTTTTTTTTGAGACAGTTTCTCACTCTGTCACCTAGGCTGGAGTGCAGTGGTATGATCTCGGCTCTCTGCAGCCTTGACCTCCTGGGCTCAAGCAATTCTCCCACTTCAGCCTCCCAAGTAGCTAAGACTATAGGCATGCACTATCATGCCTGGCTAATTTAAAAAAAATTTTTTTTTTGTAGAGTTGGGGTCTCACTATGTTGCTTAGGCTGGTCTCAAACTTCTGGGCTCAGACAATCCTCCCTCCTCGGCTTCCCCAAGAGTTGGGATTACAGGCATGAGCCACTGCACCCAAGCCAGCATTCTACTTTCTATCTCTATGAATTTGACTACTCTAGGTACCTTATATAAGTGCAAGCATACAATATTATCCTTTTGTGAATGATTTATTTCACTTAGAACAATGTCTGCAAAATTCATTCATGCTGTAGCTTATAGCAGGATTTCTTTCTTCTTAAAGGCTACATAATATTCCATTGTTTGTAGTTACCACCTTTTGTTAATCCATTCATCTGCTGCTGGACACATAGGTTGTTTCCACATTTGGGCTATTGTGGATAATGCTGCTGTGAATGTGGGTGTGTGAATCCATCTCAGTCCCTGCTTTCAATTCTTCTGGATATATATCCAGAAGTGGAAGTGCTGGATCATATGGCAATTCTATGGTTTATTTCTATGGTCATGGCAATTCATACAATTTTGTTTCTTGAGGAACTGCCATACTGTTTTTCACAGTGGCTTTGCCAGTTTACATTCCAACAGCAGTGAACAGACGTTCCAATGAGAAATTGAACTTCTTTTAGCCAGAGAATTCATCTTTGGAGGAAATATTCCAGGAAGCTCTACACACAAAGGACATTAAGGTAGAGGATCCAGAAGCAGTGGGGGCAGGGACCGCAACACACCCTACAAACATCTCTAAGGAGCAAAGTGAAACCTGGATAAGACATCCTCTAAGTCTCCTCCACACATTAAGCATTGATTATTCTACATTCATGTGACATGTTGAGCAGCCAATAGGTTCAAGCCCTTTTTTTTTTTTTTTTTTTTTGAGAGACGGAGTCTCTCAAATCTTGGCACACTGCAGCCTCTGCCTCCCAGGTTCAAGTGATTCTCCTGCCTCAGCCTCCCGAGTAGCTGGGACTACAGGTGTGTGCCACCACGCCCGGCTAATTTTTGTGTTTTTAGTAGAGACGGGGTTTTGCCATGTTGGCCAGGCTGGTCTGAAACTCCTGACCTCAGGTGATCCACCCACCTCAACCTCCCAAAGTGCTGGGATTACAAGCATGAGCCACCGCACCTGGCCACAAGGCATATTTTCTTCACCTGTGCATTACTTGCTGTACAAGGGGTTTGAGAAGACTTGAAAAACTCACACAATAGAAAAGGATAAAACACACAGTGGAGAGTATCAGGACAGAGGAAGGTGGGAGAGATGCATTGTAATATATGAGCAAATAGCCACTGCCTCTGCCCACAGGCTATCTTGTCTATACATATTGTAGGCAAAAGAATGTTGGAGAAATCTGGGTAGAGATTATACACATGCGGAATCTCCAGAGGCAAAGGAAGACAAAATTGTTTATGTCAATTTTATATCTGTCTCACCCAAAGCCGCACTGCAAGACTCAGAGAGTAAAGGGAGCAGGAAAAAAAAAATAACATGTTGAGGAGGCAAAGGTGGTGCTTCTAAGAATGAACTCAAGTCATACGACCTTAGGTTGAAATCCTATCTCTACCACCTGCTAATCCAGGGCAAAAGACTTAACCTCTTTTAGCCTCCGTCTTCCCATCTACAGAAGGGTGATGGTAGAAATTGTTGTGAGGATTAAGAGAGAGAATGCATGTAAGACACTTAGTCCAGGGCCTGCTGTAGTCACTATCAGTATTGGCAGCTACTCTTACTGAAATTATATTTTGAAGGTCCCCATGCCATATCTGTTTTGTTCACTCTTCTGTCCCCAGCACTTAGCAGAGTGCCTGGCTCAAAGTAGGTACTGAATGGATATTTGTAGACTTGAATCGATGTAACTGTCTCTCCTGTTGGACATGCCCTGTGCCACACCCCCTCTGATGGTGGTGGGTGACAGGGTTGAAAAGCATGAGGTCAGGCTGGTTAAAGGCATTGCTCACTAGGTAATACCCAAGACTAGATGTTCATGGGCTTTGATGAAATCAAGCTATGGAATGTACGTGGCCATGACCGCCCAGGTCAGGCCCTGTCTCATGCTATCCCCCATGCCCTCCCTCTTCAAAGGAGTGTGTCTTGCACCATCCCCACCTGTTCCAGGAAGAGACGTGAAATGATAAATTAGAACAGGACATATATCAGTCCCGCAGACTTTTTCAAATCAATTACTATTTATTAAATGTTAAGCATGCACATGATTAAGGCTCTTTGCCGGGCACTGCAGGAAGTTCAGAGTTGAGCAAGAAAACACCTTTTCTCTCAACATATTTTCCAATAATTGGGGGGGATATATGGATATATGGTAGTATAAGAAAAATGCCAGACCAAGAGGATCAATGAATGATACGGAAAATGAAAGGGGGAGAATTCACACTCAGCTGTAATTATCTGCAGATCTTTCTCAGGGGAGGCAGCTTTTTAGATGGTCTTTGAATTTGGTAGGTGAGGGAGAGGGGAGCCAAGGGAATCGGAAGGTTTCAGGCGCAGGAGGAATGACAGGATCATGGAAGCAGAAGAATGTAGCATGCGTGGCAATCGACATCATCGATTTTAGATGGATCACAGGAAACATGTAAAAACATGTCTAGGCTGGGCGTGATGGCTGACCCCTGTAATCCCAGCACTTTGGGAGGCTGAAGCGGGCAGATCACTTGAGGTCAGGAGTCCAAGACCAGCCTGGCCAACATGATGAAACCCTGTCTCTACTGAAAACACAAAAATTAGCCAGATGTGGTGGCATATGCCTGCATATGCCTGTAGTACCAGCTCCTCAGAAGGCGGAGGCAGGAGAATTGCTTGAACCTAGGAGGCAGAGGTCACAGTGAGCCGAGATCAGGCCATTGCACTCCAGCCTGGGTGACGGAGACTGTCTCAAAAAAAAAAAAAGAAGAAGAAGAAAAGAAAAACATGTGTAGAAAGGGAGCTTCGAGGCTTTTGAGGTCTAGGCAAGGAACTTACAGGGAAAGGGGAGTAACTGAGGAATTTTGAGTGGGGAAATGGTGTGATCAGACTGGTATTTGGGAAGATTAGACTGACAGTGGCATGTGACCTGGACCGAGACTGGAGAGAGGTGGAAAGTTGGGGGTGACTTCATGGACAGTTGAAGTGAGTCTGGGCAGAAATTATGAATGACTGTGGGCAGCAGGAATGGATAGAGGGCCTATGGAGATGCTTTGCTGAGGTGGCCATCACATCCAGGATTTAAAAGTCTGTTCCCTTGTTTTACCTTGAGAGAAAGTGAAGTGTGGCTCTAATCTTTCCTGGAGTGGCTCTCACAGCCTTTCTGTGAACAGACTCCGGGCTTGGAAGCAAAGCGTGGATCCTGGGTCTGAGGCTGGCAGCAGGGCTTGGAGAGCTGGAGGCATCTGCCACCCTCCCCGGCCCTCCATGAGCTTTCCCCCCCCCCGTTCGCTGCTTCAGAGGAAACACCAGGCTGAGCTGGATTGCAGAAGTAAGCTTCCCTGCCACGCCCAAGGCCCTCTGTGCTGTTGGGTCAGCCCCACTCTGCCTGGCCCCCTGTCTGCAATGATAAGGACATAGCACCTCAGTCATGCATCTCTGGGAATGTGACAAAGACAAGGATAATTAGCTATGTGTTCCCATTCGACCGTCTTTTCTCTCCTCCATCCCCAGCAGCTAAAGAGAAGTTCTCCTAATTTGCTCAGCTTCTCCCTCTTCCCTACTCTCCAAAGAGAATTCTGTCTTTGCTGGTTCTCTGTTTTTCTTATGATACAGAAATAGACATAGAGAAGGCAGACTTGAGAGTTAGGAGGACAAGGGGTAAAATTCCTGGTGGCTTGGGTCAATTCTAGGATCACCCTTTTGTGTATAAAAAGGGGCTACATGAACAGGATACTAAAGAATGAAGCCAGAAGACAAAGTCAATTTATATCATAAGGAGCTAAGAGAGAAGTATGGAAAAAAGAAAATAAAAAATAATCTGGGCTGGGTTTCAGGGAACATTCGTAGAGGAAAGCTACCAAATGAAGGGCTCTGAGAACCAAAATGTGCTGCTGTAGGTTATAGGTTAAATCTTTTTTAATGCCAATTAAATGTTGGAATTTTGTTTTGGTTGCTTAGCTATGTTTTTTTTTGTTTGTTTGTTTTTGTTTTTTTGAGACGGAGTCTCACTCTGTCGCCCAGGCTGGAGTGCAGTGGCGCGATCTCAGCTCACTGCAAGCTCCGCCTCCTGGGTTCACGCCATTCTCCTGCCTCAGCCTCCCGAGCAGATAGGACTACAGGCGCCTGCCACCACGCCCGGCTAATTTTTTGTACTTTTAATAGAGACGGGGTTTCACCGTGTTAGCCAGGATGGTCTCGATCTCTTGACCTCATGATCCGCCCACCTCGGCCTCCCAAAGTGCTGAGATTACAGGCTTGAGCCACCCTGCCTGGCCTATGTTTTTAATGTTTTATTTTAATGTCACAGTGTGCCAGACTGGACAGTATTGTATTCCAGCTTATATGTGGGTTATTGAATAGCATAATGGTTCACATCAGGAATTCTGGAACCAAACTCCCAGCTCCCAAATCCTACTTCCACCACTCAATAGCTGTGTTACCTTTGGCAAGATATAGTACTTGCTTCTCTGTGGCTCAGTTGCTTTGTCTGTAAAATAAGTTAATGAGAGCCTCTACTTCGGAAAATTGTTATGAGGATTAAATGAGTTACTATTTGTAAAGTTCATAGAAAGCTCATGCAAAGCCTGGCATGTAATTGGCGCTATAGAAGCATTAGCTATTATTAGTACAGGGACATCTAAGGTTATGAGATTTTTCTGTCTTGGTTCAACCAAGGTGGTGAAGACAACTGTCAGAAGAATTATCTTCAGCAGAGCAAATCTTAAGTTTAGGGAAAGTTTGGGCTGGGCACGGTGGTTCATGCCTGTAATCCCAGCACTTTGGGAGGCTGAGGTGGGCAGATCACTTGAGACCAGGAGTTCGAGACCAACCTGGCCAATATGGTAAAGCCCTGTCTTTACTAAAAATATAAAAATTAGCTGGGCGTGGTGGCACATGCCTGTAACCCCAGCTACTTGGGAGGAGGCTGAGGCATTAGCATCACTTGAACCCAGGAGGCGGAGGTTGCAGTGAGCCAAGATTGCTCCACTGTACTCCAGCCTGAGTGGCAGAGTGAGACTCTACCTCAAAAAAAAAAAAAGTGACATCTGGTCATCATTGTCATATTCTATGAGTTACAGATAAGTCACCAGGTGCAGCCCACATTCACAGTGAGCAAATCACACAGGGGTGAGTGCCTGGAGGCGGGGCTCATTGGGGACCACTCAGGCTGGAGTGCAGTGGCATGATCTCACCTCACTGCAACCTCTGCTTCCCGAGTTCAAGCAATTCTCCTGCCTCTGAGTAGCTGGGACTACAGGCACACGCCGCCATGCCCTACTAGTTTTTTGTATTTTAGTAGAGATGGGTTTTCACTGTGTTGCCCACGCTGGTCTTGAACTCCTGAGCTCAGGCAATCCACCTGCCTGGGCCTCCCAAAGTGCTAGGATTATAGGTGTGAGCCACTGCGCCTGGTCTCACTTTCTTGATTTGGTTACAAAAGGTTGTGACTTCACTCTTGCTCGCAAACTCTCTTCGAGTCTCTTGCTAGATTTTTTTTTTTTTAACAGTGTCTCGCTCTGTTGCCCAGGCTGGAGTGCACTGGTGCCATCATGGCTCACTGCAGCCTTGTCCTTCTGGGCTCAAGTCGTCCTCCTACCTCAGCCTCCCAAGTAGCTGGGACCACATGCACTTGTGCCATCATGCCCAGCTAAAATTCTTAAATTTTGTAGAGATGAGGGCTTGCTGTGTTATCCAGGTTGTTCTTGAATTCCTTGGCTCAAGTGATCCTTCTATCTCAGTCCCGCAAAGGGCTGGCGTTACAGGTGTGAACTGCCATGCCTAGCCTCTTGCTAGCTTTGATGAGGCAAGCTGCCATGCTGGAGAAGCCCCTATGGTTAGGTACTGAGGCCAGGCTGTGGCCAACAGCTTAAAAGGAATTGAGGCCTTCGGTTCAGTAACCCCTGAGGAACCACTGAGTGAGTTGCAAATGGATCCTGACTCAGTTGAAAATTTGATGGCAGCCTTGTGAGACATCCTGAAACAGAGATCCCAGCTAAGGGATCCTGTCCAGATTCCTGACCCCAGAAACTGCAATAATAAATACGTGCTGTTTTAAACCATTATGTTTAGAAGTAATTTTTTACACAGCAATAGATAACTAATACAACCATGTACCAAAGTAAGAACTTGGGAGTTGGATTAAGGGCAGAGGTTCAGCTCCAGGACATCAGGGTGGAAGTAGGGGAGGGCTTGTGGGAGAGAGCCACTATAGAAAGAGCATCCCGGCCAGGCGTGGTGGCTCACGCCTGTAATCCCAGCACTTTGGGAGGCTGGGCAGGTGGATCACGAGGTCAGGAGTTTGAGACCAGCCAGACCAATATGGTGAAACACCGTCTCTACTAAAAATACAAAAACTAGCCGGGCGTGGTGGCACGCGCCTGTAATCTCAGCTACTCAGGAGGCTGAGGCAGGAGAATCGCTTGAACCTGGGAGGTGGAGGTTGCAGTGAGCCGAGATCGTGCCATTGCACTCCAGCCTGGTGACAGTGTGAGACGCAAAAAAAAAAAAAAAAAAAAAAAAAAAGGAAAGAAAGAGCATCCCCTGGTCCCACCCCAGGTCCTAATGGGGAGGAGAGTGACTCAGGCTGCGCCCTTCAAGATGGCTGGCAGCTGAGGCTGTTTTAGTGCTTCCTGTTTCAACTGCAGATCTGTCTGGGAACACTTCGTTCTCATCTTGCATCATTGGCCTCCCTCCAGCACTGGAGTATGTACCTTCTGGAAATGCCTACTTATCTTTATGACACCAGTCTCTTCGTTTGTTTATTCATTCATGCAACAACTATGAGCTGGACACTTTTCTATATAGAGTGGATCCACCACGAATAAGAAATCACCCTCACACAGTTAAGAGCTTCTTCTGGCTTAAGAATTCCCATCTTTTTTTTTTTTTTTCTGAGACAGAGTTTCACTCTTTTTGCCCAGGCTGGAGTGCAATGGCCTGATCTTAGCTCACTGTAACCTCTGCCTCCTGGGTTCAAGTGATTCTTCTGCCTCAGTCTCCTGAGTAGCTGGGATTACAGTCACCCGCCACCATGCCCGGCTAATTTTGTAGTTTTAGTAGAGACGGGGTTTCGCCAGGTTGGACAGGCTGGTCTTGAACTCCTGACCTCAAGTGATCTGCCCGCCTCGGCCTCTCAAAGTGCTGGGATTATATCTGTGAGCCACCGCGCCCGGCCGAGTTCTCATCTTTGAAATTGCTCCTCTACCTCCTTCACTGGGGTGCCATTTCATCACACACCCCTTAAAGACTGGGGTTCTCCATGGCGTTGTTCTTGTCTCTAATTTCTTCTCACCTCACACAGTCCTTCCTGGTTGTTCCAGACTTCATGATTCCTTAATCACTTCTAATGATTTGAAATCTACATCTCTAGCTCAACAATCTTTCCGAAAGTCACACTGTAGGGCTACTTACATATTTCATAGACACTTAGATCTGGGAAGAGCATTGAACAATAAGTAAGTAAATAAGTACTGAATGGTAAGTAAGATCTGTTCCTGTGCTGAAAACCAAAAGTGCCAGATTAATTGAGAAATTGAATATCTGCACACTGTCTTATATAGGCATTTTAAGGAATTTTCAGGGGGCTAATTTTAACTTTATGTGATTTATACAGTATGGGATGACTTCACTAAATTAGAAGCTCAAACGACAAAAATTAAACTCATTTCCTCCATCTCTTCCTTCTCTTGTCCTGCCCAAACCTTCCTTTTTTCCTATCTTTCCTCTCCTAAATAACAGTACCATCATCCACCCAGACAATATATGGGGTCATCCAAATTCTTCCCCCTGGCTTTCCCTGACCTCCTCCAATCTCATTAAGTCCTGTAGAATTTACCTCCTAAATACTTATTTCCTTTTCTCCATTATCACTGTCCTGGGCTCATTTTAAGCTTGCATCTTCTTTTGCCAGGTCTAATGTAATAACCTTCAAACTGATCTTCCTGTATCTAGGCTCACTCCCTGTGCTTTGTCCTTCACACCGGTACCAGTGCAGTGTTTCTCATTGCTGAACTGTAACATTCTGGCTCAAATCCTGTAGTGCTGCCTCCCACTGTCCACCCAGTAAAGTCCATATTCATTCACTTGGTGTTTGCAACCCTTCGTAATCTGACCCCGGCTACTTCTCAGCCTCATCTGTAGCTGCTTCTGCACACAAACTCTATGCTCTGCCCACAGGATTTGGAGTCTTCCTGCCATACTGTGGCTTGCTCCCTTTTGCTTGTAAGGCCCTTGCTCGACCTTGTCTACCAGGTGGACTCCAAAGTAATCCTTCAAGACTCAGCTCACACATTTCCTGGACATTCTCAGATAAAATCGATGTGCCCTACTGTCCTATGCATTACTTTTATTATAGCACTTTTTACACCTTCTTTGCATCCAACTCTTCCAAGTTAGTGTTCTCTGCTTGTCTGGCAGCTCCTTGAAGGCAGAAACCCTGTGTTTTTATCTTAAATTTCAATGATTGGCCCTTCACTAGGCATCCAGTGAAAGTTTGCTAAATGAGCACTGTTCACAATAGCAAAGACATGGAATCAACTCAAATGCCCATCAATGACAGTGGATGAAGAAAATGTGGTACATATACACCATGGAATACTATGCAGCCAGAAAAAGGAATGAAATAATGTCCTTTGCAAGGACATGGATGGAGCTGGAAGCCATTATCCTCAGCAAACAAACACAGGAGCAGAAAACCAAACACCACATGTTCTCGCTTATAAATGGGAGCTGAACAATGAGAACACATGGACACAGGGAGGGGAACAACACACACTGGGGCCTGCAGTGGGGTGGTGAGCTATTTAGCATCAGGATAAATAGCTAATGCATGTGGGGCTTAATACCTAGGTGATGGCTTGATAGGTGCAGCAAACCACTATGGCACACGTTTACCTATGTAGCAAACCTGCACACCCTGCACATGTACCCCAGAACTTAAAATAATAAGATAAAATTAAATTTAAAAAAGAAAGTTTGCCGAATGAATAAGTGAATAGGCAAATGAATAGTGCAGGGCGGAGTCCACAGGTGGAGAGACAAATGGGCCCTGACATTGGGAGCTCTAGAAGGAGACCAGGAGAAGTGAAGCTATTTCTCTTTGTTCTCAGAGCCTGCAGCCCCGACTTATGTTCATCTCTTTGTACATGCACACCTGCCACAAAAACTTCTAATTTGGTGAAGTCATCTCCTGCAGTATAAATCACATAAAGTCAAGATTTGCCCCCTGAAAAGTCCTTAAAATGCCTATACAGGACCATATGCAGATATTCAATTTCTCAGTTAATCTGGCACATCTGGTTTTCTCTTCAGCACAGGAACATATCTATTTCTTCAGCTGGGAAACACATGAAGTAGCTTCCTTGCATTCAGTGGCCCTATGAAAGAAAAATACCTATCACACTCATCACAGTAAGATACTCCTCACTGTGAGAAATAGGAGGAAACAGACTGGGTGAGAGACCAGTTGACTCTCATCTAATATATCTCACTCCTACTCGGGGCTGTATGCACTTGGTAACACCCCATTCCCCTCCTCCACCCCAATCACCCAAATCCCAAGCCCACTCCTTGACTTCAAAGTCCCCGAGGCTGGCTGGTCCTTACCAATCCAACCACATGCCCTGCTCCTCCCCAGGGTCACCCACTGCCAAGTTAGTTCATCTTTCTTCCTGCTCTAGTCCCAACTCTTTCCCACTTCTCTTTGCTTAAGCTCTGTCTTCCCTTTTCCTCTCCCTCTATTCAAATACCACCGACAGGTCAAAGCCCAGCATATTTCAACCTTTCCAAAGGTTCAATTCTCTCCATGTCTACATTGATCTCTCTTATTTTTCAATTCTTTTTACCTTTAGGGTCAGAATCGAACATTTAAGTTAAACCTTTAACTGTTAGTCTATGGAGAATTTTCCATCGCAGGGAGTTTTGTAATTCACTAACAAATATCTGTATCTCTTTGTAGAAGGGTAATTGACAAATCAAGACAAATCAGTAATTAGAAGGACAAAACCATGTTGGCAGACTAGGTAACTATGTAGCAACTGAATTGCCCATACACCTTTTTTTTTTTTTGGTTGGGGGGGACATGGCGTCTCTTCGGTTGCTCAGGCTAGAGGGCAGTGGGGTGCTCTGTGCTCATTGCAGCCTTGACTTCCTGAGCTCATGTGATCCTCCTACCTCAGCCTCCCAGCTAGCTGGGACTACAGGTGCACGCCACCACACCCAGCTAATTGTTTCTATTTTTAGTAGAGACAGGGTTTCACCATGTTGCCCTGGCTGGTCTTGAACTCCTGGGCTCAAGTGATCTGCCCACCTCGGCCTTCCAAAGTGCTAGGATTACAGGCATGAGCCACCGCGCCTCTCTCATACACTTGTGATGAGAGTGAAAACTGTTTGGCAGTACCTACTGAAGCTAAATATTCATTTATCAGCAATACCTACGAAAGCTAAATATTCATATGTCAGCTGGGTGCGGTGGCTCAAACCTGTAATCCTGGCGTTTTGGGAGGCCAAGGCGGGCAGATCACTTGAGGCTGGGAGTTCCAGAACAGCCTGGCCAACAGGGTGAAACCCTGTCTCTACTAACAGGATGAAACCCTGTCTCTACTAAAAATTACCCAGGCGTGGTGGCGCATGTCTGTAGTCCCACCTACTCAGGAGGCTGAGGCAGGAGAATCTCTTGAACCTGGGAGGCAGAGGTTGCAGTGAGCCAAGATCACGCCACTGCACTCCACCCTGGGTAACACAGTGAGACTCCGTCTCAAAAAAATAATGATAATTAATAAATAAATATTCATAAATCCTATGATCTAGCAGTTCTATCCATAGATATACACCCAAGAGAAGTGAGTGTTTATATCCACCAACAGACATGCACAAACATGTCCATATAGCTTCCTTCATAAGGTCAAAACTTGGAAACAATTCAAATGTCCATCAGTAGTAGGTTAGATAATATTCTATACAATGAAAAATTTCACATCAATGAAAAAGAAAAAACTGTCACTACACATATAGCATGGATGAATCTCACAGATACAATGAGTGAAAGAAACCAAACACAAAAGAACATGTACTGTATGGTTCAATTTATATGAAGTTCAAGAACAGGCAAAATGAATAATCTATGGTGTTAGAGGTCAGAATAATAGTTATGTTTGGGAATTTATGACTGGGAGGGGACACAAGGGAGTTTTGAGTGTGCTAAAAAATATATATATTGTTTCCTTAGCCTCCCAAAGTGCTGGGATTACAGGCATGAACCACCACACTTGACCTGAACACTTGAAAATATTGATTGGGTAGTGATTACCCAAGTGTCCATGGAAAAAGTTATCAAGCTGTGTACTTAAGATCTGAGCTGTACACGTCACTGCCTCTAAGTCATACCTTGCTTTCATTATCCACAATATATTTCTTTATTTACTCAATCCTAGAATAATTAAGTCATCTTTAAAAGGAGGTAATAATAACTGCCTCTTGGGTGTTGTTGAGAGGATAAAAGAAACAATATGCATAAAAATGCATAACATGAAAGGGCTTGACACGCTGGGATGAAAGATCACTCCACAGACATCCAGAGACACACCCAAGTTCCACCAAAGCTTTTCCTTGGCTGCTTTTCTTTGTCTCCACTTCTCATTCCCCTATTATATGGTTTGGTTCTGTGTCCCCACCCAAATCTCATTTTGAATTATAATCCTCAATGTTGGGGGAGGGACCTGGTGGAAGGTGATTGGTTTATGGGGACAGTTTTCCCCTTGCTGTTCTCGTGATAGTGAGTGAGTTCTTATAAGATCTGCTTGTTTGAAAGCGTGTGGCACTTCCCCCTTCGCTTGCTCTTTCCTGCTCTACCGTGGTAAGATGTGCATCCTTCCCTTTCACCTTCTGCCATGATTGTAAGTTTTCTGAGACATCCCAGCCATGTTTCCTGTACAGCCTGTGGAACTGTGAGTCATTTTCTTCATAAATCACTCAGTCTCAGGTAGCTCTTTATAGCAGTATGAGAACAGACAAATGCACCCCATAAAGGCCCCAGTCCTCCAGCATGCTGATCTCAGCTAGGCACTAGACTTGCTAAGTGCAAGTCTTGTGGACTGGTTTCACATTTACTAGTTTGCAGACCGGGAGCTTGGGGGCGGAGGTCTCATCCAAGTTGCCCCTGGCTCAGGGCTACCCACAGTGCTCAGCTCAAATCAAGCTTCTGGATAAGTAGGGTCTAAGGCCAGCCTTAGCAAAGTGAAGAGAGCCAGCAGATCCAGGGAAGAGGGGCAGTTTACTGGATCCTTTAACCTGCCAAGAGAACTCTAACTCCAGACTACTAATTGCTGGCTGGAAAAAAAAACAGCCTTTTCTGACAATCTATATTGTGATAGCTCCAAGGGGGAATCTTCTAATTGTCTATAAATTGTCCCATAAAGAGGAGAGAACAAGAACTATGGTTCCACATGCACCACTAGGTGAACTGTACCCCTGACCAGTTGTATCTGATATTTATAGACCTCGTCACCAGCTCTGTCCACCAGAGTTACGTCAAGGGGGCAGGGAAGTCTTCTGCTCCTTCACGGTGTATGCTGGTTTCAGGAACTGTAATAAAAATGTCAAGTGAAACTTAATGAAAAGAGAACATAAGGAAAGGGTATTTGTATATAACAAAAGATGTTGAGGTTTGCCATATCAATTTCAATAGAAAACTTATCCCAGGAGATTAAGATGTCGTCCCTCAGTTTGTAGATTCTCACTTGCCTACTCTGGTGCTTGGTCCATTTATAGAGTGCAATGGTATAGGGGCAATGTCTATTCCTCTCCCAATCCTGGTTGTTTTGGGGCATGACTTTTGATTTAATGAAAGTAAATTGATACCAAGATATGCCACAGTACAAATAAATCCCAACATGCAAGTTGCTTAACACAACCAAGGTTTATTCTTTACTCACACAGGTCTGATATGAATTGATGTACTCTCCAGGGCAGAGTCCTCCATGTAGACTGAAGAATTACATGACCACAACCTAGCTGCAAGAGAGACAGGGCAATGTAGGAGCACTGTAACAAACACATCACATCCCCTTGGCCACCTCTGATCTCAGCCGTGGCTACAGTGGACAGTTGCCCTATTGGAGCTCAGATGCTGCTCTCACTGACAGCATCCTCTCTGCATGAGGTAGCCTGTTCTTCAGCTTTCCACCCCAGGCTCTTCTCCAGCACCCTGGAGCCCACAAGTCTGTCTAAGTCTATTTTGTGCTGCTATGAGAGAATGCTACAGATTGGCAAGCAATGGAAGTTTTGGGGGGCTCATGGTTCTGGAGACTGGGAAGTCCAAGATCAAAGTACCACATCTGGTAAGGGCCTTCTTGCTGCATTGTAACATGACAGAAGGCATCACATGGTGGCAGAAGGCATGCAAGAGAGAGAGAAAAGGAGTTTGAGCTCACCCTTTATAAGGACACCACTACTGAGATAATAAACCCACTCCCTTGATAATGGACCTAATCACCTCTTAAAGGTCCCATCTCTCAACAATGTTGCACTGGGGATAAAGTTTCCAGCACATGAACTTTGGGGGACATATTCAAGCCATAGCACAACCCAACTAAGTGCAGGGAAGTTAATATCTCTCTCAGCAATTTGTAACCCCTAGGGATGAAAACTAGGGGGTGAATCCTTTCATTTAGGTGAATAGCTCTAGGAGGCATTCTGTACCTTTCTCACCTTGTAACACATCCTCCCTCTCAACATCACACTCTCTGCTCCCTCACTCCTGCTGCAGGTGATCCCTCCTCAGTGAGCCACCTGCAACAAGTACCTCTATCAGACTCTGCATTTGGGGTAACTCAAACTAAGGCAAGAGCTCATGGAAAGTCTAGTGAGCACCAACTGTTCTCAGACAGCAGACTGCAGGGTTTAAGTGTCAACTTAAAAGAAGGAAAAGTTTAGAGATGGGAGAACCTGTTGTAGAATTACAAGTTAAGGCCTCAGGGGCTCTACTCAGTCCTTACTTCTCTATTTTCCCAAGAGAAAGAGAGAACAGAAGATCAGAGAGGAAGATTTTGTTTCCTGAGGCCTGCTTCTGAGGCCTAAAGTGCCCCAACATTATAACAAATGGCTATAACAATGGTTATGGGAGTTATCAGCTAGCAACCATGGGCAAAACCAACATATACATACATACACACACACACACACATATGCACACACACAAATATATATATATATATATATATATATATATATATATAAAATATAAAATCATAATATCACACCCAATAAGTGGGCAAACATTTTTAAAGGATGATATTAACACTGGAAGGATTTGAAGAAATTAGCATTCTCAGTCAGTGGCTTTATAAATTGTAACTTTGCTCTTTGGGAAGGTAATTTGGCAATATGTTTCAAGAGATAATTAAAATATTCATATTATCTTGATCAGAAAGTCTCCCCAACCCCCACCTTTGTATGACTGTGTCTCTTGTATAACTTAGCACTTATTGTGTCCAATTGAGATATTGATGATCAAGTAGAGGTGATTAGGGTATAATCACCTTCCTGTTTGGACTGACCTCACCTCAAGGAGATGAAGGCCCCAGTGTCAGTCACACAGAGAAGCCCATTGTCAGATAAGAAGCAGAAACTCAGAGAGACACTAAAAGGAACTTAAATCCTAGAGAAACATAAATTTAGGCATCACCTGATGTCCCACCTAGTGGATGTTCAGATAGCACCTGTCACAACAAGAAGTCCATCAACAATGTGAGAAGGGGCTCTGTGATGAGCCACAAACTGAAGGTTAGGGATTTTTTTTTCTTTTTTTGAGATTGAGTCTCACTCTGTCTCCCAGGCTAGGCATGATCATGGCTTCCTGCAGTCTTGATCTACCAGGGAACCTCCCACCTCAGCTTCCTGAGTAGCTGGACAGGTGCACACCACCATGGCCAGCTAATTTTTTCATTTTTTGTAGCGACAAGGCCTCTCTATGTTGCCCAGATTTGTTTTGAACTCCTTAGCTCAAGTGATCCTCCTGCCTCGGCCTCCAAAGTGCTGGGATTACAGGTATGAGCCACCAAGTCCAGTCTCTTGCTAGCTTTGATGAAGCAAACTGCCATGCTGGAGAGGTCCAGATGGTTATGAGCTGAGGCCAGCCAGTGGCCAGCAGCTTGGAAGGAATTGAAGACTTTTATTCTTTTCTTTTCTTTCTTTCTTTCTTTTTTTTTTTTTGAGACAGGGTCTTGCTCTGTTGCCCAGGCTGGAGTGTAGTGGCATGGTCCCAGCTCCTCTTGCTGGGCTCAAGCAGTCTTCCCACCTCAGCCTCCCAAGTAGCTAGGACTACAGGTGTGCATCACTATGCCAAGCTAATTTTTTCATTTTTTTTTTTTAAGAGACAAGGGCTCACTATGTTGCCCAGGCTCGTCTTGAACTCCTGAGTTCAGGCTATCTACCTGCCTGGGCCCCGCAAAATGCTGAGATTACAAGGCATGAGACACTGTTCCTGGCTAGTTAAGGGATTTCATGTAGTCATTAAAGATGATGTTTAGCCCATGGGGGAAAAAAACCTTAGATTCTAATTTTATATTATGTATGAAAGTAATTCCAGATAGACTAAATATTTAAACTCCAAAAATGTAAAACCCTAAAATAAAAGATAGCAAAATTCTTTTAAATCATATTTAAGTGAGAAGACCTTTTAAACTAAACTGCGAAACAAAGAACTTATAAAGGAAACAATATATGACTTTAACCACATAAAAATGAAATTTTTTAAAAAAATGGTGATTCATTTCAAAGGCATAAATAAGTTAAAGAAAAAACTTACAAGTTGGGATGAAATATCTTAAAAACAATAACAAAAGGTTTATATCCATTGTATGTGTGTGAGTATATATATATATAGTGTGTATGCATATATATATATATAGTGTGTGTGTGTATATATATAGTATATACATATATATAGTATATGGTGTGTATTTTTATGTATATATATGTAAACACACATACACGCACAGAGAGAAAGAGAGAGAGAGTACTTAAAAATCAATTACAAAAGGCTGGGCACGGTGGCTCACACCTGTAATCCCAGCACTTTGGGAGGCCAAGGTGGGCGGATCACAAGGTCAAGAGATCTAGACCGTCCTGGCCAACGTGGTGAAACCCTGTCTCTACTAAAAATACAAAAATTAGCCAGGTGTGGTGGTGGGTGCCTGTAGTACCAGCTACTCAGAAGGCTGAGGCAGGAGAATCACTTGAACTTGGGAGGCGGAGGTTGTAGTGAACCGAGATTGCACCACTGCATTCCAGCCTGGCGACAGAGTGATAATCCGTCTCAAAAAACAAAACAAAACAAAACAAAAATGACAAAAACAAAAACAACCCAACAAAAAATGGTTACATTGGAATAAATAATTAGGAAAAGAAATGCAAAAAGATGATCAGTTTTACCTGTAATTAAAGAAATGAAATGAAAAGAAACAAAATATATTTTGTCCATTACACTGGCAAAAGAAAAAGTTTTTAATTGGATAATATCCAGGGTTGATGAAGGTTTGAAAATTTTGTGTTTCTTTTTTAGAGGGAAATCTAACAGCATGTATTAAAATTTTAAATATTTATGTCCTTTGCTCCAACATGTCCACTTCTTTTTTTTAATTTTATTTTATTATTATACTTGAAGTTCTAGGGTACATGAGCACAACGTGCAGGTTTGTTACATATGCATATATGTGCCATGTTGGGTGTGCTGCACCCATTAACTCATCATTTACATTAGGTATATCTCCTAATGCTATCCCTCTCCCCTCCCCCCATGCCACAACAGGCCCCAGTGTGTGATGTTCCCCTTCCTGTGTCCAAGTGTTCTCATTGTTCAATTCCCACCTATGAGTGAGAACATGCGGTGTTTGATTTTCTGTCCTTGCGATAGTTTGCTGAGAATGATGGCTTCCAGCTTCATCCATGTCCCTACAAAGGACATGAACTCATCCTTTTGTATGGCTGCATAGTATTCCATGGTGTATATGTGCCACATTTTCTTAATCCAGTCTATCATTAATGGGCATTTGGGTTGGTTCCAAGTCTTTGCTATTGTGAATAGTGCCGCAATAAACATACATGTGCATGTGTCTTTATAGCAGCATGATTTACAATCCTTCGGGTATATACCCAGTAATGGGATGGCTGGGTCAAATGGTATTTCTAATTCTAGATCCTAGAGGAATTGCCACACCGTCTTCCACAATGGTTGAACTCATTTACAGTCCCACCAACAGTGTAAAAGTGTTCTTATTTCTCCATATCCTCTCCACCACCTGTTTTTTTTCTGACTTTTTAACGATCGCCATTCTAACTGGTGTGAGATGGTATCTCATTGTGGTTTTGATTTGCATTTCTCTGATGGCCAGTGATGATGAGCATTTTTCATGTGTCTGTTGACTGTATAAATGTCTTCTTTTGAGAAGTGTCTGTTCATATCCTTTGCCCACTTTTTGATGGGGTTGTTTTTTTCTTGTAAATTTGTTTGAGTTCTTTGTAGATTCTGGATATTAAGCCCTTTGTCAGATGGGTAGATTGCAAAAATTTTCTCCCATTCTGTAGGTTGCCTGTTCACTGTGATGGTAGTTTCTTTTGCTGTGCAGAAGTTCTTTAGTTTAATTAGATCCCATTTGTCAATTTTGGCTTGTGTTGCCATTGCTTTTGGTGTTTTAGACATGAAGTCCTTGCCCATGCCTGTGTCCTGAATGGTATTGCCTAGGTTTTCTTCTAGGGTTTTTATGGTTTTAGGTCGAACATTTAAGTCTTTAATCCATCTTGAATTAATTTTTGTATAAGGTGTAAGGAAGGGATCCAGTTTCAGCTTTCTACATATGGCTAGCCAGTTTTCCCAGCACCATTTATTAAATAGGGAATCCTTCCCCCATTTCTTGTTTTTGTCAGGTTTGTCAAAGATCAGATGGTTGTAGATGTGTGGTATTATTTCTGAGGGCTCTGTTCTGTTCCATTGGTCTATATCTCTGTTTTGGTACCAGTACCATGCTGTTTTGGTTACTGTAGCCTTGTAGCATAGTTTGAAGTCAGGTAGTGTGATGCCTCCAGCTTTGTTCTTTTGGCTTAGGATTGTCTTGGCAATGAGGGCTCTTTTTTGGTTCCATATGAACTTTAAAGTAGTTTTTTCCAATTCTGTGAAGAAAGTCATTGGTAGCTTGATGGGGATGGCATTGAATCTATAAATTACCTTGGGCATTATGGCCATTTTCATGATATTGATTCTTCCTATCCATGAGCATGGAATGTTCTTCCATTTGTTTGTTTGTGTCCTCTTTTATTTCATTAAGCAGTGGTTTGTAGTTCTCCTTGAAGAAGTCCTTCATATCCCTTGTAAGTTGGATTCCTAGGTATTTTATTCTCTTTGAAGCAATTGTGAATGGGAGTTCACTCATGATTTGGCTCTCTATTTGTCTGTTATTGGTGTATAGGAATGCTTGTGATTTTTCCACATTGATCTTGTATCCTGAGACTTTGCTGAAGTTGCTTAACAGCTTAAGGAGATTTTGGGCTGAGACGATGGGGCTTTCTATATATACAATCATGTCATCTGCAAACAGGGACAATTTGACTTCCTCTTTTCCTAATTGAATACTCTTTATTTCTTTCTCTTGCCTGATTGCCCTGGCCAGAACTTCCAACACTATGTTGAATAGGAGTGGTGAGAGAGGGCATCCTTGTCTAGTGTCAGTTAATGCTTCCAGTTTTTGCCCATTCAGTATGATATTGGCTGTGGGTTTGTCATAAATAGCTCTTACTATTTTGAGATACATTCTATCAATGCCTAGTTTATTGAGAGTTTTTAGCATGAAGGGCTGCTGAATTTTGTTGAAGGCCTTTTCTGCATCTATTGAGATAATCATGTGGTTTTTGTCTTTGGTTCTGTTTATGTCATGGATTATGTTTATTGATTTGTGTATGTTGAACCAGCTTTGCATCCCAGGGATGAAGCCCACTTGATCATGGTGGATAAGCTTTTTGATGTGCTGCTGGATTCAGTTTGCCAGTATTTTATTGAGGATTTTTGCATTGATGTTCATCAGGGATATTGGTCTAAAATTCTCTTTTTTTGTTGTGTCTCTGCCAGGCTTTGGTGTCAGGATGATGCTGGCCTCATAAAATGAGTTAGGGAGGATTCCCTCTTTTTCTATTGATTGGAATAGTTTCAGAAGGAATGGTACCAGCTCCTCCTTGTACCTCTGGTAGAATTCGGCTGAGAATCTGTCTGGTCCTGGACTTTTTTTGTTTGGTAGGCTATTAATTATTGCCTCAATTGCAGAGTCTGTTATAGGTCTATTCAGGGATTCAACTTCTTCCTGGTTTAGTCTTGGGAGGGTGTATGTGTCCAGGAATTTATCCATTTCTTCCAGATTTTCTAGTTTATTTGCATAGAGGTGTTTATAGTATTCTCTGATGGTAGTTTGTATTTCCGTGGGATCAGTGGTGATATCCCCTTTATCATTTTTTATTGTGTCTATTTGATTCTTCTCTCTTTTCTTCTTTATTAGTCTTGCTAGCGGTCTATCAATTTTGTTGATCTTTTCAAAAAGCCAGCTCCTGGATTCATTGATTTTTTGAAGGGATTTTTGTGTCTCTGTCTCCTTCAGTTCTGCTCCGATCTTAGTTATTTCTTGCCTTCTGCTAGCTTTTGAATGTGTTTGCTCTTGCTTCTCTAGTTCTTTTAATTGTGATGTTAGGGTATCAGTTTTAGATCTTTCCTGCTTTCTCTTGTGGGCAGTTAGTGCTATAAATTTCCCTCTACACACTGCTTTAACTGTGTCCCAGAGATTCTTGTATGTTGTGTCTTTGTTCTCACTGGTTTCAAAGAATATCTTTATTTCTGCCTTCATTTTGTTATTTACCCAGTAGTCATTCAGGATCAGGTTGTTCAGTTTCCATGTAGTTGAGAGATTTTGAGTGAGTTTCTCAATCCTGAGTTCTAGTTTGATTGCACTGTTGTCTGAGAGACAGTTTGTTATAATTTCTGTTCTTTTACATTTGCTGAGGAGTGCTTTACTTCCAACTATGTGGTCAATTTTGGAATAAGTGTGATGTGGTGCTGAGAAGAATGTATATTCTGTTGATTTGGAGTGGAGAGTTCTGTAGATGTCTATTAGGTCTGCTTGGTGCAGAGCTGAGTTCAATTCCTGGATATCCTTGTTAACTTTCTGTCTCGTTGATCTGTCTAATGTTGACAGTGGGGTGTTAAATCTCCCATTGTTATTGTGTGGGAGTCTAAGTCTCTTCGTAGGTCTCTAAGGACTTGCTTTATGAATCTGGGTGCTCCTGTATTGGGTGCATATATATTTAGGATAGTTGGCTCTTCTTGTTGAATTGATCCCTTTACCATTATGTAATGGCCTTCTTTATCTCTTCTTATCTTTGCTGGATTAAAGTCTGTTTTATCAGAGACTAGGATTGCAACCCCTGCTTTTTTTGCTTTCCTTTTGCTTGGTAGATCTTCCTCCATCCCTTTATTTTGAGCCTATGTGTGTCTCTGCATATGAGATGGGTCTTCTGAATACAGCACACTGATGGGTCTTGACTCTTTATCCAATTTGCTAGTCTGTGTCTTTTAATTGGAGCATTTAGCCCATTTACATTTAAGGTTAATATTGTTATGTGTGAATTTGATCCTGTCATTATGATGTTAGCTGGTTATTTTGCTCATTAGTTGATGCAGTTTCTTCATAGTGTTGATGGGCTTTACAATTAGGCATGTTTTTGCAGTGGCTAGTACCAGTTGTTCCTTTCCATGTTTAGTGCTTCCTTCAGGAACTCTTCTAAGGCAGGCCTGGTGGTGACAAAATCTCTCAGCATTTGCTTGTCTGTAAAGGATTTTATTTCTCCTTCACTTATGAAGCTTAGTTTGGCTGGATATGAAATTCTGGGTTGAAAATTCTTTTCTTTAAGAATGTTGAATATTGGCCCCCACTCTCTTCTGGCTTGTAGAGTTTCTGCCGAGAGATCTGCTGATAGTCTGATGGGCTTCCCTTTGTGGGTAACCCAACCTTTCTCTCTGGCTGCCCTTAACATTTTTTCCTTCATTTCAACCTTGGTGAATCTGACAATTGTGTGTCTTGGAGTTGCTCTTCTCAAGGAGTATCTTTGTGGCATTCTCTGTATTTCCTGAATTTGAATGTTGGCCTGCCTTGCTAGGTTGGGGAAGTTCTCCTGGATAATATCCTGAAGAGTGTTTTCCAACTTGGTTCCATTCTCCCCGTCACTTTCAGGTACACCAGTCAGACATAGATTTGGTCTTTTCACATAGTGTCATATTTCTTGGAAGCTTTGTTCATTTCTTTTTACTCTTTTTTCTCTAAACTTCTCTTCTCACTTCATTTCATTCATTTGATATTCAATCATTGATACCCTTTCTTCCAGTTGATTGAATCGGCTACTGAAGCTTGCGCATGCATCATGAAGTTCTCGTGCCATGGTTTTCAGCTCCATCAGGTCATTTAAGGACTTCTCTATGCTGGTTTTTCTAGTTAGCCATTCGTCTAATCTTTTTTCAAGGTTTTAGCTTCTTTGCGATGGGTTTGAACATCCTCCTTTAGCTCGGAGAAGTTTGATCATCTGAAGCCTTCTTCTGTCAACTCATCAAAGTCATTCTCCATCCAGCTTTGTTCTGTTGCTGGTGAGGAGCTGTGTTCCTTTGGAGGAGAAGAGGCACTCTGATTTTTAGTATTTTCAGCTTTTCTGCTCTGGTTTCTCCCCATCTTTGCGGTTTTATCTACTTTTGGTCTTTGATGATGGTGATGGACAGATGGGGTTTCGGTGTGGATGTCCTTTCTGTTTGTTAGTTTTCCTCCTAACAGTGAGGAACCTCAGCTGCAGGTCTGTTGGAGTTTGCTGGAGGTCCACTCCAGACCCTGTTTGCCTGGGTATCACCAGCGGAGGCTGCAGAACAGCAAATATTGCAGAACAGCAAAGGTTGCTGCCTGATCATTCCTCCGGAAGCTTTTTCTCAGAGGGGCACCCAGCCGTGTGAGGTGTCAGTTGGCCCCTACTGGGAGGTGCCTCCCAGTTAGGCTACTTGGGGGTCAGGGACCCACTTGAGGAGGCAGTCTGTCCATTCTCAGATCTCAGACTCCATGCTGGGAGAACCACTACTCTCTTCAAAGCTGTCAGACAGGGACATTTAAGTCTGCAGAAGTTTCTGCTGCCTTTTGTTCAGCTATGCCCTGCCCCCAGAGGTGGAGTCTACAGAGGCAGAAAGGCCTCCTTGAGCTCCACCCAGTTCGAGCTTCCCAGCCGCTTTGTTTACCTACTCAAGCCTCAGCAATGGCAGGCACCCCTCCCCCAGCCTCGCTGCCACCTTGCAGTTCAATCTCAGACTGCTGTGCTAGCAATGAGCGAGGCTCCGTGGGCGTGGGACCTTCCGAGCCAGGCACGGGATATAATCTTCTGGTGTGCTGTTTGCTAAGACCCTTGGAAAAGTGCAATATTAGGGTGGGAGTGACCCAATTTTCCAGGTGCTATCTGTCTCAGCTTCCGTTGGCTAGGAAAGGGAATTCCCTGATCCCTTGTGCTTCCCGAGTGAGGCAATGCCTCACCCTGCTTTGGCTCATGCTCAGTGGGCTGCACCCACTGTCCTGCACCCACTGTCTGACAAGCCCCAGTGAGATGAACCTGGTACCTCAGTTGGAAATGCAGAAATCACCCATCTTCTGTGTCATTCACACTGGGAGCTGTAGACTGGAGCTGTTCCTATTCGGCCATCTTGGAACCTTCCCTCCCATCATGTCCACTTCTATAGAAACACTTTTGTAAATTGATAGCAAAATGCACAATCTATATTCTTTACAGTACTGTTTGTACTAGTGAAAAACATTAAAAATAAACCAATGTCCTTCAATATAGGAATGGTTAAATAAACTACCTCCATATTTTCACAGGATCCTTGGGGTGTCACCTTGTCAGCTGGAAACCTCTGTGGTTGGTGGCACCTTTGCCTAAGTTTTGCTGAGGCCCACTGGGCTTGTTCCACTCACTTGGCCCAGAAGGCTGCCTTTGGCTTGTGCTACCAGCCTGGATCCCATGCCTGCCAAGGGTGAGCCAGGTGCAGAGCACCAAGGGGTGTGTGAGCAAGCACAGGGTCTGGCCATGTGCACAGCCAGGCATGCTAGCTGTGGCAGGGCAGGCAGCTCCAGGCATTGGCACAGGCACTGGCTCTGTGCCAGGCTGTGGCTGGACCAGGCATACCAAAAGTAGTTTCCACTGCAGGCGCCAGAGAACATGGTGGTGCTCAAAAGCTTGGAGACACCAGGAACCACAAAACCCCAAAGAGGGTGTCACAGCCCTGGCTCAGGGAGCCCCTAAGTCTGGGTTCCCTGAAAGACCACACGTCTTCTCTTCTTCTCGTTGCCTGCAATGTGGGCGAGGCAGGCGGGTGTGTTTCAGGCCTGTTTGTGTTATAGCTCTTTCAGTTCTGCCATTTGGTGGGTCCTGAGTTCTTGTCCCACATCCAGGAAGAATGAGGTAAATGGACAACTGGAGGATGAGTAAGATGAAGAGGTGCTTTACTGAGTGGCAATACAGCTCTCAGGAGACCCAAAGTGGGTAACTCTTTCCCGCAGGCAGGTCCCCCATTGTCTCTGCAGCCCTCAGTAGAGAGAAGACCAAGAATGGTTAGCTCCTCTTTACAGGCAGGTTGTCCAGTTGTCTCTGTGAGTCTGGCTGAGTTCTGGGTTTTTATGGTCTTCAGAAGGGAGGAAGTATGTGCTGATTGGTCCATGGGTGGCCCTGGGTGGGCCAGGAAAAAAACACCGTAAGTTTTCACTTGGGTCCGTGGAACTGGCAGCCCAGCCCCTAGGCTTCTGGCCATCCCTGCCTTGAAGGTGGGGTTTCAATGGGGACCCACCCTTTTCTGCCCAGGAGCCTGTCTGCCTCCTGCTGTTGCTCATGGCACTCAGGCTGTTCATGCCAAGGGGTGCCTGCAGGCCTGAGCTGAGCCACCTTCAGCCCTCACCTTGGCCTCCCTCCCATGCTCTTTGGTGCCCAAAGTCCAGAGGGGACTGGGGTGGCAGAGGGCTGGCGCGTTAGTACTGCCCCAAGCATACACGCACCCAGTTGGATCTTGACTGCATGTAGGCTTGGCCACAACTTTGCTCCAGAATTGGAGTGGGTCCCAGGAGTGGGGAGAGGCCAGGCAGTGGGAGCAGGCACTTCTGAGTCTGGGGGGCAGGGGGGCTTCCCAGGCCCCCAAGAGCACAGGGACGTCCTGGTCCACAGCCACAGCTGGGCGGCTGCATTTGTGCCTGGGAGTGTGGGTCTCCCGCCCCACCAACTCAAAAGGGGGTGGGGCTCCTGCCTGTTCCCAGCTCCCATCACCTCTGCGGAGTGAACAGCCCCAGCCACGTCTCCCCAGCTGCAGCCAGTGTCTTTGCAGCAGCGGCTCCAGATGGGCTGCTGCTGTCATCAATATGTGGAATGAAATTTCATGCAACCTCTGAAAAGAAAGGTTTAAATCTATAAACATTGCCATGAAAATAACAACTTAAAGGTGGTATATATAATATTCTTCTGTTGTTGTTTGGTTTGTGGTTAAAAAAGAAAAGAAAATAATAATATAATGGGCTAGTAAATGTATAAAAATAAAAGTGGGGAGGTAGGGGGAGAGGAGAAATACACACCAAACAGTTGTAGTGAGGATCTTGAGTGGCGTGGATGAAATTATGGAGAATTTTCCCATTTCTGTAGTGTTCATATTATTATTATTATTATTAGTCCTTTTAATTGCATTTATTTTAATGCTGAATTTACTCCTGTGCCATAAGTTTTTGTTTCTTCAGTTTCTTCTGGGATATCTTTTTCTTCTGGGTAGCCTCCTTTTCTGGTCTAGGAACAACCTGTTCATTTTCAGTAAGGATCTTCTCTGTGTGGCAGGGGGAGCTCATGTATGGGTTAATCCAACCATGAGCTCTGTAGGTCCAGGGGCGCATCTTAGGTGCTTTGTTTACTCGGTTATACTCAATGACCAGAGAATCTACATCTAAACCCTTGAGTTCAGCATTACTCTCTGCATTTTTAAGCATGTGCAACAAAAATTCAGCACTCTTTGGGGGCCACTGACCTTGTGTCCAGCCCCACTGCGTGGCCTGGACACACCTGCTAACTCCACCATTGTAACATCAGAATGGTACGCACTGTTTCTGTAAAGTGATATCTTTCAGATACTTCGTGGCTTTTCATATACGCATACCCTTGATGACCTCGGTAGTTTCACGAGTGTTCTTAAGGTGAACACGAAGACTGGAACCTCTTGATTTGCATGATTTTGTGGGGTTCTCCAGGTCACATGAATAGCGAACCATTTTCACAGATTATCTCAGGCCACTTAGGGAAAGAGAGCGTGTTAAAATTATTACAAACTGTAAAACTTCGTAATAATAAGAGCCAATATTTTATTGAGGGCTTCTACCAAACACTATCCTCTGTTCTTGGCATGCATTACTGCCTTTAGTTATCTCAGTTGTCCTTTGAAGCAAGTTCTGTTATTTTCTGTGAGGAATATGAGGCATAGGTGATGTTGAGTGTCAGACAGCAAGACAGTAAGTGGTGGAGTTAAAATTCAAACCCAGATCCTGACTCAATAGCCACTATATTCTGGGGGTTCACACACACACGCACACATTCTCACACACACAGAGTGCAGTTAAAATCTTTACAAGGGCAATTACAAACAATAAAAATGCCAACAATATAATATTATCTGAAAAAGTGACCCACAAAATGTGTGTGCACTGTGATTTGTGATTGTTCCATACATAATATGCATCTGCAAAAGGACTATAATCATCTGCATGATGGCAATCTTTTTTTTATTTGTCAAATTGCAAAAGTAGGCACCAACCATGAGCCGAGAGTTGAGCTCATTCATACACAGTTCAGATGGCCCGGCTGGATCAGCTTTCCTCTTTCCTACACTACCACCCTGGGCTCATCATGCCACAGCATCATTGTCAGTGTCACTGTTAGCCTCCCCAAACAGTACTACAAATTTTTCAGGGAATCAAGGATCAGAGAAGTAAAGTGTCTTGGACAAGGGGGCACAGTGAGTAAGGAGCCAAGCATAGATTTAACCCAAAGATTTTCCAGGTTTGGCTCCAGTTTTTCTAACTCCTACTACAGTTGCTGTTTCATTTCATCATATTTCTTCCTCCTCTAAGAACAGGAGGCTATTCTCTCATGTTCTTCTCTGAGTTTCTCTCCCTCCCCCAACTCCTCCTCCCTCTGCACCGCTCCTTTCTCTCTCCTAACCTGGCTCCACTGCTTCATTGCCCTGCACATGCCCACATTGGCCACCCTGGCTCACAATCCACATAATTTAGTATGCACCTGAACTTCACTCTGCTTACATTCCAACTCATGTATTCAAGTCAACCCCTGCATCACATGGGTGTTAGTCAATGAATTCTGGTAACACTTGGGCCTATTTTCCATCCCAATCTATACTAAAATATATCTATTACAATGTTTCTTGCTATTACCACAGAAAATTCTATTTATCTATGGTACAAATTTCCACAGATTTTTAACAATAGCTTTGTTGGAATCCACTCATAAAAAATTAAAGGGAGGTGGCCAGGCATGGGGACTCACCCCTGTAATCCTAGCACTTTGGGAGGCCGAGGTGGGTGGATCACCTGAGGTCAAGAGTTCAAGACCAGCCTGGCCAACATGGTAAAACATGGTAAATCCCGGTCTCTACTAAAAACACAAAAATTAGCCAGGTGTGGTGGATGTCTGTGATCCCAACTACTCAGGAGGCTGAGGCAGGAGAATTGCTTGAACCCAGGAGGTGGAGGTTGCAGTCAGCCAAGATTGCGCCACTGCACTCCAGCCTGGGTGACAGAGAGAGACTCCATCTAAAAAAAAAAGAAAGAAAAAAGAAAAATTAAAGGGATGAGATCATCAGAATGGAATTTTTAATTGTTGAGGGAGAACTAGAAGAGAATAAAATCTCCAAGCATTATTAAACGCAGAGTTGCAGATACTCTACTTCAAAGGATTTTGGACAAACTGCCAGGAGGTCAAACATTTCCAGCTTCAGTGGAAACAATTTAGCTAATTTCCTAGAAAAGAAAGCACATAGCTAATCCAAATCTGCTAATTAATCTAATAGAACACACTGGCTCTTGATGGCATTTTCCCTTTTGGGAGAAGAAAAAATAACCCTGCTATTATAAATTAATGTTTTCTTAAACAGACAGACTGAAATTTACTGCAGCTCTTCAGGGATTTTCAGCTTCAATAAGCCAGTGGGAAAGTTCTCCCTTGCTTGCATACATATGCTCTGTTGCCCCATTGGCAGAGGCCTCCCTCCCTTACTTTCCCTTCTTCCTCTCTTCCTTCTCCTTTCCTTCTTCCCTTCCTCCTTTCCTTCATTCCTACAACAAATACTTATTGAACACCTACTGCATGCCACACACTGTTATGTCCTAGTGTACAGCAGTGAACAAAAAGTACTAAATAAATATGTTAGATATGTTAAGTACTTTGGGGAAATACGAAGCAAGAAGGGGTCCGGGAGTGCTGGTGGGGTGATATGGCTTGGCCACATCCCCACCCAAATCTCATCTTGAATCCTCACCCATAATCCTCAAGTGTCACGGGAGGGACCCAGTGGGAGGTAATTGAATCATGGGGGCAGTTACCCCCATGCTGTTCTCATGATAGTGAGTGAGTTCTCATGAAATATGATGGTTTTATAAGGGGCTTTTCCTTTTTTGCTTGGCACTTCTCCTGCTGTTGCCATGTGAAGAAGGACACATTTGCTTCCCCTTCCACAGTGATTGTAAGTTTCCCGAAGCCTCCCTAGCCATGCTGAACTGTGAATCAATTAAACCTTGATAATTTCTTCATAAATTACCCAGTCTTAAGTAGTTCTTTATAGCAGCATGAGAACGGACTAATACATGAGGGCACTCTGAGATTTTAAATAAATGGCCAGGGAGGACTAATTAAGAAGGCAACATTTGAGCAAAAACCCAAGCAGGTGAGGGAGGAAGATTTGCAGATATCTGGGGCAAAACCAACCGGAAAAGCGCTGCCACTGGAGTGTGGCTGGAAGTTTGAGAGCAGCAAGGATCAGGCTTGGAATTAGAGGGAGGCAGAAGAGGCGAGTTGAGCAAGTGCAGGGTTGGATCTTGTCTTTCTTTCAAATTTTTATGATTTGTATATCATGGATTTTTTTCACATTAATTTTGATGTTGCATTAAAATATTACTGATCTTGACTACTGAGGTTTTGGCATCTTGAAGCAAGTACTCACTAGCTTCACTCTAGTTCAGGCCCAGGACCCGAAGTAGGGGAGTGGAGCAGGGGTGAGGGTGTGAGTTAGGGAGAGTGGTAGGAAATGAAGTCAGAAAGGAGCAGGGGAAGATGCTGAGGAGCTTGGCTTTTACTCTGAATAGGATGGGAAGTCATTGAAGGGCTGTATTCATTTGCTGCCATAACAAACTACCATGAATTTAGTGGTTTAAGCAACACAAGGCTGGGCGCAGTGGCTCACGCCTGTAATCCAGCACTTTGGGAGGCCGACGGGGGCAGATCACGAGGTCAGGAGTTCGAGACCAGCCTGACCAACATGGTGAAACCCCGTCTGTACTAAAAATACAAAAATTAGCCAGGTGTGGTGGTGGGTGCCTGTAATCTCAGCTACTCAGGAGGCTGAGGCAGAAGAATCACTTGAACCCAGGAGGTGGAGTTTGCAGTGAGCCGAGATTGAGCCACTGCACTCCAGCCTGGGCAACAGAGCAACACTCTGTCTCAAAAAAACAAAACACAACAAAACAAACCCACAAATATGTTATCTTACAGTTCTATAGACCAGAAGTCCAACACAGGTCTCACCAGGCTAAAATCAAGCTGTTAACAGGGCTGCTTCCTCACTGGGAGCTTTAGATGGGAATCTGTTTCCTGCTCATTAGGTTTATTCACAGACTTTAGGGCCATGCAGTTGTAGAACTGAGGTCCCCTTTCCCTTGTAGTTGGCTGGTGGTTCCCTTCCTCCATTTTCAAAGCCTGCAATGGAGGGACAGGCTCTTTTCATGTCACATTCCTCTGACCCATTCTTCTGTCTTCCTCTTCTACTGCTGACAATTCATGTGATTAGACTGGGCTCCCCTGGATAATCCAGGATACTCTCCTCATCTCAAAGTCCATACCCTAAGCACATGTACAAAGTCCCCTTTGCTATGTAAGGTAACATATTCACAGGTTCCAAGGATTAGGATGTGAACATCTTTGAGGAACCATCATTCTGTCCACCACAAGGGCTTTGAGCAATGGAGCAACTGCTCACTCTGCAGCCAAGAATGTGTCAGTCTAGTTGCTCTGTTGAAAATAGTTGGGAGTGGGAGGAGGAAGGCCAGGGAGGATAGGGCAAGAAGCAGGAAGCTGGTGTAGAGGCTAACACGATAATTCAGGGGACAAATAATGGTAGTTTCAACCAAGGTGGGGGGTGACTCTGGAAGAGTCAAGGCTAGATAAGGTGACAATAGGTTTTAGGTGTCAAGTTGGCTAAGCTACAGTCCTCAGTTATTCAGTCAAACACTAATCTGGGTGTTGCTGTGAAGACATTTTACGGACATGATTAAAGTCCCTCATCAACTGACTTTCAGCCAGGGAGATAATCCTAGATTGAAGGTGGGCCTGATCCAATCCATTGAAAGGCCCTAGAAGAGCTGAGCGTTCCCTGATGAAGAAATTCTGCCTGTGGATGGCAATTCCGCTCATGCCCAGGAGTTCCAACCTGCTCTTTCTGACGGTGTGCCCTATGGATTTCCCACTGGCCTAACCAGCCCCATGATTATGTGAGGCAGGAGAATCGGGCCTGGAGGCAGGGAACCTCAGGGCTTCCTAGAACTAAATCAAATGGAAACACTTCAGCTATGACAGGAACTACACTCGTCATTTACATAGAATGTACACCAAATACATAACTTTGTAACCTCACTTTAGCCTCTTCATTTACATAGGGCGTACACCAAGTAACCAATGGAAACCTCTAGATGGTATTTAAACCCCAGAAAATTCTGTAACCGGGCTCTTAAGCCCCTATGCTCAGCCGCTCCCACCCTGTGGAGTGTACTTTTGTTTTCTATAAATCTCTGCTTTTGTTGCTTCATTCTTTCCTTGGTTTGTTTGTGTGTTTTGTCCAATTCTTCGTTCAAGATGCCAAGAACCTGGACACCCCCAACTGGTAACATATGTAGGGCAATTCCTCTTAATATGACTCTCCTACTGGTTCAGTTTCTCTGGTTGAACCCTGACTGATACATCCTGAATAAGTTTGAATGTGGAGCTGACCGGCTAAGCTAGTGTATTGGAAGTGGGATGTGAGAAAGTGGAGTCCAGGATGATGCCAAAGTTTTTGCCCCGAGCAGCCAGAAGGATGGCTTAGGTATCTCCTTCTAAGGTAGGAATCACGAATGCAAAAGCCACCTACAAAAGCCTGTTCAAGGGATGGCAAAGGAAGATGCCCAGTTTCCCCCAAGGAAGCCCTTTCAGACGGGGGATGTGTATAGGCAGGAATGGGTTGGAGTGGCTGGCCAGCCCTGATGTGGGCAAGCTCCAATTTAAGGGGGTGAAATAGGTAATAAAGTCACTGCTGTGCTCCATGCCACTCATCCAGAAACACTAGTGGTTTTCCAGTGCATTCTGGAATCCTCAGGAAATCTGGAGATCTTTTTACTGTTCTCTGCTGTGAACCCCACCTCCCCTGCTGCTGTGTGCTCTGGGAATGAGTTAGCTGAACCCTGAGCCAAAAACCAACAAGGAGTGCTGAATAGAGACTTTATGGAGTTGCTCTGTGGGCTTTTTTTCTTGTGAAGGAACAGGGTGTGCTTGAAAGTAAAAAGTGAGTTATTTGGTGTTGTTGTTGTTGTTATTGTTGTTTAAATCTTCCTGGAAGGCAGAAAGAAAGAGATAAAAAGGAAAAAACAGCATTTGTCACTTATAGTGCTCTGGTTAGCACAGTAGCTGGGCCCCTGAACCCTCTACAGGCCTCCCAAGCTGGCACTGAATAAAATGTGAGAAATGAAAGGAACTTTTCCGTGAGTCTGGCAGCGCCGACAGACACTGAGGTGGCAGAGCTGTCTGGTCCCAGTCCACATGCAGAGGCCTGCAGCTCCTCCTTCCAGCCCGCACCCACCAGAGCTTCTCAGACGGGCCGTGTCCTGAGAAGGTTGTTGCCAATGTAGATGTTTGAGAGGCTCACTGATGAACAAATCAACAGAGCAGATTTAATCTGAAGAGATCCAAATATTGTGCTTCTTTGGACTCATAGAAATGGCGAAAGATTTAACATCAGGAAGTACTTAAGTCAGCTAATTTCTAGAGCCTTCTTCCTCCCTGTCACTTGATTCTAGATAGGATCACCAGTTAGACATCAGAACCAGATCTTTTTATCCAGAGAAGTACCAGTTTGTTGTTTTTCCTTCCGAAGCCAAGTCCTCGAGTTTCAGGTAGACTTCAGTTGATTTCTGCGAGGTCTTTGCTTTCTCTCTGCCAGAATAATCACTGCTGAGGTAACTGCAGACAAGGTCCTTAGCACCTTAGATCAGTATAGGAAAGAAAATGAAAAATGTTTGTCTCACCTCTTTTTGCTGCTGATCTCTACAGGAAAGCAAAAAGCCCCGAAGAGCCTGGCTTGGAATAAAAACATGCACCATACAAGATTTTTATGAAGATTAAATAACTTGGGCTAAAATATTCTGGAAGCTGCCAAGGGCTCTACAGATGAGCTATACAGAGGCATTTGCTGAAAACTGGCCTGGATTGACAAGCGCAATGCAAACGTAAGGAGCTGAACAGCCTCTGCTGTCCCGGGGGGATGGCAGCCAGACAAGGCATGTACAATACTGGGATGATGAGAAAACGGGTGTCTCAAGAGGAGACTAGAAGAGATTCTTGGCCCAGCAAAAAAGTTAAAGAGGGGGAGAAACTGCAGGTATTAAAGTCAAAAGTAATAGTGATGTCAGATCTGTAAGGTTTCTCCTTTCTATTCACTAGGACTGTAGATGTATGAGAGACACATTCAGGGTTAAGGTCTCATTGGAGGGCACATCCCAGAGGCCTGTGGGAAACCAACCCAGAGGGGTCCTTGTTACCTGCATCTCAGAGCACGCATGGGGTGACAGACATGCAGAAGTAGGGGATCTGGGGAGTATAGGGAATTTTGGTTTCTAGATGTATTTCCAGACTTTCCAATGGCCAAACTTCTTTTCTGATAATCTGGTGGTATGCAGGCTAGCAAGAGACTTGAATTGGCCATGTCTGTCTCACATTTCAGCTATTCCCAGGAGTGCTTGGCAAAGGAAAATGTGGGTGAACAGTTTGACAGCAAATTGCCTTGGAAGCCTGCAGAAGGGTGTACTCCTAGGGAGGATGATAATAAAGCTAGTGTGTACTTATTGATTATTATGATGTGGGCTAGGCACTGTTCTAAGTACTTTATGTGTGTCAATCCTTTTGATCCTCAGTACAATCCTATGAAGTAGGATGATTGTTTTTCCCTTTTAATGGATAAGGAAGCTGAGGCACAGAGTAGTTAAATAATTTCCCCAGGTCATACAGGTAAAGCCAGGTTTCGAACTCAGATGGCCTAGCTGCATCATCTTCCAGTAAGTGGATAGAGCATACTTTCCAATCAGAAAATGGAGCAGTAACATGCTAACAAGGGTGAGTATTTGTTTGGACTAAGGTGGACTGTAAAGATAGGATGTTACAGCTTAGAATGCTAAAATGCTTTTGGCTACTGGATCAGTAAGGATGCTTTTGGCCACAAGTAACAGAATAACTAAACAAAAATAGTTAAACAGTAAAGACTTATGATTTCACATAGCAATAAGCCTGGATGCAGTCCAACATTTTAAGGTCAGGGATGTCATCAAGAATCCAGATATTTTCCATCTGTTGACTCTGTATTCCTCAGTATGTCTGCCATGTCTCCCTCACACTTACAAGGTGGCTGCGGCAGTTCCAGGCATCACATGGTAACAAGATCACATCCAGTGAAGAAGGAATTCTCATAAGACAGTCAGCAGATTTTGCAGGTAAATTGGACAAAATCAGTCTTATATCTATGTCCTAGCCTCAAGGGAGCTCAAAATGTGAATAGCTAGAATTCTCAACTCTATAGAAAGAATAAGCTACTCCAGCAAGTAAGAAGAAGGTAGGGTGAGAGGTGTTGGGCTACTGATTTGACCACTTACTTACTATATTTCTTTTTCCCTTTTATTTACTTTTAAGGTGAAGATACACAAAGGATAGATCAAGGTCATGATTTAATGCAGATGGCTGAATTATGACCAAAAAAACATCCATAGTCAGCTCCAGTCATATTTCTGACCTGAGGCTGGGCTTAAGGTCTACACAGCTGGAAACATCCATTTCTGATGCCAGCTACATCATTCCCTGATGAGAACAGTGCCAGCAGTGAACCCCTCACCACTCCCCACACCCAACCCCCACCTCAGTGTCCCCAGGGTATTATCAGTTGTGTCAGCCTAGAGTCTCTGAGTTTGGTCTGGCTCTGCCCCTCCCCCATCCGTTTAGAAAGAATCTATTTCTGTTTCTCTCTCTCTCTCTCTCTCATGCCTCAATCTCATGTCCTCCTGCTGACTCTAAAGAGACAGCTGATTGTGGGAAAGATTTAAATTGGGTTATTCTCTCTTAATATAATTTTTGTAAAATACTATAAATGAATTTCTTCATGGCCGCCAAAGAGAAGTGCTGCTATTTCTAGCACCAGACTGACAGGAATGGTGCCTGTTAGGATTAAGTTAAGCTGCAATGGGAACATTAAATATGGCTTAAACAAGACTGGGCTGTATTTCTTGCTCATATAAAAGTCCTGGTATTGTCACCAGAAAGGGGTCCTGATGCAGACCCCAAGAGTGGGTTCTTGGATCTTGCACAAGAACCAATTCAGGGCGAATCCACCAAGTAAAGTGAAAGCAAGTTTATTAGAGAAGTAAAGAAACAAAATAATGGCTACTCCACAGACAGAGCTGCCCTGAGGGCTGCTGGTTGGCTACTCTTATGGTTATTTCTTGATCACATGCTAAACAAGAGGTGACTTAATCATGAGTTTTCCCAAAAAGGGGCAGGCAATTTCCGGAACTGAGGGTTCTTCCCCTTTTTAGACTATATAGGAAAACTTCTAGACGTTGCCCTGGTATTTGTAAACTGTCACGGCATTGGTGGGAGTGTCTTTTAGCATGCTAATGCATTATAATTAGCATATAATGAGCAGTGGGGACCATCAGAGGTCACTTTTGTAGCCATCTTGGTTTTAGTGGGTTTTGGCTGGCTTCTTTACCGCATTCTGTTTTATCAGAAGGGTCCTTGTGACCTGTATCTTGTGACAGGAGCCCTGCTCACCTCCCATTTCATCCTGTGATTAAGAATGCCTAACTTCCTGGGAATGCAGCCCAGTAGGTTTCATCTTCATTTTACCCAGCCCCTATTAAAGATGGAGTCACTTTGGTTAGAATGCCTCTGACAGTGTAAGCAGCTTAGGCTGCTCTGGGGTTCTGCTTTGTGGCTGTATCACAGTCCACAGAAGCCCTTCAGTCATCACATCTGCCTTCCAAACAGCAGGATGGGCGAAGGGGAGATGACAGGCCAAAGAGCATATGCCTCCTCTCATTTAAGGAAATTTCTTGGAAGTTATCACACAGCATTGCCACTTACATTCTGTTGGCCAGAACATAGTCACATGGACACATCTTGCCACAAGGGCAGCTGGGAAATAGCATTGTATTAGTCAGGGTTTCCCCAGAGAAAGAGAACCAATGGATGTGTGTGTGTGTGTGTGTGTGTGTGTGTGTGTGTGTGTGTGTGTGTATAAAGATGATAAGGAATTGGCTCACATTATTACAGAAGTTAGCAAATCCAAAATCTGCAGGGTGAACAGGCAGGCTGGAGACCCAGGAAAGGCTGGTGTCCTAGTTCTAGTCCTCTGTAGAATAAGAAACAGCCAGTGCTGCAGATGAAGTCTGAAGGCAGGCTGCTGGAGAATTCTCTCCTCAGGGGAGGAAAATAAAATATTCTATTTTATTCAGGCTTTATGATCTATTCTTTTCTTTTTGGTCTATTCAGGTTTTCAACTGATTGGATGAGGTTCACCTACATTATGGAGGACAGTCTGCTTTACTCAAAGTCCATCAATGTAAATGTTAGTGTCATCTAAAAGTACTCTCACAGAAAGACCCATAATAATGTTTACCCAAATATCTGGGCACACTGTGGTTCATCCAAGATGACACATAAAATTAACCATCATGGACATCTTAATTTGAGGCAGCCAGTGTGTCTGCACTCTAGGGGAAGGGTCGGCAAACTACAGTCCACAGGACAAATCTGTTTTTGTAAGTAAAGGTTTTGGGAATTCAGCCACACTTGTTCATGTACATATTGTCTATGGCTGCTTTTGCAGTACCATGCCAAAACTGAGTGTTCTAATGAGACCATATGGCCTACAAAACCGAAATTTGACTCTGTCTGTACAGAATGGCTGATCCCTGTTTTAGGCAGTTATGTGCCCAGCTAAATACTGGGATTATTTAGAGAGAGAGAAAGGAAATTGTGGTAGGCAGATAGCAATCTTGATCCACAGCAGCATAAAGGACTTGCTGCTGAGATCTTCTAAGAAATCTCCCAGCCATTCAGCAGCAATTTTTTTGTGCAATCTATGAGATACTGAAGGAATTACAAAGAAGTACAAGCCATTTCCCCCAATCTCAGGAACTTAGTGGATTAACTTTGTGGAAAGCAATGGTCTTTGGACCCAGAGAGGGCTGAGTTTAGGCTGAATTATTAGCCATGTGATCAAACTTCTCAAAACTTCAGTTTTCTCATCTCTAAAATGAGCATGGCCCTATTACCTCATCAGGTTGCTGTATAAATTAAATAAGGTCATTTATATGGTGTCTAGCATATCATAAACCCTTTCTTCTTGTCTGATAGTGAAAACAATGATAACTAATAGTAATTAAACTTTATCTGTGTGCTGGGCTCTAGGCAAGGGTTCTTCATGTATTAACTCATTTAATCCTCACAACAGCTCTTCGAGGTAGGAACAATCATTATCCCCATTGTATGAATGAGAACATTGAGAGATGAGGTATCTTGGCAAAGAGTGCCTAGTTAGAGCAGAGCTGTGATTCAAACCCAGCTTGCCTGATTTCTGATCCCAAGAGCCTGCCCGCCAGTCTGTCCCACAGCCTTCCCATGTCAGAGCCCTCCTGCCATCATCTCCTTCCCCCTCTGGCTGTAAGACATTCACAGTGTAACTGAGAAAGCAGAGCACATTCAAATAAAAAACAAATTCATAACATAAGGCAGTGGAGGTGAAGTGCCAAGTGAGCGGTATCACTTAGATACTGAGAGGTTCCAGTCCCCCAGAGCGGTCAGGGGAGGTATCAAAGCAGGGATGGGGCCAAATTGGGTCATGATGGACCTACAGGATTTAGAAGACAGGAAGACACTGTGCAGCCATAGGGAGTGGAGTGGGCAAGGCTTGGAGGTGGGAAAGAAATAGCACAATTAAGGAATAACAGGTAAATAATCCTGGCTAAATCACAGGATTCTTACCGGGAGTCCAGAGAGAGCAATTTGGAAATGAAGATTAGAATTAAATGAAGGAGCTTGAATGTCTGTCTAAAAAGCTTCACTGTATTCGGTAGACACTGAGTAGTCATTGGAAGGTTTTGAATGGTGAAATCACATGATGGCAGCAGTGTCTTTAAGAATAATGTGGTGGTTTTGGGAGTGATGACTGAGGCCCAGAGGCTGGGAGACTAGTTGAGAGGCTTTTGAAATGATCTAGACATGACGTAATGAGAACTTGAAGTGGAGTGTTAGCACAGGCATGGATGGAATGGCAGGAAGGTAGGAGACATCACATGAGCAGAACCGGGGCACTTGGTGACTTCGTCTGGGAGTGAGGAGGGGGAGGGGCAGGATGACTGCCAGGCTTTCAGCCTGGGTGATGGGAGAATTTTATTCTAAATAGAAGCAGAAGAGGTAAAGGGGAGCTCCATCTGCCACCCCACCTCCATGAGGTCTCTGTCTCCACTGAGCATCTTCACTTACTAGCCGTCACCAGATACCTGTGAGCAGCCAGCCATCTCCTCTTTCTTCTTTGCTGCAAGGTGCCACTTCCACCAGAGAAGAACCTAGGGCAGTGAGGAAGCATGGCCTTTGGGTCAAAGAGGTAGAATTTATATCTGCTCCATCCGTCACTGGCACTGTAACCTTGAGCACATCTCAACTGCCCTGAGATTTAGTCTCTTTAAACTAGGGATGACAATACCTACTTGATAGAGTACTTGCGAATTATATAACAAACTCAAATCATTTAGTATTGCGTCTGGCACGAAGTAGATGCTCAATCATAATGGCTAACACACTGTGCTTGAAACAGGTACTGCTTTAACTGCTTTACATCGATTCACTTGTTTACTCCTCTCAACAGTCCTGCAAGGTGGATATCACTCTCACCTTCAGCGCACAAAGAAAGGAGGTATACAGAAGACACAGAACTCACCAAAGTCACAGGAACTAGGTGAGGATGAACCAGGCTGCATCCAAGCAGCCCAGCTTCAGGGTCTGTATTCTTTGCCACTACCCAGAACTTTTACCAATAAGCAAAGCTATTGTTTGCAATAACAGGAAGCAAAAATAGCAAAAAGTTCCCTTTAAGGGGGAGTGTTATAATATACTTAACAATCAGAATGGCTGAAGCACTGATCTGTGAGAGTGGCTACTGGTCATAGCCTGGAGCTGGTCTTTTAGGTCCTCTTTGGTTACTGGATCCTGGGAGGATGGATGAGGAAGTGGTCTCAGGCAAGGGGTGGAGTTAAGTGGCTGTGGAAGGTACTTTGGAGGCTCAGGCAGCAGCTTTTTTTCCCCTTAAACTTTTGTTTTAAGTTCTAGGGTACACGTGCAGGATGTGCAGTTTACATAGGTAAACGTGTGCCGTGGTGGTTTGCTGTACAGAACAAACCATCACTCAGGTATTATTAAGCCCAGCACCCATTAGCTATTCTTTCTGATGCTTTCCCTCTCCCAACTTCCACCCGACAGGCCCCAGTGTGTGTTGTTCCCCTCCCTCTGTTCTCATTGTTCAGCTCCCACTTATAAGTGAGAACATGTGGTGTTTGGTTTTCTGTTCCTGCGTCAGTTTGCTGAGGATAACAGCTTCCAGCTCCAACTATGTCCCTGCAAAGGACATGATCTGATTCCTTGTTATGGCTGCATAGTATTCCATGGTGTATATGTAACACATTTTCTTTATCCAGTCTATTGTTGATGCACATTTGGGTTGATTCCATGCCTTTGCTATTGTAAATAGTGTTGCAATGAACATACATCTTTATATATGAATATATGTATCTTTATAATAGAATGATCTATATTCCTTTGGGTATATGCGCAGTAATAAGATTGCTGGGTCAAATGGTATTTCCGCTTCTAGATCTTTGAGGAATCGCCACACTGTCTTTCACCATGGTTGAACTAATTTACATTCCCACCAACAGTGTAAAAACGTTCCTTTTTCTCCACAACTTTGCCAACATCTGCAGTTTCTTGACTTTTTAATAATTGCCATTCTGACTGGCATGAGATGGTATCTCATTTTGGTTTTGATTTGCATTTCTCTGATGATCAGTGATGTTGAGCTTTTTTTTTTTTTTTTTTTTTTTTGAGACGGAGTCTTGCTCTGTCACCCAGGCTGGAGTGCAGTGGCACAATCTCGGCTCACTGCAACCTCTGAGCCCCCCTCCCTCGGGTTCAAGTGATTCTCCTGCCTCAGCCTCTTGAGTAGCTGGGATGACAGGTGCCTGCCACCGTGCCCAGCTAATTTTTGTATTTTTAGTAGAGACGGGGTTTCACCATCTTGGCCAGACTGGTCTTGAACTCCTGACCTCGTGATCCACCCGCCTCGGCCTTCCAAAGTGCTGGGATTACAGGCATGAGCCACTGCGCCTGGCCTGAGCTTTTTTTTAATGTTTGTTGGCCGCATTAATGTTTTATTCTGAGAAGTGTCTGTTCATGTCCTTTAGGGCAGCAGCTTTAAACAACTCATACAGAAAGTTCAATATCTTAACTTCCAGTGTGGCAGGATGGGTGTGCCCTGGGTGAATACCAGAACTGGTTGTCATTTTTCAGTGTTTCCTGATCAACCTGTGGACAAAACAAACTGATTTTTAAGGACATTCTCATTGTTTAATGTTATATTGATTTTAAAAATATATTTTATTATTAATACCATGTTTAAATTGTTTTTTAAAAAGACTTAAGGCAGCTTGTAGTTTAAAAAAACCCTTACAAATAAAGTCATTAAGATATGGATCATAATAAAAGTTGTGTATGTAAAAGTTTTTGTTATGGGCTAAATGCTTGTGTCCTGCAAAATTCATAGATTGAGATTCTAACCCCCCAAAGTGACAGAAGTGGGAGATGGGGCATTAGGGAGGTAAGTCAGTTGCAAGGTTGGAATGCTATGAATAAGATTAGTGTCCTCATAAAAGAGACCCAGAGAGTTCTCTAGCCCTCATTCTGCCATATGAAGACACAGCAAGAGGATAGCTCTCTAGGAGCCAGGAAATGGCCCTCACCACACACTAAATATTCTAATAATTTGATCTTACACTTTCTAGCTTCCAGAACTGAGAGAAATAAATGTTTATTGCTTATGCCACTCAGTTGATGGTATTCTGTCATTGCAGCCTGAACTAAGACAGTTTATGCTTGAAAACTTAAACTAAGAACGCTAGTGAAACTCAGCACTAAATTTGACTCTGAGATTCCTAATGGCCAAGATTAAATGAGAAATAGGATGAGTTTCTTAGTTTTGACTATGCAAATAAACCTAAATGCTTCGATCTTTATGCCTAGGATTTAGGGGTGCAAGACCAAGATGGCATTTTGATGTGAAAAAGACAAGCTTCAACTTACTATATTCTTGCCCGAAAAGAGGTCCACTTTGTCTTTTACTCCACATGAGAATCATATTACCAAAGCAAAACACACCTCACCAGTTATGCCTCTGCTGAGTGAAAGACCAATCCCAGCTTTAAAGTAAATGAGTAGGCTGGACATGGTGGCTCACTCCTGTAGTCCCAGCACTTTGGGAGGCCGAGGCAGGCGGATCACTTGAGGTCAGGAGTTCAAGACCAGCCTGGCCAACATGGTAAAACCCCGTCTCTGCTAAACATATAAAAATTAACCAGACATGGTGGCACGCCTGTAATTCCAGCTACTCGGGAGGCTGAGGCAGGAGAATCGCTTGAATTTGGGAGGCAGAGGTTGCAGTGAGCCAAGATTGCACTGCTGCACTCTAGCCTGGGCGATAGAGAACGACTCCATCTCAAAAAAATAAAAAAAGGAATAAATTAAAAAGTAAATGAGTAAAGACAAAATTAGGGAAAGAGAAGCTTGATATCAGGAGAGGAGAATGTGATTTTGAGGATGAATTTTGTTTCAATGACCTGCCTAAGTGTAAAATGCTGGTCTGGATGAGCACCTTAAATAAGATAGTTTCCATCCCATTGAATTCCCCCTCACTCAAGTATAGGACCAGCCAATTATATGCAATCTTTTTTCACCAGAGGAAAAAAAATGAGAACTTTGCGAACACTGAAAGGTGATCTGGTGCCTCCCAGCATTTCTGGGGAGGCAGCCACATTAATGCCTATGATTCTTTCTTGTAGCATCTTCCTAGAGTTAAGGAAAGTCCTTAAAGTTTGCTATTAATGCCTCCTGGCTTAAGACTAGACCGAAGGATTTCAGGGAGCTTGTTTCTAATAGATCCTATGATCAAGAGGATTACAGTTTAGGACCAGAAGGAATACCTTCAACATCTTTTTCATTATTGTTCATGTGACCCAAATTTCCCAGATCTTACCACCCTGTAGTACAAAAGAGATTGCTTTGGAGTCCCATCTTCTGACTCAGGGTTTCATGTCCCAAAAGTTCGCCTTAAGATTTCTGAGATCTCCCTCTCCCTCTCCTCCCTCTCCCTCTCCTCCCTCTCCCTCTCCCTCTCCCTCTCCCCACGGTCTCCCTCTCCCTCTCTTTCCATGGTCTCCCTCTGATGCCGAGCCGAAGCTGGACTGTACTGCTGCCATCTCGGCTCACTGCAACCTCCCTGCCTGATTCTCCTGCCTCAGCCTGCTGACTGCCTGCGATTGCAGGCACGCGCCGCCACGCCTGACTGGTTTTCATATTTTTTTGGTGGAGACGGGGTTTCGCTGTGTTGGCGGGGCTGGTCTCCAGCTCCTAACCGCGAGTGATCTGCCAGCCTCGGCCTCCTGAGGTGCCGGGATTGCAGACGGAGTCTCGTTCACTCAGTGCTCAATGGTGCCCAGGCTGGAGTGCAGTGGCGTGATCTCAGCTCGCTACAACCTCCACCTCCCAGCCGCCCGCCTTGGCCTCCCAAAGTGCCGAGATTGCAGCCTCTGCCTGGCCGCCACCCCGTCTGGGAAGTGAGGAGCGTCTCTGCCCGGCCGCCCATTGTCTGAGATGTGGGGAGCGCCTCTGCCCCGCAACCCCGTCTGGGAGGTGAGGAGCGTCTCTGCCCGGCCGCCCCGTCTGAGAAGTGAGGAGACCCTCCGCCCGGCAACCGCCCCGTCTGAGAAGTGAGGAGCCCCTCCGCCCGGCAGCCGCCCCCTCTGAGAAGTGAGAAGCCCCTCCGCCCGGCAGCCGCCCCTTCTGGGCAGTGAGGAGCGTCTCCGCCCGGCAGCCACCCCGTCCGGGAGGGAGGTGGGGGTCAGCCCCTGCCAGGCCAGCCGCCCCGTCCGGGAGGGAGGTGGGGGGGTCAGCCCCCCGCCCGGCCAGCCGACCCGTCCGGGAGGGAGGTTGGGGGGTCAGCCCCCGGCCCGGCCAGCCGCCCCATCCGGGAGGTGAGGGGCGCCTCTGCCCGGCCACCCCTACTGGGAAGTGAGGAGCCCCTCTGCCCGGCCTCCACCCCGTCTGGGAGGTGTACCCAACAGCTCATTGAGAACGGGCCATGATGACAATGGCGGTTTTGTGGAATACAAAGGGGGGAAAGGTGGGGAAAAGATTGAGAAATCGGATGGTTGCCGTGTCTGTGTAGAAAGAGGTAGACATGGGAGACTTTTCATTTTGTTCTGTACTAAGAAAAATTCTTCTGCCTTGGGATCCTGTTGATCTGTGACCTTACCCCCAACCCTGTGCTCTCTGAAACATGTGCTGTGTCCACTCAGGGTTAAATGGATTAAGGGCGGTGCAAGATGTGCTTTGTTAAACAGATGCTTGAAGGCAGCATGCTCATTAAGAGTCATCACCACTCCCTAATCTCAAGTACCCAGGGACACAAACACTGCGGAAGGCTGCAGGGTCCTCTGCCTAGGAAAACCAGAGACTTTTGTTCACTTGTTTATCTGCTGACCTTCCCTCCACTATTGTCCTATGACCCTGCCAAATCCCCCTCTGCGAGAAACACCCAAGAATGATCAATTAAAAAAAAAAAAAGATTTCTGAGATCTCCAGGGAGCTTTACAAGCACTAACAACATGCCTGCTCCCAGTGGGCATCTGCTGGCCATGGTCCTTGTGTGCTTGGCGTCTGCTCATGCTTGCCTGTGTGCTGCTCCTCCAAGGACTGCAGAGCAAGGGGAAAAGTGGGCGTTTGGCTTTCAGGAAGAGGAGAAAGGGATAAGGCTGTGACAGCCTGTCTCTGGGTTTACACAGGACAAACTTTTAGTTCATAAAATGCAGCCACCTGGATCTGCTTCTGATTTGTTCTGTCACCTTGCGCAGGTCACCTTGGTGCTTTCTACTTCAATTTCCTTTACTGAAAATGGCAAGAATTCTCGTATCATAAAGATGTAGTGGGAACTGGCTATTTAATGATTAGTTGGTATTTTGAAAACATCAAGTACAAGATAAGTGCCAGGGCAGGAAAGCCAAGTATTTGTGGCTTCCCCAGTGAGCAGTTGGTTGTGCTTTTTTTTTTCTATAAACATTCAAAGGAAATAAATTGAGACAGAACAATCTCAAATCCCCAAAGTCAATAAATTGCTCTTTAAGCCTCTTTACTAAACTAGGTTGCTGCATAGGTGAATCCCAGGTTACGAGGGGATAGTCATAAAAAAAATCCCAGGCAACCTGAAGTTATTTAACTAGGGGCACTAGGACTATGGAAAGTTTGGGAAGGGATGAGGCCCCATAGCCAACATTTGATAATTACATTTTAATTAAAGGAATATTTAATCCTAAAATACTCTAATGACATTAATCATCTTAATGAAAACCTTTACTTAAAATATAAAGAAGGTATTTAGGAGGCTGGAGAGAATGTCGAGTGTCATGAAAAGGAAAAGACAGATATAAAATTGGAAAATTTACCTATTCCAATTCATGCTCCCAGAAACCATATCAAAAGAAGCTTCTTCCTTCAGAAAATAAGAGGTATGATATGGGTCACATTGGGTCCCTTTAAAAATCATTATGTTGAAGTCCTAAAACCCTAGTACCTCAGAATGTGACCTTACTTGTAAATAGGGCCATTGCAGTTGTAATTAGTTGAGTTGAGATTATACCGAACTAGGCTGGGCCCCTCATCTGATATGACTGGTGTTTTTATAAAAAGGGAAAATTTGGACACAGATGTACACATTCCGAGAGTACACCCTGGGAAGATGAAGGCAGAGATCAGGGAGATGATTTTACAGAATAAGGAATGCCAAAGATTAAAAGTAAACCACAGAAGATAAGGGATAGACATAGCTTCTCTCACAGCCCTAGAAAGAAGCAAACCTGACAGCACCTTGATCTCAGACTTCAAGCCTCCAGAGCTGTGGGACAATACATTTCTATTGCTTAAGTCTCTCGGTCTGTGGTACTTTGTTATGGCAGCCCTAGGAGACTTATATTACATCCAGTTGTTCTAGTCTAAAGAATCACAGGTGGCCAAGCACAGTGGCTCACGCCTGTAATCCCAGCACTTTGGGAGGCTGAGGCAGGCAGATCATTTGAGGTCGGGAGTTCGAGACCAGCCTGAGCAACATGGAGAAACCCCATCTCCACTAAAAATACAAAATTATCCAGGTGTGGTGACACATGCCTGCAATCCCAGCTACTCGGGAGTCTGAGGCAGGAGAATCGCTTGAACCTGGGAGGCGGAGGTTGTGATGAGCCAAGATCACTATCATTGCACTCCAGCCTGGGCAACAAGAGCAAAACTCTATCTCAAAAAAAAAAAAAAAAATAGGTAATGAGAAGAAGGGATTGAAGGCAGTTGATTGGTTCTTCAATACCTATTCTACTAGTTTAAAGATTTGCTTGGGTTAATATATTATTTTCTTAAAATATAAATATTTCCTTAAAATATTATGATCATCAATTATTTACACCTGATGGCATATTGTATTTTCAAGAGATGGCCACAGTGATATCTCTTACCCCACATTGCCCCTCTAGAATATCACCATTCTCTATTAAGAAGTCATATCAAATTCCCCTTCTCTTGAATCTAAGTGGGCTTGTAACTCCCTTGTAACCAACAGAAACTTCTGAGGCCAGGTCACGAAAGTTGATGCAGCTGCTGTGTTGGGAGCTGAAATACTTGCACTGGAGCATTTCACTACTCTGAGGCTGCCATATAGTGAAGAGGCTCAAACTAGCTCTTATAGAGAGACCACATGGAGAGACCACCTCCGAAGACAGAGGTGCCTAGCAAGACTGCAGCTTCTTCAGCTCCTCTGCTGTTCTGGCTCCAGCCTTTCTTCTGACAACCACTTGGGGGACTCCAGAATCTCCCCACTGAGCCCTCTCTGAATGCCTGACCCACAGAAACTGGGAGAGGTTAAAAATGACTGTTGTTAAGTCACTATGTTTTTGGGTGATTTATTAGGCAGCAATAGATAGCAGACACACCTTAATGCATTATTCTGATAATGAAATTTCTTGACTTTAAAATTAACTGTTCTAGAATTTAATTTTCTCTAGGAAAGGATGGAAAGCACAAGAAAATAAGATGACTTTGGTAACCTAGAAACACCTACTTTGCAGACTTCCCCACGGACTCGTGGGCAATTTTCTATGGCACTAAGCACCGTGAGTGTTGCTCCCCTTGGCATTCTGCCCTATTTATTATCAATTAGAATGTGAATGACAAGAAGTACCTTAAGAGTTGAAACCACTAATCACACTAATGTTTATGTAAATCAGTCAATTCCAGATTGGAGGGTCCTTTTTTACGCCCTACTTCCAAAGGTGTTCTAATTATGCAAAATTGTGTCATCAACTGCCGTGGCCAAGAACAAGTTCATTATCACTTGTGCCAGTCTTGCATGTTGAATTTGCCAACTTCTGAAGACCTCTATTTTCAGTCAGAATCTGGCACTGATTCTAATGATTCTTACTTCATTTGTGATGGGGGTGGGAGGACCAGGATAATAAAGGTGTTTGCACTTTGAATAATCCCCAACCCTTGGCGCATAGCTCTGACATAGCTCCGCTCAATTATAAAAAGGCCATTTCCCCTAGTCATTTCCTTTCCTTTAGCAAAAGCCTGGATCCTTTTGACACTCTCATGTTCCAAATATTCCCTATCTGCCTGTGGCTTGTTTTCTATGGTGTCTTTGATTAGGCCTTCTTCTATCAGGGCATTTGAATAAATAATCCCCCTGCCTCTCTTTTGTTAAGGGAGTTCTTGCCTGCCACTTCTGGTCTCCAAGACAGCCCTCAGCCATTACTGCCAGGAATTAAGATGCCTGTGAAATCCACTCTCACCCTGCAACTGCCTTGCAATGGAGTCCTTAGAAAACATTAACTTCTTTTCATTTTTCAGCCATGAAACAGTGGTTTCTGGCAAACAGTCATTCTGAACATGGCTATTAGTTAAGAATCTCTGCAGACAATAGCCAAGGGGCAACAAAGAAGCCTAAAAGAAAAGATTTCATAATCTCTTATTTGTGATTTGCAAGTGGTAGCTGCTAAAAGTGACTTCTGCAAGCAGGCAGCTGCTTCTGCCATTTACACTTAACCACATAATCATAGAGCTGGGAGAGCCCTTAATTCATGCTCATCAATTGCCAGGGCCTGCAAGGCTTCCTGAAGAGTGTTCCAGAATCCTCAAGTGCTGTCCTCACACCTCCACTTGAAACAGTCAAAACACACTGGGGAGAGGAGACATCTACTCCTTCTCAGAACAGAAACAGAAAGACCATTTTGTCACCTAAACTTCTAACTTTCTTGATGAACAATTTTTGAATGCATATTGACCCTAGTCTTCAAATACCATTTGATGTTGTTATCATTCCCCTCATTTCACATATGAGGAAACTAAGGCTCAAAGAAGGGAAATGACTGGCTAAGGCCTGAAAGAGCTAGAATAGGGTGACCAAGCATTTGGGTTTACCCAGGACTTAGGGATTTTCTGGGATTTAGGATTTGCAGTGCCAAAGTGAGGACAGTTACGGGACAACTAAGAAAGTTGATCACCCTAGGTTTGAACCAGGTCCAGCTTGTCCCCAAAGCCTTTTCCTCTGAACCCTGACACCATACTAAGTTGTCTTCAGTCTGAGATTTGGCTCTGGCACAGATGGGGCCATTTCCCTCTGTCAGAGAACAAAGTCAGGGGTGTCAGCCTCACAGGATCAACCCAAGACCCTCTTGCAGGTTATTCAGAGCCCACTAGAAAGACTAGTTTGGGAGATGACTCTCTAGAGAGGTGAAAGCCAGATGCAAGCGTGTGCACAACCATTTATATAATGTGCCACATCAGAAGACATTCTACAAGGGACCCTAAATTATCACCCACAGAACTGCCAGGGCTTGCCTGGTTGCAGAAACCTCAGAGATGGGCCACGAAGGAGGCAGGGCTTTCCTGAAATACATAGAGAAGAATTTCACTGAATTGGTTAACAAAAGCTGATGACAGCATATTTTTGCCAAAAGCAGAAATCAAAATCTTTAGACATTTTTCAAGGATGATTTATAGTTCCTTCTCTCCTTCCCTCTCTCCCTCCTTCCCTCCCTCCCTCTCTCCCTTCTTCCCTCCCTTCCCCTTCCCTCCTTCCTTCCTTCCTTCCCTCCTTCCTTCCTTTCTTCCTTCCTTCCTCTTCCCCCTCTCTCCTTCCCTTCCTCCCTCCTTCTCTCCCTCCCTCCCTCCTTCCTTCCTTCTTTCCTCTCCACCTCCCTCCCTCTCTCCCTCCCTCCCTTCCTTCCTCTTCCCCCTCCCTCCTTCCCTTCCTTCCTCCCTCCCTCCTTTTTTCCTTCCTTCCTTCCTTCTTCTCCTCATCCTCCCTCCCTTCCTTCCTTCCCTCCTTCCTTCCTTTCTTCCTTCTTTCCTCTTCCCCCTCCCTCCTTCCCTCCCTCCCTCCCTCCTTCCTTCTTTCCTTCCTTCCTTCCTCTCCACCTCCCTCCCTCTCTATCCACCTCCCTCCCTCCCTTCCTTCCTTCCTTCCTTCTTTACTAGCCCACTCCAGTTCTCTCTTTCAGGATGTCTCCCTGGTCTGCAGTGAAAAGGCAGGCACTGAGCAAACACTGTTGAGAGGGTTGTGGCTGGAGCAGATCCTGGTTGCCCACACACACACTGTGGCAGGTATTGCCCTCTAGTTCCTGGACCCTAAAAGGTCTGGGGAAGGCCAGGTGGTTGGGGAGAGAACTGGGAGGGAGGCATGGGGGTGGAAGTAGTGTTTCAATGTTGGAACAAACAGTTGGGAAAGCTGCACTCATGCATTAGGCTTTCTCAGCCCTGAATGGGAGCAGCTGTCCTGCTCATGTGGCTGCTCCGAGGCCCTCCTCCACATTCACCTGCCCCTGACCCTCTCCCCTTGGAGGACAAGAGATTAAAACCGAATGGATCTCAGAGACATCACCTCTGGTTCATCAACTGGCTCAACTTTTTCCTTATACAGATGAGGGCCTGAGACATGGAGAGGAGAGGTGAGATTTTCTAGGTCACCCATGAGCCTTGTGAGTCTTCCTTGGTGCTCTGCAGTAGAGGAGGGAGGAAGAAAAGAGTCTAGACTTGAATCAAAACTCTTTCTCTTCCTTCAGCTTCTCCATGATGTTAGCCCAAATAATTTTCAGCCCTTTCTTTCTCCACTGCGTCATGTCAGGCACACAGGTTTTTGTTTTCTTTTGTTTTGTCTTCAAACTATATTTTTGTTAGCTCAGTCCTCCTTTCCTTCCCCTCTCTGTATCCAAGTAAAATCATTCACAAAAGTCAGTGTCTTAAATAAACAGTACTTGGGGTTGGGGGCACCCCGTGCAGAGGAGGTGGTACCTACTCTTCCTTCCTACCTAGGGCTCCTGTGACACTGTCAGAAGTAGCTACAAAGGCCATGCAGTGCAGTGATTAGACCATGGACTGTGAAACCAGAGTGCCTGGGTTTGGTGCCCAGTCAAGCAAGCTTTTTAACCAAATGATTTTGTTTTTCTTGTCCCCAGCTCCCCACCCCCTGCTTTCTACTAGCACAGGGCCCATCCCTGAAATTTCAGTAGTGGGTGTGAGGACTCTGTCCTCACCCTATGTGTTAGGGGATTACAATCAGGCCAGGTGGCCCCAGTCTGCAACATCTTTCTATCAGTCATGGAAGAGGCCACCTCTTAGGTGAGGCACCACCCCCACCCCTCCTGAGAATGTCACCACACTGCTTCTCAGGCAGCCCCACCTGACAGCAGTGAAGTGAAGCATTCATTCATGAGTGAAGAAAGAGGCCTCCTCCCCAACTCCTTCCACAGATGAGTGATGCCTGCCCGCCCCCCGCCTCACAATTGCCAAGGGCCATCCCCTTCTCTAGCCAATCACAGGAAGGGGATCAGGAAGGAAAACCATACTTGAGGCCTCCTCATTCATTAAACCCTGGATGAATCTAAATGGAATGAGAAGAAACTGTGTTTCTTAAGTAGAAGAACAAACGCAACAGGGGCCACACCAGATGTGACAACCCTACCCAGGCACAGACGCTGTTGATGGGATGCAACATCTAACTCGCGGTCATCAACTCACCTAACACTCCATAGGACCACAAATGAATTAGAAAGATGGTAGAATCCACACCTAGAATCTAGTATATACAGTAGGCCAGGTGCAGTGGCTCATGCCTGTAATCCCAGCACTTTGGGAGGCCAAGGGGGGCGGATCATTTAAGGCCAGGGGTTCAAGGCCAGCCTGACCAACATAATGAAACCTTGTTCCCATTAAAAATACTATATATATATTATATTATATATTATATTATATGTTATATATTATATTATATATTATATATTATATTATTATATTATATATTAATATATTAATATTAATATATATTAACATTAATATATAGTAATATATAATATATTGATATAATATATAATACAAATAATATATTATATAATATATAATACAAATAATATATTATATAATATATAATACATCATATAATATATAATACATTATATATAATACATTATAATACATTATATATAATACAATATAATACATTATATATAATACATTATATATAACATATATGTGTGTGTGAGTGTGTGTGTATATATATATGTATATATATATAGAAAACTATTTTAGCTGGACATGCTGGTGGAGGTTGCAGTGAGCCCAGATCGCACCACTGCACTCCAGCCTGGGTGACAGAGCGAGTCTCTGTCTCAAAAAAAGAATCTAGTATATACAGTGAACCGAAAGGATGACTTAATAATTACCATGCCTACAACAAACTACAAAGAATACAGAGTGTGATTATGTCATAGCTTCCACTCCCTTCTCAGCAGGAAACCTGAGAAGTCCTTTGCCAGGAGGAGCCAAGGGAAATGTCTCTATCCTCAGTCGGTTGGCATCCTTTTCTTTGTCCAGGTTCTCTGCCATTGGCTGATCCTCTTCTGCTTCCCACACTGTTCTACGTGCCAGCCAGGTTGGGCCAGGAAGGGCTCTCTGGGAGTTCGAACTGCCACAGCATCTGCAAAATTCTCGGCCTCTCTGCTTGCAAGTTCACACCTTGGGGGCAGAATTCTCAGCAAGCTCGCCTCTATCCTCTGGCTACCCTCTTCCTCATTTGTTTCTGTATAGGTCAGATTTGGGCCCTTGGGAGGCTTAGAATCTTCACTGTGAATTTACTGAAATGTCCTTGGTAGTTTTGTGTTCCCCAAGAAATGGCTTTTCTCTCTTTGCATAATTTCTCAGGTCCGCATGCTCCCTATTCATATTTTGTGTGGGTTCCACAAAGATGACCAAGGATAGGAAAATCCAGCTTCTTCTTGTAACTATTAGCAGTAGCTACCCATTTATGGAGCGCCTACTATGTTCTGGGTATTATGTAAGTGCTTTACATATCTTTAGTCCTTACAACGAACTTGTGAGATAATTCTCATCAGTCCCATATTACAGATGAGGAAACAGAGAGAAGTTATATAAGTTACCCTTGATCAAATTGGTGGTAAGCAGAAGTAGTGGGACCTCATGCAAGTCTGCAGGATTGAGAAGCCCACACTCTTTCCTTTCCACCATTTGTCCAGTCACAGTAAACACTTACTGAAGCCCTTTCCTCCCCCAGGCATTGTTCCTCTCTTGCGGAGGAACATCCCACGACCCCATTCTTCCTCCTAATTCTCTTGATTTGAGCCATTGAAGAAAAGAGTTCCCAAAACCTGTGGCAAGGAAAAGGTTTAGAACAGCAAATAGAAGAAAAATAACACTTACTGTGGGTGGTAATTTGAAGTTTGTTAATCACCAGGGGAAAAAGAACTATGTGAGAATTACCATCTCAGCCATATGTCTCTAGTTTACATAACCCAGGCACTAGCTGGAGCTCTCAGGCAGAGGCAGAGGCAAACATGTGGGATCCTGGAATTCCACTGAAATATAATAGACAACAGGAGGAGCAGGAAAATGAGTCATGTTTTTATAATTAGTTGTGTTATTGGACCCAACTTCTCTAAGAAATCAACAGCATCATCCAATCCCATCTGGCACAGGAGAAGACAAGAGGCTGACAGATTGTGTGATAGTCCCTGGAAATCGGTGGTGATATAAAGACCTAGGATCTAAACCTGCAGGAAAAAAATTAGTGGCCAGCTACCTCCCTTATTTGCAGGCTGTTGAAATACTCTTAATTTTACTGAGAGCCAAAGCAAACTTATCTCACTGGGAAAAAAAAAAAAAAAAGCATAGAAAGAGAGAACTGATATAGTAAAACCCAATTGCCATGGCTGGACTGGTGCCCAAGCATGAAAGAAGTTTAGGTTATTGTATTTTAAAGGATCTCTTAGATTGGCAAAACTGTGGGTAGCACATTTCTGCTTCTTCACTAATAAATGAATCTTGATTTTGTTCAGATGATCAGAGCAATTTGTCTGGAGAAGGTGGATTCTTCCCTTAGACCCAGGAGAGGAACCATGATCAGCCTGATCCCTTTCCTCTTTGAAAATGATGGATTTAGCCAATGTGTTGGCTGACACAACCCAGTGCTCAGCAAGGAGACATAAGTGAAAGACTCCTAGTGATTTCTGAAAAGGTTTTCCTCTCTAACAAGGAAAGACACTTAGGAGAAAGAAAGCCTGGGACACTTTTTACCTGTCTTTGGATATTTTGTTTAAAGATATGATGAATGGAGCTACTGTAGCCATCTTACCACCATGAGGAGAGACAATGCTGTCACACTGAGAGCTACAAAATGAAAGATGGAAAAAGCTAGAGGTCTTGGTTTCATCACTGCACCCCCAATCAACCGGAACCATATACCTGCTACCTGCAGAGTCAAGTGATGTAAAAACTGCTTCATGGTTTCAATCACTTTTTCTTTAATCTCCATGATACACCGGATAAAGAGAAACAGCTTGAAGTTGACACATTATGCAAGAGAAAAAGAAATGTCTCATCTGAACCAGGATGAGACTCTGTTGATGCCAGGACCTCTATCTGTTGGGCTGTACTGCCTCCACGGGAATTTAGAAACTGAACAGATGGCACATATTTATTGAGCACCTACCAAGTGCCAGGCACTGTTCTGGATCACAGGAGTAAACAATGCAGAAAGGTCATTGTTGTCATGGAAATCACATTCTGGAAGACAGATGATAAACAAAAACACAATTAAGGATAGGTGAAAACACTCTTAGGCAACTTTCTAAGTATTGGTTCAAGCCAGTCCTGAGTGAAACCCTGACTCTGGAATCAGATAGAACTGGATTCAAATTCCACCCCCACCATTCACTGTGACCTTGGGAAAGTTATTTAGTCTTTCTGAGTATCAGTTTCCTCTTCTGTAAAATAACGATAATAAAAAAAACTAACTCAGCCGGGCATGGTGGCTCACGGCTGTAATCCCAGCACTTTGGGAGGCTGAGGCAGGAGGATCCCTTGAGCCCAGGAGTTTGAGACCAGCCTGGGCAACATGGTGTAATACTGTCTTTACAAAAAATTAGCCACTTCTGGTGGTGTGTGCCTGTGGTCCCAGCTACTTGGGAGGCTGAGGTGGGAGAATCACCTCAGCCCGGGAGGTCAAGGCTGCAGTGAGCCAAGATCGTGTCACTGCACTCCAGCCTGAGTGAAAAACAAAAAACAATACAACCTCATAGGGTTATTGTATTACATATTAAATAAGCAGACAAACTCTCTGTACAGTCCTTACATGGAGCCTGACACACAGTCAGTCTTACTAGATTATGGATCATCACCATTGTCATCATCATAATAATTTGTGCTGTCATAGTAATAATTTGTGCAACAACAATAATAATAATAATGCTGTGGGTATCAAATGATAAACAAGACATAGACCCTGCCCATTCAAAAAATCGTGGCAGCAAGAATCCAGATTTGGCCATAGAATGGTCAGAAGTTAGGCATTGAATTAGGCAGGAAACAAAAGAATTCCTCTGGTAACCAAGGTTGGGTTAACCTGGGCCCCCTGTCTCTACTCTTTCCCACACATGTTTTATAACCGTCACCCCCTTTTCCAAGAGGGAAAGAGGTATTCTGAATGAGCGCTGCTCTTCTTTCACATATGGCTACTGTTCCCAAGAGACTCAAGTGGGCTTTCTCTTTCTCTGCTGAAGTGAATAATATAGGGTGTGGCTCTCTGGATGGCACTTACCGGTTTGTGCTACAAACCAGCAAATACACACAGATAATCCCACAGATGATCTCACCAGACCTTGTCTCCCTTCCCTCATTCCCTCAAAATCATACCCACCTAATAATGTTTAGTGCACTGCAATTGAGTATTAGCTCCCGTATCTAGCTAATAAAATACGTAAACATCCAACAGCCGGGTCCTCACACCCACACACATACCCTCGCCTTTAGAAACATTTCCACGGATTGTCACACGAGCCCCTAAACTCTCTGTCACACTCTGCATGCATCTTCCCACAGACTTGCTCACACACTGGCTTTTTATTCGCAAGCCCATGGGGAATCTTTCACCTCTTAGACAGGAATTTCATTAACGAAGGGGAGGGGATGGTAAGAGGAAAGTACAGATGCAGGGGAAATAAATGAGAATCGTTTTTGAGGGAGACCTAAAACTGTATCATCCTAGCCCGAATCTCTCCCTTTTAACTGTTCTTTATGTGTACATTCTGTGCCCAAAAGAAAACAACCTTTCATTAATTGGGCAATTGTCCAGGCTCTTAGCTTGGCATCCAGCTCTCAGAGCTGTGAAATCAACCGCACCAGATCTACGCTTTGAAATGAGGCAACATCTAACTGGAAACTCGCTCAAAGTAAGGAAGTGGATGAGAAGACTCAGGGTCCCTTTTCTCTTCCCCGTCTTCTCTCAGCCACATCTCTCTTATCCTATCTTGGTGAAGAAGCTTGCTTGGCTAGGAGAGAGGTCAGGGACGAGAAGATAGTGACGAGAAAGTTCCATGAGACTCTCAGAAGTCCCAGCCTGAACATCAAACCTGAATAACCAGGAGAGACGTAACCTCGGCATACTTTCAGTGGTTTACCTCCTGCCCACGCTGCAGGTTTTTCAGGTCCTTGCTCGAGTGTGTGCTCATAGGCGTAAATAAACGTGCTATCAGCAGCCTGCGTCAGCCAGCCCAGCTATTTAAGCAGGCTGGCATCAGCAAACACAGCTTCCAAACCCAGGGCTTGCGCTTGCCTTTGCCTCTTCCACGTAAGTACCTTTCAAAGGTCTGCCTTTTATGCAGAGGAATGAGTTTGTGCAGGAACTAGACCAAAATGCTATCGTTACCGTATTTGCTCATCTGTTGGAAAACGGTAGAGGTGAAAGGGAGAATAGGAATGACAAGCTTACCCCCAAGCAGAAGCTAGGAAATGCTGCTGGGTGTAAGACATCAGTCCCTTACAAACAAAACTGCATGGGGTCGAGGGGAATTTGGAGGAAGGGGAGTTGGTGTTGGTCTTTTGGCCAAGCAGGTGAGATGTTTTTCTTACTCGCTTCTATTTTGGAAAGATAACTTTGAAACCAGCATTTGTCAGATGCCTATGATTTTCTCATTTAGAAGCAGATTATTGTTATTCTACATCCCAGACTTTTATCTAAAATCAGACATAATATCGTTTTAAAATATGTTTTGTGTTTGACAAGGGGAAGTGAGGGAGCTGTCTCTGGATGGAGAAGTGGCTTGATTTTGAATTTGCAGTTTATTGTTACTTCTGGTTCTCATAATACTTATTTATAACAACAAAAACAGTGATTTTTTTTTTTTGAGATGAAAAGGAATCCCAGGCTCTGGGGTTTAGAGAAAGTATAGGTTTGTGATATGTGAGTGGCATCCAAGTATTCAGGGTAAACTGTTAAGTAAAGTGGAATAAGAATCATTGAATAAAAAGGTACAATCTATCACATAGTTCAGATAAGAAGCTCTTAAAGAGAAAAGGAATGCAAACAGTTCCCATGAAGTGGCACTGCTACTGGACAGGGCCCTGTAGTGTGTTTAGTTAAGTAAGGTTAAGTATAACCAGGGCAGGCAGAGAACAAAACGAAGGTGCTGGGGAGGTGGGAAGGGAGGAGAAGGGAGGAGCAGATAGTAAAGGATTTATAATTAAACAACAGATTCATGAAAAGCAGATAGGAATAGAGCAGGGCATTAATTCCATAGTCTATCCCTTTGTATCAAGAATCTGGTGAAAGCCAAGGACCTTTCTCAGGTATTCATTCCTCGCTTCCTGAGCCTCCCCTTCCACCCCACACCCCAACCCACACCTTGACTCTCACTTTCTGGACTCCTAGAAGTCCACGGACCTAAATGAAGCTCATATGCTTATTATTATTTTTTTTTAACTGGGCTGAAGCTGCCGACTGAGGAACCTCTCCAGAAGTGGTGGCGAGTTAAAAACCTTCAACGTGGCAGGCACTTCTTAGCCACCAAACTGAAGCTTGGTTTTAAGTTCATGAAGGTCTTATGTCAATCAAGCAAATAATGATTAAGGGCTATATCTGAGAAAAGATAAGTTGAAGGCCAAGAGGAAGAGAAAAGAAAAAATGGATCTTGTTCTCAAAGAGCTTGAAATCTAAAGTCCAGGGAGATAATTAGATGTTATGTCCATGCACAAAATAGGATGTGTTGAGTGATTACATTTGTATAAAATGATAGAAAATGCAAACTAATCTATAGCAAAAAGAAAGTGGCTGGGTGCGGTGGCCCACGCCTGTAATCCCAGCACTTTGGGAGGCCGAGGTGAGCGGATCACTTGAGGTCAGGAGTTTGAGACCAGCCTGGCCAATATAGTGAAACCCCGTCTCTACTAAAAATACAAAAATTAGGCGGGCTTGGTGGTGGGCACCTGTAATCCCAGCTACTCGGGAGGCTGAGACAGGATAATTGCTTGAACCCGGGAGGCGGAGGTTGCAGTGAGCTGAGATTGTACCACTGCGCTCCAGCCTGGGCGACAGAGCAAGATTCTGTCTTAAGAAAAAAAAAAAAAAGAAAGAAAGAAGATCCATGGTTACTTGGGAAGGTAGGGGCAGGAGAAAAAATGTTTGGGGGGACTCCCAAGGTACACAGGAAACTTTTGAGGGTGATGGATATGTTCATTATTGTGACTGTGACCATTTCTTATATGGGAAGATTTATCAAATTGTGTACTTTAAACATTCAGTATTATAGCTGATTACTCCCAACAAACAATACTTTAACCACATTATTTTTATTTTTATTTTTTTGAGATAGGATCTCACTCTGTCACCCAGGCTGGAGTGCAGTAGCACGATCTCGGCTCACTGCAGCCTCTGCCTCCCAGGCTCAAGCAATCCTCCCACCTCAGCCTCCCAAGTAGCTGGGAACACAGACTTGTGCCACCACACCCAGCTGTAGAGATGGGGTTTTGCTATGTTGCCCAGGCTAGTCCCAAACTCCTGAGCTCAAGCGATCTGCCTGCCTTGGCCTCCCAAAGTGCTGGGATTACAGGTGTGAGCCACTGTGCCTAACCAACAATATAATTTTTAAATAAGTAAAAGCATTTCTAAAAATCAGCCTATGTAACATGCTGAACATAAAAGATGAGTATTTATGGAGAAAAAAATAAATTCAGTAAAGCACAGAGACCAGACAGTAAGGATCATAGACTTTTATAGAACTGGGAGGGTCCCTGGAGATAATCTAACCTAGTGGTTGTGGGGCCTGGAGAACTTAAAAAAGAAAAAAAAAATCAGTGACTGGGGCAGGGCATGGTGGCTCATGCCTGTAACCCCAGCACTTTGAGAGGCTGAGGCGGGTGGATCACCTAAGGTCAGGAGTTCGAGACCAGCTTGACCAACATGGTGAAACCTCATCTTTACTAAAATACAAAAATTATTCTGGGCATTGTGGTGAGCGCCTGTAATCCCAGCTACTTGGGAGGCTGAGGCAGGAAAATCGCTTGAATCTGGGAGGCAGAGGTTGCAGTGAGCGGAGATCGTGCCACTGCACTCCTGCCTGGGTGGCAGAGCAAGACTCCGTCTCAAAAAAAAAAAAAAAAAAAAAAAAATCAGTGACTAGGCCCCACCCTGGACCAATTAAATCAGAATCCCCAGGTGTGCAGCCCTGGGATTGGTTTTTAAAGTTCCCCAGGTGAGTCTAATGTGCAGCTAGGGATGAAAACCAGTGAAATCAAAACCATTCACTTGACAGATAAGGACAGTAAGGGCCAAAGAGAGGATGGGGATGGCCCCATGCCACCTGACCACCAAGTCCGAGAGTAGGATGAGGCTTGGGAGGCTCAGGGAACACAGCAACAGAGGCTCAAAGGTAAAGAAAGAGGCTGCTTCTGGACACTCCCAGCTCCAGCGAGGATAGGGTATCCAGCACCTTCCAAGCGAATCCTTGGAACCCAGACATGCTGCGGGGCAGCAAACTAGAAGAATTACTCAGGGCCTCCAAGGTGCATTATTAAAGGATTGTGCTAATGAGTGAGAAGGGATGTTTCAAAACTAAAGCTTCCTTTTTTTCCCGATTAATATCTGGCATAAGTAGAGGATTCTAATTATTGAAAGGAATCCCAGTGTACACACTGGGCACTCTGTTCTGGGGGACAGCCAAGTTGTTCTTTCAAGAAATAGCATGTGTGCATTCCCAGCACTGGGATGAGTCTATCTGGCAGTCCAGGGTCTTTTAATTAGGACTTCCAGGTCAGGCCCAGGCAAAAGCATGAGTGGGTGAAGTTTGTCGTTGTGACTTCTGTCCTTCCTGTCTGTGGCTCCTTAGCTCTCCCTCAGCACCTGTATGGGTGCAGGTGTCAGTTCAGAGGTGTCTGTGGGACCACAGAGCCTCACCGGCTCCACCCTGGCCATGTTTCCAATTGGTTTTTACCTCCCCTTCAATCCAAATGTGCCACTTTCCAGGTCTTATTCTCTCAGGGCTTGTTTTCTCCATCTCTGGAAAACTAATTAAAATTAGGATGTTAATAGACAATAATCGTTTAATGAATTATGTCACTCCCTGGTATAGTAAGTAGGTTCCAGCAAGATAACATATCTAGGAGTTCCTTGAAATGTTATATATAGTTACCATTTGAATTTTTAAGTGGGGCAATCAGGCAAATCAAAGTTTTATGCAAAATATGTGCTCCTTATTGGTCAGAATTCCAAGCAACTTGCTGGGCAAAAATATACCAAGATTGTGGGTTTTCAGTATAATTTTTCAAACCATATCCAGTAGGCAACCATCTATAGGTTGTGGGCCCTGTTAGATTGTTTTTTCTAAATTAGTCCATTTTTTGTCAATGCAGTTGAACTCATCAGAAGTAGCTGCATTTCCTGTGTCTTTCTGAAAAATGGAGAGCCACCTTAAGGTTACTATAATGGAGACAAAATGTCAAGAAATTCTGCTCATAAGGATTTTAGAATATTACCTGCTTCTTTCTCAGGAGCAGAAGGCTGGCACCAGCAGAGTAGCTTGCCTAGTATTAGTGGCCAGGAGCCTCATTCTTTGGGGACCCAGTTGTGCAGCTGGGGCAGCCCCCCCACCCCCTCCCAGTGCATGTGGCCATGGGCCCATTCGGGCACTTTTGCCCAGTTTGAAAACCAGATTGTGGCAGTTCTTGAAAACAAGTGGCAGCTGCCTGTGGCCAGTCCTGTCTCTGAAGAGGGGCGTGGCTGGGTGTGTAATTAACATCCCTTCTGGGGAGGCAGTCTGCAGGCAGTCGGAGCCCAGAGCAGCCCTGCAGCCAGAGGACACATTGTGACAGCAGCAGTGGGGAGGAGAGGGTGAAGGCGAGCTCCATCTTGAGTCCCTGGGAGCCCTGGCACTCTAGCTCTGGGGAACGGATTAGGTCGTTGGCATCAGGGCAGCAGTCAACACCAGTTTAATGCCCCTACTTGGAAGCCAAATGCTTTTTCCTGTGCTTTTTCCTGTTATTCAGAGTTTCTCCAAAATAAAAAAAAAAAGAAAAGAAAAACAAATGACAAGTTTGCAAGACTGATAAAACAGGTTTGTATGACCGATAGAATTTCTTCCTTCCTTGGATGACTTTTCTTTGAATATTTCTCCTTCACCTTCATTTCCAAATTCTCTCATTACACAATGACTTAGTTCAAGAGGTCACTTGGACATTTTTTAAGGCTGTGTTATGACCTAACTCAGCTTAATTTCTGGATGTTGTTGATGGCTTCCTTAGACTTTTTGTTGTTTTTGAGACAGAGTCTCACTGTCACCCAGGCTGGAGTACAGTGTCATGATCTCGGCTCACTGCACCCTCCACCTCCCAGGCTCAAGCAATCCTCCCACCTCAGCCTCTAGAGTAGTTGGGACCACAGACACACACCACCACACCTGGCTAATTTTTTGTAGTTTTGATAGAGACAGGGTTTCACCATGTTGCCAAGGCTGGTCTTGAACTCCTGAGCTCAAACGATCTGTCCACCTTGGCCTCCCAAAATGCTGCCATTACAGGCATGAGCCACCACACCTGGCCAGCTTCCTTTGACTTTTAAAACATCAAGTGAATAGGGACAGTGGACAGTGCTATAGAAAGATGACATTGTTGGTAGAAGGATGACCTATGGCTTGGAGTGGTTTATAAAGCAGTAACCTGCCCTTTTAAAAACCATCACCTGGGGATCCTGAAGCAGCCCCTGCTCTGTTCTGGACCATACCCATCCTGCCCACTCACTTGGGGAACAGGGGAACAGGTTTGATAGAGGGGCAGCAAGCCTGATGCTGCAAATGGAAGGCTCATGTCTCCTGGTGCAGGAGGTGCATGTATCTGCTGTCTTCCTGGGCAAGGGCCCTAATGTGTTTTTGGCCTTCCAGTGCTGTTGATTTTGAACACACAGTGCAATACAGCAGATGCAGGTTAGGCTGTCCTTTTTATTTGCTGGGAAAGTGCCTACATCTATCTTTTACAATATGCTGAACAATCTTCCCCAGAACTCCAGGCTGAGCTATCTCCTGCCAGGGGAGCAGAGGACAGGTCTGGTGAGCAGGAACCTGGGTCCTATTTTCTCAGCTGTAATGGAATTTTGAAGCAGCTGTGAGCCTGAAAGATTCATTGTCCCAGTGGAATTATTAATAGCACCTCCTTTTACTCTAAAAAATACCTGGCCTGAGCAATGAACTATATGGTTACCTATGAGTACAATCTACTTTATGCAACAGCATAAAGTGACTTGCTTGGAATCTTAGGATGAGCTTGTATCTGAGCTGGCTCTTGAACCCAGTCAGCCCCAGTCCTCATTCTGACCTCTGTGCCAAGTCATTTACTCTCCCCGTGACTCAGGGTTCCTGTGGGAAGCATTGTATCCCTCCCGCCAAGGCTGAGAACTGGTATATTTATGTTGGCTAAACCAAAAAGAAGTTCAGTATAAATGTCGGGCATTCAAGGAATTGTTCATCACAAGGTCAGGTGCTTCAGCCTCTTATTTGGCCATGCTTGGGTAGCAATAGAAGCTCTTTTAAATGTAGAGAAGTTGGCTGGGCATGGTGGTTTGTGCCTATAATCCCAGCACTTTGCAAGGCAGAGGTGGGAGGATTGTTTGAGCCTCATCTCTACATTTTTTTTTTTTTTTTTTTTAGTTAGCCAGACATAGTGGCACACACTTGTAGTTTTAGCTACTTGGGAGACTGAGGCGGGAAGGTTGCTTGAGCCCAGAAGTTCGAGGCTGCAGTGAGCTATGATCACGATGCCACTGTACTCCAGTCTGGGCAACATAGCAAGACCCCATCTCTAAAACAAACAAATAAATAAAAAGTAGAGAAGTTAATTTTACCCATCTCCACATAATTTCTTGTAATTTGCTTCTGGTAGTTTTGATAAAATGTGACCAAACATGAAAACAGTGCCAGACCTTTCACAAATGATCTACTCTGTCCTTGTATGTTCAGAAAGAAATGAAACAAAAACCTGAGGCAGACATTGATCAGTTCTAATCTCTTAGTGTATACTGGGCAGGAAACCAGTGGCAGTCATTTTGGCTGTTAGGTCTAGTCATTCCATCTAGGATCATGAGGAAAATTTCCTAGGATTCTTAAGGTCATGACAGATCTGCTTAGATAGTCTAGTCGTTGTTGATGTATTTTCACTTCTTCCTTGTGGCTTCTCCCTAAGGAAATGTACATAAACAATCTTCCTTAGCCCTGATATCTCCATCAACCCTTTCCAGATTTTCAGTTTGCTGGTGCCAGGAGTGAAATCTGTTTTACAAAAAACTTTAATTCAGTGGCTAATATTTAATTTAATAACTAATGTTGGAAGTATCTATCACTTTATTGTATATGCCTTACCCTCTTCCTGGGACATAGACTAGCATCTTTGGAGATGGCTGGAACTGGGATTTATGAAGCAGGAGGGAAGAAAGCAGGAGGCCACCCCTACTTTCATTAATACACTGTACCTGGCTCAGGGTTCCACAGCTGAAAAGGGAGGAGAGTCCTTGGAACTAACTCAAGAGTTAAACAATAGTTGACTAAACAATAGTAAAATTAGGGCTGGGTGCAGTGGCTCATGCCTGTAATCCCAGCACTTTGGGAGGATGAGGTGGCCGGATCACCTGAGGTCAGGAGTTCAAGACCAGCCTGGCCAACATGGTGAAACCCCGTCTCTACTAAAAATCCAAAAATTAGATGGGCATGTTGGTGCATGCCTGTAATCCCAGCTACTCAGGAGGCTGAGGCAGGAAAATCGCTTGAACCCGGGAGGCGAAGGCTGCAGGGAGCCAAGATCACAGCACTGCACTCCAGTCTGGGTGACAGAGCGAGACTACACACACACACTCAAATCAGATCTATAAGGAACACAGAAAGGCCTGATGTTATTTAGCTTGGACAAGAGAAGGCTATAAAGCCACTGAATGATGGTGTTGAAAAGCATGGAAGGATGTCGTGGAGGTCAATAACCAGCTCTTCATCTTGGCTTTTGAGGAAAAAATCCAAGACCAAGGATTGGTGGGGCTGCAGTATAAAGGACATTAAGTAAGCCATGAAGTACTCCCCTCATTATACAAAAAATATAGTGGAAAGAATTAATTACACAGACAAGCTCTGAAAGATGGGGCAGTCCACCAATCTTTTATTTTTTAAAGCCCTTTTTTTTGTTTGTCTTTAGGCGTATGATGAGTTAACATAGTCCTTAATTCATGGCATACACAAGACCCCCTCTTAGGTTTTATATCTCATTCCATTTCTCCTGCTCTCCCACTCTCCCTCTTTTCTCTCTTTCTTTTCACTGAACACTATAATTTTAAGATGTATCTATGTTGTTGATGATATTTCTAATGCATTATTATCAATAGTCTGTTAATTATATGTATCTTTTACTTATTGACTCCTGCAGTAATGGACATCTTTCTTGCCTCCAATTCTCTGAAATGATGCTGTAATGAATATTCTCATATGTTTGTTCTACCACCCTTTAGATCTGGTTCATGGGAAACAGAAAGGGAAAGGAGTGGGCTAGAGGTTTTATGTTTTATTCACACAGCATGGAATATTGAACTGTCCATGATAAATGGAGGCATAATGTAACCAGTTAGTATTTCAAACATTTACAAGCTTCTCCATGTTCCCTTGTACTTTAATAAGAGATTGAGTGACAAATAATTTTCTAGAACTAAAAGAGCACAATCTTCAGTGATCTCCCCTTCTCAATATAATTTTCTTTTCTTTTTTTTATTAAAAAAATTTTTTTTAGCCAGTCAGGCTGGGTGCGGTGGCTCACACCTGTAATCCCAGCACTTTGGGAGGCTGAGGCAGGCAGACAACCCGAGCTCAGGAGTTCGAGACCAGCCTGGCCAACATGGCAAAAACTTGTCTCTACTAAAAATACAAAAATAGACAGGTGAGACTCCATCTCAAGTAATAATAATAATAATTTTTTAGCCAATCAAATTTAGCAGTGGGTGGTTGCATTCAATGTCATCTTCTTTTCTTTCTTTCTTTTCTTTTTTTTTTTTTAAGACAAAGTTTTGCTCTGTCGCCCAGGCTGGAGTACAGTGGCATCATCTCGGCTCACTGCAACCTCCACTTCTCGGGTTCAAGCGATTCTTGTCCCTCAGCATCCAGAGCAGCTGGGATTACAGGCGTGTGCCACCATGCCTGGCTAATTTTTGTATTTTTAGTAGAGGCGGGGTTTCTCCATGTTGCCTAGGCTGGTCTGGAACTCCTGGCTTCAAGTGATCCTCCCACCTCAGCCTCCCAAAGTGCTGGGATTACAGGCATGAACCACTGTACCCAGCCAAATGTCATTTTCTTAAACTTGGCTTTATAAATTCTAGAAGCATTTTATTTCTCGATATTGGTTACTGATTACCCAGAAAAAGCAAATGAAATGTTCTAAGAAATCTTATTAGTCATGAGGTTGAGTGAAGTTTCTAAAATGTTTTGCCATTTTAATGATTGCAAAACCTGATGTCATTTTGTTGCCCAATTATATCCTGAGTCACTGGGAAAGCTAGATTAGAACCTTAATAATGGTACCTTGTATTTATGTAGTGTTGATAATTTATAGTGCCATTCATAAACATAATCCATCTCATGGAATCCTACAACATTGTGTGACAGGTGGGGCAGGTTAATAGCTTCAATAGTAGATGATGAAATGGACGTCTAAAGCAATTAAGACAGTTGTCCAAAGTTACCTGGAGACTATGTGATAGAGCTGGAAGGAGACTCCGGGTCTTCTGAAGCTTCACTCAATCTCTTTCTGCAGTATCACGGCTGATGCTCAGAAAAGTGATCTATTGTAGGTTCAAAGCTGTCCCCTGAGCTGGACATTCTGGTGTATCTGTCCTTTTCAATTATTTCGTGATGTTAATGAGCTGGCTAAAGCTGCACACCCTCTGTTTGTCCTATTAGCTGAACACCTGCTCATAAAAACCACTCAACTGGGGAAAAAAATCAGGTCCATATCACTGAGTAGCATGGCAACAAGCAGCATGGGTGGTTGGACTTTGGCATAATTTGGAGCTCTGCAAGGTACCAGCTGTGGGTCATTTTATCCATGACCTAATTATAGTCATAAAATAAGAATGGTAGTTGGACCATAAAAATAATAATCTATTAATATATATTTATGCAAAGAGATAATTCCATTCTGTCAAAGACTCTTTTCTGGACTTTTCAAAATACACAACTAACCTGAGGAAGTTCTGTCTGCTTGCAGTAGACAGTCTAATGGCCTAAGGAAAGGCATGTGATTGGGCAGCCTGAAAATCTACCCATGGTGCATGTGCAACACCACACAGGTCTCTGATGTATCTTACTATGTAATTTGAGCTCAGGCAAAAATACCGTAGAACCCAGCATATATTTTCAAAAAAACCAATCATGATGTCACATCCCCAGAATTACAAATGAACAGCTCTTTTCAGAGTCAGGCATTAGGAATGAGAACATTTTTAGAAAGAACATTTTAATGTTCTAAAGTGATTGGATGTCTACAGAGCAATATGACAATTTTATCTACTTGATTCTCCATTGTATGTGTAGCTTATCTGTATTTGATTTTTTTTTTTTTTCACCCAGGCTGGAGTGCAACGGCACAATCTCGGCTCATTGCAACCTCCGCCTCCCGGGTTCAAGCGATTCTCCTACCTCAGCCTCCCGAGTAGCTGAGATTGCAGGCACCTGCCATCATGCCTGGCTAATTTTTGTATTTTTAGTACAGCCAGGGTTTCACCATGTTGGTCAGGCTGGTCTCGAACTCCTGACCTCAAGTAATCCGCTCGCCTCAGCCTCCCAAAGTGCTGGGATTACAGGCGTGAGCCACTACGCCCGGCCTGTATTAGATTTTTTTAAACTACCAAACTGATTTCTATCATCATTTAAGCTTTTGAGCACCCTTCCTCTTCCGTGCAACAAATACATCTCTCTATCCTTCAGCGTATTGACCTAATTAATCTAATTAATGTTCTCCTAAACAAAAGAAGTTAAATGGGCAATCAAAAATTAATAACGTACTCCAAAACATAAAAGGAATATTTATTAGCTGCCATTTAAACTTATTTGAGCCATTTTTCCTCTCTGCAAACTATTTAGAAAGTTGATCCTTTTGTTATTTGCTTCCAAGCTTAGTAGTACACATTTCTCTTCTGGTTTAAAGGTTCTCTTTAGAAAATATTGAGACATTTTCCCATATCAGAATTCTATTTGCCTCATTTCTTGGTGTATTAGGACATTAGACATTTTCAAAGAGATTTGATAATACAATTTGTTTGACAAATCTGACCCCTTCTCTATTACCTGGTTTGAAAAGCCCTGAGTGCGTGGCTGTGCCCCATGGAAATCTCTAGGACAAGCCGTTTTTGTTTCTCTGTTTATATTTGATCATAGGATTGACTCTGTTGGAGATGTAATGGATATTCACACTTACTAAGCATTAGCACAACCATATTGACAATAACCAAAGCAGGCAGAGGCCCAAGCATAACTCAGTCTACCAGACAGATTCCTATCCTACATATTCAAGTTGCAATAAAAATGAAAGATCAGGAAATTTGAAGCTATTTTCCTCTTGCCTTTAACCACAGAGCTGCAACACTATGCATTTTTAAGAGTGAAAGACAGCCTCCTGTTCATCACTGTGGTTAAGTATATGTTGTTCTTTCCTCCAGCATCCTAACAGACCTGCATTTTGCTTATCCCTAACAGCAACAGTGATACCTAGGTGCAACCGGGGCATTTTTACTATTCTCTACCTAAGTGAGAAATTTAACATTTTATGTATAATAAGGGGACCCGATATCCAGGTTTGCCTGGAACTCTTCTGATGTATGCCTGTTGTACTGGTGTTATTATTATTATTATTATTATTATTATTATTATTATTATTATTTTGAGACAGAGTCCTGCTCTATCACCCGGGTTGGAGTGCAGTGGTGTGATCTTGGCTCACTACAATCTCTGCCTCCTGGGTTCAAGTAATTCTCCTGCCTCAGCCTCCTGAGTAGCTGGGACTACAGGCCCCCACCACCTCATCTGGCTAATTTTTGTACTTTTAGTAGAGATGGGGTTTTGCCATGTTGGCCAGGCTGCTCTTGAACTCCTGACCTCAGGTGATCCACCTGCCTCGGCCTCCCCTGGTGTAATTATTAATAGCACTCCTTTTATTCTTCAGTGTTCTAGGTTAGGTGACAAATTATATGATCACATTAACTCAACAGCCAGGTTGAATACTAAGAAGCTCCTTGGTTCCTAGTGTTTCATGGGTTCCTCCGTTGTCCCTTGAAGTAGAAACTAGGCACAAAGTGTTCAGCAAATCAGGAGCAGAGCCTAGAATAGGCCTCTGTGTTCTTCTTTCTTGAGTCAGCGACATCAGCAAACTGTTGATGAGGAAGAACATGATCACTTAAAACCTAGGCCACTCTGACTGTCAGAATTTGAGAAGAGAAACTCCCTCAGAAGTCATCTGGCCCACACCTTCACTTTTCTAGATTAAGAAATAAGTATAACACTTCGGGAAATGCATATGCCGTTTTACACTAGAAAAGTGCAAGGTTGTTTCATGAGCATAATCTCACTGGATCACAACTGGAGTAAAGAGGCAAGGAAGGACATTCTTAGCCACATTTTACAGAGAAGAGAACTAGGTTTTAAATAAGTTAAATAAAGCAGCCAAGGATATGTGAGTATGAAGTGGAGGCGTTAGAAATGAAATCCAGCCCTGACTCCACACCCAGTGCCCATCCTATGACTCCATACCAGTTTAATATTTTCATTCATTAGTGAGGATTTAAAGTGTATTTCCTACATATAATTTATCCATTACAGATACACAAACATTCCCTCTGCAACTAGTGCTATATACTCAAAAGTATCTTCTTTCAGAGCCAGGCATAATGGCTCAGACCGGCAATTTCAATGACTTGGAAGGATCGCTTGAGGCCAGGAGTTCAAGACCAGCCTGGGCAACACGGCAAGGCCCCATCTCTAAAAAAACTAAAAAAAGAACAGACACATTATTTCTGCTTCTCTATCTTCCCACATGCCAAGAGCTCTGGCCAGCAACTAAACTGTTCCTGCCTGACAGCACCACTTGGTGGTTGGGTAGGGAAATGAAAGGCCAAAATCTTTCTATCTCCATTCTTGTGCCTTGGGTAGAAGGATGAGGAGAAGAAAATGCAAAGTAACTCCTGCTTTTTCTTTATTGTTCACAGTTAACAACATTAATCATTTCTCAAACAACCTATTTCTCACACTGATATTTCCATTCTCCTTTGTTCGCTTTCTTTATTTCATCTATGACACAAGTATATAAATATAATCAGTTTGGCCGCGTGTGGTGGCTTACTCCTGTTAATCTCAGCACTTTGGGAGGCCAAGGCGGTTGGATCACCTGAGGTCAGGAGTTCGAGACCAGTCTGGCCAACATGGCAAAACCCCGACTCTACTAAAAATACAAAAATTAGCTGGGTATGGTGGTGGGCGCCTGCAGTCCCAGTTACTTAGGAGGCTGAGGCACAAGAATCACTTGAAACTGGGAGGCGGAGGTTGCAGTGAGCCGAGATCGCACCACTGCACTCCAGCCTGGATGACAGAGTGAGACTCCATCTTGAAATTATTAATAATTACACCAGTACAACAGGCGTACATCAGAAGTGTCCCAGGCAAACCTGGATATCGGGTCCCTTTATTATACATAAAATGTTAAATTTCTCACTTAGGTAGAGAATAGTAAAAATGCTCCTGTTGAACCTAGGTATCACTGCTGCTATTAGGGATTAGCAAAATGCAGGTCTGTTAGGATGCTGGAGGAAAGGAAAACATATACTTAACTACAGTGATGAACAGGAGGCTGTTTTTCACTCTTAAAAATGCATAGTGTTGCAGCTCTGTGGTTAAAGGCAAGAGGAAACATTTTAGCTTCAAATTTCCCAATCTTTCATTTTTATTGCAACTTGAATATGTAGGATAGGAATCTGTCTGGTAGACTGAGTTATGCTTGGGCCTCTGCCTGCTTTGGTTATTGTCAATACGGTTGTGCTAATGCTTAGTAAGTGTGAATATCCATTACATCTCCAACAGAGTCAGTCCTGTGATCAAATATAAACAGAGAAAAAAAAACAGTTTGTCCTAGAGATTTCTATGGGGCACAGCCATGCACTCAGGGCTTTTCAAACTGGATAATAGAGAAGAGGCTAGATTTGTCAAACAAATTGAATTATCAAATCTCTTTGAAAATGTCTAACGTCCTAAAACACCAAGAAATGAGGCAAATAGATTTCCGATATTGGGGGAAAATATCAGTGTTTTCTAAAGAGAACCTTATGCTTTTATGTCAAGATAAAGGAAAGTCATACTTCTTGAAGGGAAGATGAAATTCAATCAACATGCATTTAATAGATATTCACTGAGTACCTACCAATGTTTCAATGACAATTCTGGATACCTGGACACGTTGAAGTTGTGCTATAAATCTGTACAGTCCTCAACAGTTCCTTGAAACCCTCTTCAATATCTGCACCAAAACCTCATTTCCCTAAGCAAGATTTTAATTAAAACTGAATTTTCTTAAGTATTTTCTTTTAAATAACTTATTAAATTTCACCAGGATATTTCAATAGGATTATTTTATACTTTTTTCCATTACAGATATATAGCAGTTTAGTATCTATGAAACCTTTAGTGGGTTAGCCTGGGATCTTATCTACACACTTACAATATTCTTTCTCGGGAAAACTTTTTCTGAATTCATAACAATCATCATAGAGTTAGACTAGACCTTTAGAAAAGCAACCTGTTTACAAAATGGAGATCTATATGGAAATTATGGAAATGGAATTGCTTTCTTCTGTTTGCCCATTTATTTCTATGAAAGTAGACTAAATACTCCACTTATTTCATAGCACATTCAAAGAAGAAGCCTAAGTTTTATGAGCATCTTTCACTGTTTCCCCAGGTTTCCACATACAAGATTAGAACACGAATTGGGCTATCAGTGAAAAGAACTCAGGGCATATGCAGAGTTTTATGTCCAGGGTTGACTAATGATTCATTCACTGCTGGAAGTCATTCACAGACACCCTTTCCTCCAATGGCTTTTCATAATATCTTCCTGTTTTCAGTAAGCGGCTACAGAAAGTCTGGACTACTGAGAGACTTGTTTCAACAACAGTTTCAGGATGATCCTTAATTCTACAAAACTCTGTACCTCTAGGGATTAAGTGGCAGCAATCATCACTGAGCTCCAGCTGGTCTGGTTGAAGCCAGCCTTTCTATTCTATCAGATGCTGTAACGTTTCTTGTTTGTATTCTATATTACTCACATAATGCCATCTTTCAATGATGTCTGCATCAATTGAAGAAGAGCGTGTGGGGAAGGAAAGCCAGCCTGGCTGGTAGTGCCGGTGGTTTTAACTGAAATCACTGGCTAATCCATTGAGCTAGGGCAGAGCCATGTCTGGTCACCAACACTGAGAAATACGCCACAGGGAGGGAAGTACTCAGACTGGCCCCAACCCACAGGGAGCCAGAGCAGACACCGGGCACTGCCTTTCTTCTGTTCCTCGAGCCCACCTGGCTCTACTGCCCCTTTCACCACAACTTCCCATCAAGGATCTGCTGTCTGCAGAACTGTTCGGTGCAAAGAGGAAAGATGGTGTAGTGATTAAGAGCATGGATGCAGAAGTTAGATTTTCTGGGTTGGATCTGTGCTCTGTCACATACTAGATTTGTGATTTGGAGGAAGTAATATCCATCTCCTTGGGAAGGGTATATAAGTTTCCATCTATATAAGTTTCTACATATATAAAATGAAAACAATAAGAACACATAGTGTTGCTGCTCCTCTGATGATAAAGTGAATGAATGCATCTAAGGCACTTAGACAGGACCTGGCACACAGTAATTATTCAACAAATATGTTGTCACTATTGTTATAATAACAGAGGTGAGGTTTCTGTAGGTGATTCAGCAATAGGAATCAACTCTATGTTGTTTGGGGGCACTGAGGATGATATCAAAAGGCTAGAGTGTTATTTTCTCCAATTTTACATTTTGGCTAGTCCTTGTTGAACACAGAGCAGTTTTTTCCAAAGTTATGTCCTAAATCAAGTCATGTCAAATGCCATTGTTTAGGTTCTGTTCAACAGCCATCCAATGAGCACATATTAAGTGCCAGACTCTCCTAATGAACACTGGGGAGATTTAAATGTATGAGAAATGACACATCCCCCATAGAAGTGCATATAATTTACTGGAGAAGACAGGCTTATGAACAAATTATTTCAAAACAATTTCAGCCAGGCATGGTGCCTCATGCCTATAATCCCAGCACTTTGGGAGGCCAAGGCATGAGGACTGTGCTGAGCTCAGGAGTTTGAGACCAGCCTGGGTAACATAGCGAGATCCCATCTCTACTAAAAATAAAGAAAATCAGCTGGGCGTCGGGGTGCTTACGTGTAGTCCCGCCTACTCAGGAGGCTGAGGTGAGAAGATCGCTTGAGCCCTGCAGTTGAGGCTGCAGTGAGCCATGATTGGGCCATTGCATTCCAGCCTGGGTGACAGAGCAAGACCCTGTCTCCAAAAAACAAAACAAAGAATTTCCATTTGGTCATTACTCTCATAGGCCATGACAATCTCAAAAAAGTGACTCACCAATTCATAAAATATTTGTTCCTCCTTGTTATCACCTTCCTCACTACTCATCTTCTGTCCTATTTATGCCTCCTCATTAATAGATGAGAGGAGAGGAGGAACTGGGGAATGGTGGTGAGGAAGGAGCAGAGAAATAATTATTTTAGTGAAAATGCTAACAACTAAGTATAAACCAATGCACAGTGTACAAGTGCATAATGAGAAAACATGCTTAAGATATCACATCCCTCCCTGCCATGCCATTCTTGAGAAGTGCCATGTAGGGATACATGTTATGATAAAGCAAATATACAGCATTGGATTTTTTTTTAAGGGGTCTAATTTCAACCATTGTGCTTTACCGTTCCAGAAAGATAAGAGATTGTAACCCAGAAGAAGTGAAGTTTATAAGCTCTTCTTACTGGTTTGCCATCCAGGGGATACTTTACGGAAAGCCTAGCTCATAGCTATTTAATAGTAATATCAGGCTGGGCATGGTGGCTCACGCCTGTAATCCCAGCAGTTTGGGAGGCTGAGGTGGGTGGATAACTTGAGGCTAGGAATTTGAGACCAGCCTGGTCAACATGGCAAAACACTGTCTCTACTAAAAAAAAAAAAAAAAAATTAGCCAGGCATGGTAGCACACGTCTGTAATCCCAGCTACTAGGGAGGCTGAGGCAGGAGAATTGCTTGAACCTGGGAGGTGGAAGTTTTGGTGAGCTGAGATCACGCCTCTGCACTCCAACCTGGGCAATAGTGTGAGACTCCATCTCAAAAAAAAAAAAGAATCTTCCAAGCAAGCACTTTACAGTTGAGAGACATGTTCCCTATAATAACATCATAAGAACTTTACCATAAAGCTGTGAACTAGGCAAAGGTAGACATTATTATATTCCTTCTTTACATAAATGAAATGGAGGCTCAGCAAAGTGACATTTCAAATAATTAGTACAGAAGACTTCTCATTATTTGAACTTTTTTCTACATTAATTCCAATTTCATTTTGTTCTTAATTTTGCCATGTTTCTAAAACAGAGTGGTTCCTAAGGCAAGAGGAAAGCCAACCTAGAAGGGAGGACCTGGGAAATAGCAAGCTGGTTTAGCAACTACACAGAGCACCTACAAAGGCACACATCAGGCAGGGCGCGGTGGCTCACGCCTGTAATCCCAGCACTTTGGGAGGCCGAGGCTGGCGGATCATGAGGTCAGGAGTTCATCACCAGCCTGGCCAACATAGTGAAACCTCGTTTCTACTCAAAATACAAAAAATTAGTCGGGCGTGGTGGCAGGTGCCTGTAATCCTAACTAATCAGGAGTCTGAGGAAGGAGAATTGCTTGAATCTGGGAGGCGGAGGTTGCAGCAAACTGAGATTGTGCCACTGCACACCAGCCTGTGGGACAGTGCGAGACTCTGTCTAAAAACCAAAAAAGGCACACATCATATATGCAGAACTGAAAAATTTCAAAAGGCAGCACTTCGTATTTTTAAGAGATGGACTAATTACTGAGATATATACCATCAAAAACCAAACCTGATGACACCTTGACTCGACAAAACTTGCAGGAATAAGAGGTACCTAGGAGGGTGTGGTCACTGGTGACCAGTGGGAATGGCATGAATTCAAGTATAGCTGTCATCTCAGTCTTCCTGCCTCATCAAGTCAAGTGCAGCGTGTTCTAGGAGAACAGCATGCTTGCTTGTCCTGATAGCAAGTGGTTCTGCTTGTACCTGTAATTGTTACATGGGGTCAAAAGTTAAGAGCTCAGACTTTACAGAACAAAGGAACAACCTGCCCAAATCATCTGCATTTCAATTTACTCTTGTGAAAAATGGAATCAGAACAAAACTTGAAAGGAGAGATCCCATTATCTTTATTGCCTAATGTCAAGTAGGTGTTAGGGCTTTTTAAAGAGATGCATGGAAGTCTGAAAGAATGTCACCCCAGTAGCCAAGTAATGAAGCAGGAAAAGGTTGAAAATGGCCTATATCCCACAGTGGGAAAGAAAAGACAGGCTGCCTTCAGCCCCAACTCTTAACTAAAGGGACAGAGGATGATCAAGTTAGAGCTTAAATATTCAAATAGGTGATTTGGTGATATCTTAGAACCTCTGACATCAATAGAGCATAAGAAAGATATATTTGGGGGCCAGGCACAGTGGCTCATGCCTGTAATCCCAGCACTTTGGGAGGCGGAGGCGGGCAGATCACTTGAGGTTAGGAGTTCCAGACCAGCCTGGCCAACATGGCAAAACTCCATCTCTACTAAAAATACAAAAATTAGCAAGGTGTGGTGGTGTGCACTTGTAATCTCAGCTGGGGAGGCTGAAGTAGGAGAATCGCTTGAACCCGGGGGGCGGAGGTTGCAGTGAGCCAAGATCACACCACTGCACTCCAGCCGGAGCAACAGAATGAGACTCCGTCTAAAAAAAAAAAAAAGAAGAAAGAAAGAAAGAAAGAAAGAAAATAATACATTTGGACGAATGAATCAATCTTGATGCTCATGAAATCAACAGCCTTTACTGCTATAGCCAGAATAAAAGGTAGAATTCTGAGTCTTCCTCTGATGCTGTAGACAATTTAACTCTTTTTAAAAAACCTCAAAATAGAACTAACTCCATTCTGATTTCTAAGAGAGAATTGTGAAAGAAATGAAAATAACTAATATCAAACTGCTTTTGAACTGGCACTTAGCTGTTTAAACATGTAAGCGCATTATTTCAGTTTACATGGATATCCTATTTTAAACCCACAGCCTAACAGCTTTCTGTCCATCTTTCTTTTACACTTTCTTTTCATTTTTCTTTTATACTTTCCATCTCTCCCTTATTTCTTCTTCTTTAATTGGTCATTTTCAATCTATCTCTGTGGTTTTCATTTGGAGACTTTGATATTTACTTTTGTGGGAGGGACCAATAATTAATAAGGCTAACATATTTTAAAGCACAAAATCAAATCCTGACTCCCAGGAGTTCTGTAGAGGAGAAAATGGTAACGTTTTTAGCATGATACAGACAAAGGGTCTTAGTAATTAGTTTTCCATACATTATATTTGTATTGTTCTTGGTGACCAATGGAAATAACTGGGCTAGCCTGGAAACAGAGTCCATAACTCTCACAAAATAACTCAACTCTCCTTTTGGGCTGCAACAGGAAATATTTTTACACAGTAAACAGTAAACATGTGGAAACTTTTAGCCCCAAGATGTCATGCAGGCTGAAAACATAAATAGCTTCAAGAAGGCTTAGATACTATTCATGGATAAAAAGAACACACAACAACTTTGGCAAAAATTAGGTTTGACCGTACAAGTGTTGATGAGGATTTGGAGCAAAGGAAATGCTATACACTGGTGGTAAGGGGTGTAGTTTTGTTCAACAACTTTAAAATACAAGTTGACGTTATATTGTAAAGCTAAACAGCACACACTCTATAAACCAGGAGTTCTACCCCTACTGTATACCCTAGAGAAATCCTCATAGAGAGGCTGCAGAAGGCATATACAAGAGTGTTCAGAGAGGCAATGTTCAAACAGAAAAAAATCTGGAAACAACCTAGATATCCACCAGTAGGAAAAGACATCTACTACATAAATTGTATATTCACAAAATAAAAACAGCATTGAATATGAACGAACTTCTCTATACGCAGAATGTGGATTTGTTCTGGAAACACTGTTGAGTGAAAAAAGCAATTTACAGAAAAATTATATATGGTATGACATCATTTTTAAACAACTCAAGAGCAAAACTAAAAAAAAAGTTCTTTTAGGGATCCATACATATGTGATAGAACTAATTTAAAAAGCAGTGGCTGGACGCAGTGGCTCATACCTGTAATCCCAGCTGCTCAGGAGACTGAGGCCTAAGGATCACTCGAGCCCAGGAGTTACAGTGAGCTATGATCACACCACTGCACTCCAACCTGAGGGTGACAGCGAGACCCTGCCTCTAAAAAATTGAAATAAAATGAAAAGCAAAGGAATGATTAACACAAAATTCAGAATTGTGTTTTTTTTCTGGGGGCAGGTCAGCAAGGGGATGGGACTCCGGGAAAAAAACAGGTAGCTTCCATAGTCTTGGTAATGCTTTAATGCTTAAATTGAGCGGGGTTCACCAGTGTTTATTTAATTTATGCTTCATAACTTGCATGTACATTACATATATCTATTTGATACCTAATCATGTTTGCATGAAAAATGAAAATATTTACTTCCCTAATCTTCTAAATAGTCTTGGAGAACAACTCTCATACTTTTCCAAAAATATTATTTGATACCAATAATCAAATAAAACTTTGAGCAAGGTGGACAACTGGTCCGATTGAGGACATTGTTATATAGGGGGAAAAAAAATTTTTTTTCAAATCCCAAAGTCATAAATGCTTATTATAGAAAATTTGAAAAAGCAGAAAAATATAAAGAAGAGAATGTTTTAGATTGTGCAAATCCATAGTTGCACAATCTAGATATAACCACTGTTAACATTTTGTGGTATTTCTCTCCAGTTTTTTTAAATATATAAAGTTGAAATCAATATAACATTTTAAAATGCATTTTCCTATTTAGATTTGGGATCTTGTTCCCGTAAAGGTAGCAATGATGCTATGTATTTGGGATGTATTCAGAGTAATGTTTGGTTCTAAGTTCTATTAAATATGTTTTGTACATAAATAGTAACTTAAATTTTAGAATTTTTCTCATTGGGAAATTTAAGGAATTAGAGGAGAACAGTAATACTTAAGACTGCCAAATCTTTTCCATTGTGACTTTTGGCATCCAAGTCATTTACTTAAAATGTGTGTGATGAACTGGAAGGAGTTTTCCTTTCAATGATTTGCTTTCTTAAACTCTGATCTCATCACAAGAATGCATTTTTTCTGAAAAGTTTTTAAAAGGGTTTTATTTCATTTCTGAACTTTTGAAAGCATTGGAGAATATCTGTTTTCTTTTGCTAATTTATAATTTTAAAGGCATTTTCCCCATTTCTGACCACATATACAAAAGATTAATAGCATTAGGTTTAAATTAGTCATTCTAATATCTACTTCTAAAAGCTTATTCCTTTAAAATGACTTCAACCTACCATCTACTTAAATGTTAAGATGATATACAGCATTAGAGCAGGTATACGGCATAAGAATATTTAGAATTGATTTTAATGATTAAATTGCAAATCTTTTTAAGAGCTGAAATACTTTTTGTGTCTCTCTCGTGCTAGGTTTCTAAAATGCAGTTCTGGTTCAAGAGGTGGGCTTAGACATTTCCACAGGTAATTCTGAAGCCCATCCAGGCTTGAGAAGCACTGCTGTTAGCTTAAGGATACCAATCTCCAAGTTTATACTTAAAAGAACAATTCTCTCTCTCTCTCTCTCTCTCCTTCCAGCTCTTGTGCTAGCCTGGAGAGGCAGATGAATACTCAACTTCTGTTTTTCAATTTCTGGGGCGCCTTGACAGCTTGGGCGATGCCCCCTTCTACCACCTTCAGAGTAACTGAATAAGTGACGAAGGGGAAGACCCCATCCCCTTCCAAAGACCCACCACTTCTCTTGCGGAAGTGGCCACACATCATTTTCCTCACTTAGGAAAATACAAAATGTTTCAAGAGCCCATTGCTTCCAGGAAGTTCACAGTGAGCATAAAAGAAATATAGGCTAAAGAATAATCCACTGGCTTGTTTCCCTTTTGGCCAGCTCACCACAGGACTCTGGGTTTATTTGGAGAATCTGCCATTGATAACCTTTTGTTCTTGGTTTGATATTAGTGCTATTACAAAGAGGTCAGAATGACTGGGAGAGGGAGGATAAGATGACAAATTTGAGCCCAAAGAAATTTTTTGGTTACTACAGAGGTAACCAAAGATTTCCAGTTGATAGTGCTTTTTGTGAGCTAGTTTATAAAAGTAGATATTTTTAAAATAAATGATTACAGGATTAGGGGACAAAAGTAGAACCATTGGGTTGACCCAACTGTCTACCCCAAGCATTGGAATTAATTTAGAAAAAAGCCAGCAGATTGCATGTAACATCTTGAAAAAGCTTATGCAATGTCTTCCCAAAACCACAAAGGAAAAATATAACCACAGGACAAATTACTCCTTGAATGTCTGATGAGATATGAATAGCCACAACAATAAAACTTGTGCTAAGATTAACGTCTGAGTAGCTTTAAAGTATTTTTAGTTCTTTTAATCTGAAATTGTTTAGACTATCTTCAGAGAAACTTCTCAACTGTTTTCTTACTGGAAATAGTTGAAAAGCTTTATAAGGCCAAGGTTACCCAGGCAGTTTGATTTATATCTTCTTTAAGAGAGACAGAGCGAGAGAAGAAACGAAGTAACAGCAAACATTTGTCAAGCAAAGGGCTGAGAGCTTTGCAGAGAAATAACAGATACATTTGACTATAGAGATCTTCCACCTTCGTTTCTAGAAATCAGGTTTGCTTGGTGTACCTTGGAGAAGTAGGCGCTTTCAAATGGTCCTCCCACAAGTCTCAGCAGCCAACCAAAGCCAATGATTCTCAGCCAACTAACCCAAGGAGTTCTTTAAAGTTAACCAGGACCTCTCCACAAAATCTCATACAAAGTCCTGTAACAAGAAGCCACAGAAATCTCATAAAATAAAATGCAGTAAATTAAATGTAAGACCAGTAGCAGCCCTTGAGTGTTATAACAGGAATTAAATAACCAAAAAAGAGGGGAAAGTATAAGCAGAACAGTCAGTTTAGAAATTAATATTTCTGAAGGACTGAGGATTCTACAAAGAAAAAGACAAAATTTTCATGGAAGAGCCGGCACAACTATGTTACACAAAATTAGCTGGAACCTTCCTAAGGCAAGAAGTAAAATCAGAGGCAGCTGTCTCCCAGCCCTTGTTTTCTTTCAAGCGAAGCAAGCAGTGGTGGGTGGTTCCCGTGGGCAACTTTGGCTAGAATTGGTGTCCTACTAGGACAGTCTATGCCCATTCAAAATGGCAATGAGCTCCTGCCTGCATTATGACTACTGCCCTCCTGATTTTTCCTACCAGACTAATGACAGACTGCCCCACTGAGAAGGGTCTAGCGGAGCACAGGTCACCAGCTGGGCAACATTCAGAAAGTTAGTCTTCCTATGCTCATTTTCCTGGGCTGTTACAGAAGAAGACTGGAAGAGGTAATTTCCAAGGTTCTTCCCAGCTCTGAAGTTGTGTGTCAAAGGTACGGGCAATGGGTGCACACAGAAGAAGAAGTGTTTCTGACCTGGTATGACCCTCTCCTGCCTAGCACCGTGACAGGAATCAGTGCTATGATTTTTAGGTGGGAAAGCACAGAATCCCCTAAAAACATGGGATTTCATGGTGGCTTGGCAAGTGACTTGAGCCAGACTCTCACAGTAGAATGACTTCCCGTTGTGCCTGAAAGCCCCTTCAGAGTGACCCAAAGGAGAGGTAAAGACACTTATTTAGGAAGTAGAAGATGCAGGTCACAGTGGAGAAGGTTATAACAGCATTGGGTACATTCTGCCGGGACATCAGTGAAGTGTGGCTCATCCCAGGCACAAACCACATCACAACCTACTCAGGATTGTGCTGGATGATTTTGCAATTGTTTGTTAAAACAACAAACCAACGTGATTCCCACACTTGCCCTTGTCTTTTACTGTCAGCGACAGTCAAGTCCTGACAGGTGTGCCAAACCCACAGCCAAGGATATCTTGAAGACTCCAACTTTCTATACCTTCATGCATCTTAAATTAGCAGGAGGAGGTGGATGGGGTTACATCTGCCAATTTTTAAAATTTTTAAGTTTTTGGTCCCAATTCAGAGACTTCGTAGGTATGGAGAGAACCCAGCAGGAAGTCATGTTGCTTCAAATTTGCTAGAGTAATGGTTGGCTCTAAAGTAAGGAGATACAAGAGATCTTGAAGCTTGTGATGGGCCCATTTTCCTGACTTTATAGTAAATTTTAATACAATCACAGGGAAGTCTGAAATTTTAAAAGACAGCTGACTGGATCCTCCTCAGTTGGATTGTGGCTCCATCTTGCAAGTCCTCCCCTCGGGGAGCACACAGTGAGGCAGGCTCTTTGCCGTAAATTGTGGAATAGTGGCCTGGTGACTGCAGGCCGGGGACTCACTAAAGCATACTTAGAAAGAGTGGGGGCGAAGGGTTGAAGGAGGAGGTTGCAGAGCGGCAGAGTGGCACATGCAAGCCCACAGGTGGAAGTTTCTCCCGTGTCTCAATCCCCTGCCTTAAATCACTTCTCTGCGGACCTATCTCCATCTCTGTAAAATGGAAAGACATTAAAAGCACCGCCTCCGTCTCCCCAACTTTGAGAAGTAACTTGTCTTGCGGGGAACTTTTTTGGAGGAAGGGTGGGGTGTGCAGCCCTGCCTGGAGAGGGCCCCAAAGCGCCAACCCACTGCGGAGACAGAAGGCCGCCTACCGGGGAGGCCGGAGGCCGGCTAGTCGCGGACTCGGGCGAACCCACCCTCGCGATCTGTCAAGTCTGTCCCCAGGGGAGGTCCCCCTTTCGGGAGGAAGTTTTTAAGGGGATTTCTCAAAATCACCCCCGCGCTTCCTTCACTCCTTCCTTAGAGCCGGAGGTCGGTGAGGGCCCGCGGAATCATCTATCTCGCCCCCGTCGCAGGCAGGGATACAGTTCCTGCAAGGGGTCCCGGGGGGCGCGGGAGGCGCAGGACGCTAGGCTCTGCCGTCAGCCCGCAACAGCGCTCAGTCCAGGGAGGGAGGCCCGGGTGGGGGGCAGCCGTAAGCCCCCGCTCAGCGTGCAGCCACCGGGGACTTGCGCGGCCGTGGCACCGCTGGAGGGGGCGGCCTGGGGCTGGGGCTGCCCGGCGGCGCCGCGACCGCCTTCCTTCGCTGCGTCCCGCCCGCTCCACGCCTCGCTCACCGCCGCCGCTTCTCCCTGCCCCGCAGCGCGCAGGGACCATGTCGGCGGAGACCGCGAGCGGCCCCACAGAGGACCAGGTGGAAATCCTGGAGTACAACTTCAACAAGGTCGACAAGCACCCGGATTCCACCACGCTGTGCCTCATCGCGGCCGAGGCAGGCCTTTCCGAGGAGGAGACCCAGGTGCGTCCCCACACGCGCCCAGCGCGCCCCGACCCCTGCCTGGGCTGAGCCTTCTCGCGGCTGGGCGGTCCTGTTCGTCCGCGCCTCCCGCCGGGCTGCCCTCCCCATGATCTCCCATCGCTTCTGCCCGCATCCCAGGGGCCCAGACCCTGCATGGCTCCCGCCGCCGCCTCCCCGCTTCCCCGCTCCCATGGGCGCCCGGTCTCCCCGCCACCCCCATCCAGCCGTGGTTCCCCGGGAGCTGCGCAGAAACCCCTCGGTCACCAGTCCTTTCTTTTCCACTCTCCCCGGCAGCCCGGGATACACGCTTTCTCCCTCTGCGAGTTGGGAGCAGCGTCTCTCGCCTGTCCCTGTCTCGCCTTCCCGGCTCGGTCCCCTCTGGTCTGTCTGCGAAACCTTCGGGAAGATCTATTCTAGGCGGGAATGTCAGAGCTGGAAGGCGCCCCAGAGACCAGCTAGCCATAAATTCAGTCCTCCGGTTTGGCGAACCAGGAGGCTGAGGCCGGGAGGGAGGGCGCTGTCAGGATGGCAGGAGCGGTGAAGCATGCTCTCTCCACCACATCACACTGCAGCGTCCCCCGAGCTGCAGAACTCACGCTGCACGAAGCCACGGAGATTTGGTTCCGATTTTTTAAAAAATTCCCCGGCTCTAAGGTTTAGAGGTTTTTCCTGGCGTTTTATAAGACGGTAGATAGCTAACATTTCAGCTGACGGCAGCGGCAGCCGATGTCCCCCTAAGTGCATTCATTGACTTATCTATTTTTTAAATGCTCCTGTATTATCCCGAAAAGTGCCAGGTAAAGAATGCAACACGGCCTGTGGTTGTTAACCACAGGTGCAATGTGGGAGCCTTTAGCTGACTTTTAAAACCCTGTCTAAACTCCGACTTCTCTTTTCCCTTTGGTCATGGAAAGACAATCCTTTTGCATGATAGACTACTTGGAACTGATCTAGCATCTCTCCTGTGGGTCCCCAAAGCACTTCACACTTCTAACCTCAACTCTAAAGCAGAGACATTATTTTTCCTATTTTATATACCAGAGCATCAGGCACTTGTCCTGTCACCATGAGCCATGCTCAGTTGAGGTTTAGAAGCTTGTAATGGATCCAGTAGATCCAAGGACCAAGACCCTGGACCCCAAGTCCAAAATTATTTTTACTAATTAAGCCAGAGGCACTCTTTGGAGAGCTTGTCCATAGATGATCCTGTCATTTACAGGTCAAACAGAAAGGCAAACATATCTATTTTTAGCAAATGGAACAGCTGTCTGGCCAACCAGAACCAGAACTTAAAGGAAGGTGATTTACTGTAACCCAAGTCTAACAGCTCATGTTTCTTGGCATCCCCTGAGAAGGCAGCCTGCTGAAATTTTATCATTTGAAATCCCACGCTATGCTTAGAAAAGAGGAGTGATCATGGAGACAACTTATCTTTTAAAAACAAGGCTGTGAAATATTGTGGGCACAGCACCAACAAGAGGTCCAACCCCTTCTCGGCCTCTGATTGTGCCTGGCGAGTTGCCATCAGTCATCTTACCTATAAAGCAGCATAATTACGTTGACCTTTGTAATGGCTAATACTTGCCAGGCATTTTTCCAGGCACTGTCCAAGTAGTACATCATTTATTTGTCACAACAATGCTGTGAGGGTAGATACTATTAGCCCACTTGTCCAGATAAGGCAACTGAGGCACAGAAAGATTAAATATACTTGCCCAAGACAGCAGCCAGAAGGCAGCAGGACCAGGATTTGAACCCTGGAAGCCCAGACTCTTAACCACCTTGCTATGCTCTCTCTACAGAGGAGGCATAGAAATCACTAGATGAGCAGGAGGAGACAACTGACAACTCTCTTGGTGCTGTCTTTCCTCTGCATTAGGCAACAGTCCTCCCAGGCTATATTCAACCTTTCCTCAAGATTCACATGATATTAGAGAATTGAAATAAAATCCGGTTAGGGGTAGGAAGAAGAAAAGGGCACCTGCTTTTTTTCTGTGACTGAGGTCAGCCAATTCAGACCTCTGCATAGCAGGTTCTTCTGCACCTCTCAGGCAGTCCTCCCATTTCCCCCCTTCTGCCATTCTCAAATAAACAAGTGGTAGACCCAGCCCCAAAATGAGTGGATGTGGGGTGAGTCAGCCTCTTAGCAGGGCCCCTGGCTTCCTCTTCCTGCCACAGGACCAACACCTTCTTCCTCCCTATGGCTACCACAGCTTGGCTTGCCCCTCTGTCTTCCTGCCTTGACCTGCAGGGAAGCATCTGGAACCCCAGAGCTTAGAGACAGGCAGCACTTAGCAAGCTCAGAGAAAGAGACTTCCTAGGAACCACAGGCTGTCTGCTTGCCCTTACTGGATTGGGTGTCATCTTTCAATTTCCCATTCTTTCCCCTCTCACCCCACTACCCCCATGGGTACTGGTGAATGAGAATGATTTCTTCTTTCATCTTCTCAAACAACATTTATATTTTTAAAGAGTATCTCCTATGAAAAAGAAAGTGTCTGGCTGGGCACAGTAGCTCACACCTGTAATCCCAGCACTTTGAGAGGCTGAGGCAGGAAGATTGCTTGAGGCTAGGAGTTTCAGACCAGCCTGGGCAACATGGCAAGACGCTGCCCATCTCTACAAAAAATAAAAAATAAAAAAGTAAAAAAATCAAACAGGTGTGCTGGTGCATGCCTGTAGTCCCAGCTACTCTGAAGGCTAAGGCAAGAGAATCCCTTGAGCCCAGAAGTTCAAGGCTGCAGTGAGCTATGATCATGCCACTGCACCACCTAGCCTGGGTTACAGAGGGAGAACCTGTCTCAAAATAAGTAAGTAAATAAAAATAAAAATATTACAAAAAGAAAGTGTCTTCTGGAGACATATGCCCAATGATGAACTTTCCGTCATTAAAATTATTTTTGTTTATAGCAGGTCTTGAGGACCCTTTAAATAACTCCATGGAGGCTAGGACCTGCTGGGCCTACATATAAGTAATGTCTGGTATTGACACTTCCCCAGTTTCTTTTTCTTTCTTTCTTTCTTTTTTTCTCTTTTGGAGAGAGTGTCTCACTCTGTCATTCAGGCTGGAGTACAGTGGCACGACTATGGCTCACCTCATCCTTGGCCTCCCAGCCTCAGGCAATCCTTCTACCTCAGCCTCCCAAGTAGCTGGGATATAGGCATATACTACCACATCTGGCTAATTTTTAAGCTAATTTTTAAATTGTTTGTAGAGATGGGGGTCTCACTATGTTGCCTGAGCTGGTTTTGAACTCTTGGTCTCAAGCAATCCTCTTGCCTTGGCCTCCCAAAGTGCTGGGATTACAAGCATGAGCCATCGCAGCCAGCCTCCCCTATCTCTGTTCTTACTAGTGTTGCTCCTTTCCATGGGAAAGGGTCACTAAAGCCAAACTAACATTTGTTTCATGTGCCTGAGTCCTCATCCCACCCCAACACCACCCACCTCCAGAAATGGAATCATATTCTTAACTTCCCTAGAACAAGTAATACTTCAGTACCACAAAAAGAAGCCTGAGCTGCCCAGTGCTCTTGCAAGATAGTTACCAGAACTGATTCACAGGGCCGATACTTGGGGCAGGGACAAGCGGGACTAAGAAGTTGAAACATTCTCTGTCTTGGGAGATTTGCTGGCCTCTTTATAATTGTCCCACTTCAGGACAAAATTCTCTGTGGGGGTGGAGGTGGCACCCATAAGAACTCAAAGTAAAGTGAAGGGTGCTGTAATTGAAATAACTTTCTAAGTTGCATTTACTGGGATGTTAGAATGGGTTTTTCTCAATACAGTAATCTAAATATCTCCTAGATTTAAATTAGATGAAAACTTACAGAATCCCAGCCCTATGTCTTTTATTTTGAAGTCAGTTTTAGAAGAGGCTGGGAAATCTCCTTCCTCAGCCCCGTGGGAGGTTGGGATGATCTGGTGTTTTCTATTATTTCAAACACACACACACACACACACACACACACACACACACACACACTCTCTCTCTCTCTCTTTCTCTCTCTCCCTTTCTCTTCAATTCAAGCACAATGTAACTGGAATTGGTTCTTAGGGAGGTCTCCAAGTATTTTTATCTCCTCTTGATGTCCTGAGCTTGTTCCCAGAACCCAGTGGTTTTAGTCACTGGATGTTTTATCGGTGGAATAAAGACCTCTAAAGGTCTCTTCCTGAAAAGAATGAAATGTTAGTTACTAGAGAAAAGGACAGGAACAATGTTCCTTTGCCCCAGCCCCTACCCATCACAGTGTCTAATTATCATCTGTTTATTCAGAGTAAATAAATCTCCATCAATGGGCAAGGGTAATGAGGGCATTCATTTATAAGCAAGCAAGGGATGAATGTCTTTCCCAGTGGATGACTGAAACAAAGAAGAGAAGGATAAAGCCAGGTGGAAAATTAGCACTGATGTGCATGAGATTGATAAGATACAGCTCTAAAGGGAAAAAAGCAAGCAAGGTATTTAATGATTTCTGTTGGATTGCAACTGGTTTTGCTAAATTATTATATATATACTTGATTTAAAATACGCATCTTCAAAAAACAGTTGAGCTTTTCTTGACCTCCTCCCATCCCCCAATGTTAGGGCTCAGTTTGTTAAGCATTTGGGTACCAACTCACAAAACCACAAATGTGGTCCCTGCTGAAGTTATTTTCAGTAACAGTCCATCAATATTCTGCTTCATTACATAGTGTAAAGATGTGGGTGGCTCTTTTAAATGAGACCAGCTCAACCATTTTTTCTTAAATGAAATCTGATAGAAAGTGAGATTTTCCTCCTCCAGATTTTAATTAGTCAGTCTTTACAATGCTGCCATTTCTTCAGCTGTAGTAACTGGAAATCCTATTTAATCAGACCTTGCATCCTTGAAACCCCCCACAGAGCTACCTCATTAATGAAACTGGAACCTTGCTGCTCTCATACCAGAATCCAGAGTTAACTAAACACACGCACACAGGTTACAGAAGAAAATGGGCCCACCCTTAGCAGTAGAATTTCGATTGAAGCTGCCAAAGTTACATGAGTTCTCTCTTCTCATGAAGGGTAGTGATTTGATCTCCAGGAGCAAAATATGGCACCCAGAAAGTAGCCCCCAAAGAGAAGGCTACCCCCATGATAGTCTGCCGTGCTTGGCTTTCGATTACTTTTCTCTACTGCCGCCCCAGTGTAAAGGTATGTAAGATCTTGACAACTGTGTAAAGGATTTCAGTGTGTAAACTCTGCTGTACAGGTGGGTGAGGTGTAGGTGTGTTCCCATGCTATTCAGCCTGCTTAGCATTGATGTGGAGCCCAAAGCAGTCCTGCAGAGCCTTACCCCCATTCAAGCTCAACAGCCTCTCCTCTAGGCCTTGCTCCTTCTCCCCCTGTGATTCTCACACTTTCTTCTGATCTTGGGCTTATATACTGAATTCCCTTTCAGCTTCCTAGAGCCCATCCTGTTCATTCTGAGTATCTGTATAGGCATCAAGCCATGCTATGTGGGGAGCCCTCTAGAGGTTTCTCACCATCCCATCTCCATCAGCACATCCCAGATCTGGCATCTCACAGCTGTGCTCTTTCTGCTTCCTTCCTGTTCCTCGTCCCCTTACCCCTAGAACAGGTGAATTATAGAAATACCAGAAGGGACAGTAGAAACCCCCTAAGCTTACGTTTTTATTTACAGATGATTGGTGCTCTATTTTTAGGGACTTCCTCAAGTTCTCATAGCCAATTAGTTACTCTAGAGCTTCCTGTTGGCAGAGCCCAGGGCTGCAGAGCCCTGGGTGGTCACCTACCACACAGCCTGCCTACACACCAGTGACACACAAATATTGTCCTTCTCAATGTACCCCATGACATGTGAATGGTTGGGAAGCACAGGAGAACAGAGCTTGGGGGAGGTGCTGACTTCCCATAGAGCTCTGTCCTCATCCTCTCCAATGTAGGTCAATGCTTGCTCATCTGTTTCCTCACTAGTCTCTCTTCAAAGTTGTTTTGCTTTGTTTTTTATTCCCAGTTTCCTCTTGATCAACCTGGTCCAGACCCTGGCCCTATCCCCAGCATGGTTCTCCTGTTCTCCTCTTTGGGGAGCTCTGTACCACCCCGGTTAGCAAGATAAAGGCAGCCACTGATTTCTCAAGGGTATACCACACTGCCTTACAACATATAGGCATGTTCTAGGCCTCATATGATACCGTGTCTAGAAACATCCCATCTGGGGCCTTCTGTACATCCATGGTCACTTCTGTAAGGTGTGAATATTTGAGTCATACGGAGCTGAGAGATTCTGAGTAAAGTGGTAGGCCCACTTTAGCTTCTCTCACTGCTCAGTGGCCCTGGAGCAGGATAGATTGGGCTGGCCTACTCCATGCATCCCCAAGGAGTGCTCTGAGGTTGTGCAGCGCTCAGTTACCTATTAATCTTATTCAACAAATTCTTACTAACTGCTACCAATGAGGAAGGCCTTTGGTGAGCTGAGCATACATTGATGAAATACAGCAGCCATAGAGATCTATCTGGGGCATTAAGGAGATGCTTTAACTTCTTTTATTTATTCAGCAAATATTGATTAATTTCTAACTCTTAAACCTTTGTACTAGTGGCTAAGGATGCAATGGTGATAGGATGAATACAGTCTCTGCTTTCATGGATCTTACATTCTAGAAGGGAATATAGATTTAAAACAAGTGAATACACAAGTAAATCATGACAGATGCTAAAAGTTCTGTGAAAGTAACAAAATACTAAATTGGGAAGTAAGGAGATGAGTGGGAAACCCATTTTAGATAGAGTGATCAGGGAAGGCTTCATTGAGAAGGTCCTGTTTAAGCTGAGATGTGAGGATGACAGGGAGATCATCAGATAAAGAATAAAGAGAGAATATTCTAAACATAGGAAATAGCATGTGCAAAGGTCCTGAGGCAGGAAAGTTTAGTGTCACAGTGAGAACCATCCCTATGGGAACATTCCTTGATTCTCTCCTTTCCACTTGTGCCACAGAGGCTACCTTTTAGAAAGGGAACAGGCATTTCAGTTTTTCTGTATGTGACAAATATTTTTTCTCATTTCTCTCTTCCAGAAATGGTTTAAGCAGCGCCTGGCAAAGTGGCGGCGCTCAGAAGGCCTGCCCTCAGAGTGCAGATCCGTCACAGACTAAGGAGATGGCAGGCATTGACAGCTTCACTCCATGAAGGCCATCTCTGTTTCTCTCCTCCGCTTAACCAAGCTGTTGTGGTTTTTCAGCATAGTGTTGTATGTTCCATTGCTAGCTGTCCTGCTGTTTAACACAGTGTTGTATTTTTTTTCTAAATGTACATAATTAGAAAAGAAAATAACAATAGGAAGCTATGTGTATCTTCTGTGTAAAGCAGTGGCTTCACTGGAAAAATGGTGTGGCTAGCATTTCCCTTTGAGTCATGATGACAGATGGTGTGAAAACCATCTAAGTTTGCTTTTGACCATCACCTCCCAGTAGCAATTTGCTTTCATAATCCATTTAGCAATCCAGGCCTCTGTTGAAAAGATAATATGAGGGAGAAGGGAACACATTTCCTTCTGAACTTACTTCCCTAAGTCACTTTCCTTATGTATCATCTAATACAATGATGGTTGAGTGAAAATACAGAAGGGGTGTTTGAGTATTCAGATTTCATAAAACACTTCCTTGGAATATAGCTGCATTAACTTGGAAAGAAGCCTGTTGGGCCAGAAGACAGAAACTCCAACTGGCAAAAAAGCAAGCATCTAAGAAAAAAAACCACCAAAGTTCTTGAATTTACTATATTTAAATGCATTGGTTAAGTTTATTTTGCTAAATAAAGTGAACTGCTTTTTGTCTCTAAAATGATATTCTAAATAAAACCTTAACTTTTTGTTGAAGATGCACTGAGTGAGTTCTCTGCAGGTTTTTAACGAAATAAGAAACATATCAAAGAGAAACAAAATAATAGCTCCTATGTGGTAGGAGCTGACTGACCAGGAGAGCTGCCATTTTCTAAATCCTTGCTACTCAAAGTGTGTTCCAGGACCAGCCTCATCAGCATTAGCTTCAACCTGGTGAGAAATGCAGAATCTCAAACCCCGTTCCAGACCCAGTGAATCAGAACCTGCATTTTTAAGAAGGCCCTCAAGCGGTTTATATGCACGTGGAAGTTGGAGCAGCACTGTTCTAACAAACTCTACACTCAATTTGCATTCATTTACTATCATAGCACACTAGATGTCTGCTATGGCCTGAATGTGTCCCATCCCCCCCGCCCACACCCCGGCCCCCAACAAAATTCATATGTTGAAACTTAATCCCTAAGGTGGTGATATTAGGAGGTGGGGCTTTTGGGAGGTGACCAGGTCATGAGGGCTCCACCCTCATGAATGGGATTACTGCCTTATAAAAGAGGCCTGAGCAAGCTTGTTTGCCATTCTGTCATGTGAGGATACATAGGAAGCACCTGGGAGGAATGGACCCTCACCAGATTGAGGGCTCACCATAGTCTGCTGGTGCCTTGATCTTGGAGTTACCAGCCTCCAGAACTGCGAGCAATAAATTTATGTTGTTTACAAATTACCCAATCTAAGATATTTTGTTATAGCAGCCAAACAGAGTAAGACACCATTTTAATAGTCTATCAGTTAAGACTGTGTTTGATTGCATGGAAGAGTGACTTGATTACAATGGATTAAGCAAATAGGCTTGTTTCTTTGTTTTCTTTTCTTTTTCTTTTTCTTTTTCTTTTTTCTTTTTTTGAAACAGAGTCTCACTCTGTTGCCCAGGCTGGAGTGCAGTGGTATGATCTTGGTTCACTGCAACCTCTGCCTCTCAGGTTCAAGCGATTCTCCTGATTTAGCCTCCTGAGTAGCTGGGCTTATAGGTATGCACCAACACACCCAGCTAATTTTTGTATTTTTAGTACAGACAATGTTTCGCCATGTTGGCCAGGCTGGTCTCAAACTCCTGGCCTCAAGTGATCCACCCGCCTCAGCCTCCCCAAGTGCTGGGATTACAGGTGTGAGCCACCAGCCTGGCTGTTTCTTTGTTTTCTTGATTGTGTTTAAGTAAGACATCACCAGGTAGGTAATCCAGGGCTGTTAGAGTAGCTCCCTAATGTTGTCAAGGAGCTGGGGTCATTCCATCTTCCCATTTTACTATCTGTAGTACACAGCTTTTGTATTCATGGATACTTGGACACTGCATCTGCCTTTCAAACAAAATGAAGAGAAAGAGGGAGGGAAAGCATAGGGCAAATGCCAGCTAAGACTTTCCTCTCTAAAAAGATTTCCTGGAAGCCCCCACCTAACAACTTCCACCTACATCACATTGGCCAAAGTGAGTCACATGGCCACTCCTAGCTGCAAGGGAGTCTGGGAATTGGGGCACTTGTAAATGAGCATAGTGCTGCCTTGAGCAAAATTAGGGTTCTGTTCGTAAGGAAGAAGGGAAAGATGGATATTGGAAAGGCTGATAACTACACCTGCTAATCCAGCCTGGGATGACACAGGTATACACTTCTGAACTCTTACCTCTAGTTCAGGAACAGTCTTTCTGGTTCTCTAAAATTAAGAAACCAAAAGTGGAAACACTAACAATTATTTATTTAGAATACAGATGTTTACAAGATCCTATTAAACATCCCTGGGCAAGCTTCCTCTTCCTGTATCTTAAAACTTTTCTTCTGACAACAAATACACAGTGCACCAGGGTCTGAGCAAAACAGACTCATATCTAGCATCCTCTCCTGCAACCTAAGTAGTGGGGATCTAAATTGTGGACAAAGCAGACTGAGTATGGTGATTGGTCCATGTCAGGCAATGAGAGGAATACTAAACCAGGTCTAAGATCCAGGTCAGAAGTCTTTCCAACACACTAGAGAGATGATTCAAGAACAATCCAGAGCAACAGCCAGGCACGGTGGCTCACACTTGTAATCCTAGCACTTTGGGAGGCTGAGGCAGGCAGATCACTTGAGCCCAGGAGTTCAAGGCCAGCCTGGACAACATGGTGAAACCCTGTCTCCATTAAAAATACAAAAATTAGTGGAGACTGGTGGCATGCACCTGTAGTCCAACCACATGTGAGGCTGAGGTGGGAGGATTGCTTGAGCCTGGGAGGCAGAGGCTGCAGTGAGCTGAGATCATGCTGCTGCACTCCAGCCTGGATGACAGATTGAGACCCTGTTAAAAAAAAAAAAAAAAAAAAAAAGAACAATCCAGGACAAAACCAGCTGGGCAGAGAGTGTGCCTTTAACTTGGGCCCAGAAGCCCCATTTATGGTAAAAGAATCACTTCCTCTGCCCAATAGTCTAGAGTCCTTGAATGGCATGTGATGGGAGGGAATGAGGGTTCAGTGTCCTTTTAAATGCAAGTATGTTACCAGTACTAATCTCCTTGAGTTTGCTTTTTCAACTGTGAAACAGGGATAGCAACATTCTACTAAATTTTTAAAAAGCACTTTGTAAATAGTCATAATAATTGCTACTGCTACAAAGTACTAACAGACAGGGCAAGGTTTACTTTGATGCCTGAGATAAGTCTTCACAAGAACGCAGAACTCTAAGTTTTATTGTCAGGAGTCTCTTTTGGACACCCAGGGTCATACACCAAAACAATAATGCCCACCCTAGACTCAGAAAAACTGCACAGTGCCCTCTGTCTCCACCTTGTATCCTAGGTGTGCAGTTGCAGACACTGTAGGTTAGCTGGACCCATCATCATACCCAAGCCCCTTCTCTGTTGTCACACTTCTTTCATGAGACTGTAAGGGCTGGAAACATTAAATCCTCTCTTTTCCATTCTCCCTTGAGGCTGTGTGGTCACATGACACAGTCTATCCAACAAGGATCAGGTCAAAGGCGGGAGGTCAAAAAGCCTTTGGGGAAGGCTTTTGCATTTCTTGATAAAAGGGACTTAAGCAGCAGGTTCTGTTCTTCACTCCTTTCTTGCCTTGTACCATTTTCAGTTGTTCATTGTAGAAATAGAAATAAGCAAAAAAAGAAAAGAAAGAAATGATAAAACCAACAAAACTCATAAAAATTACACATGATCGGGCTCCAAAAATTAGGGAGAGGGAAACCCCTGCCTAATGAAACTAATAAATGTTTAAAACACTGTAAAAAATTACCCATGATCCCACCACACAGAGGTAACGTCTTACTAACCTTAATATTATGCTATATCATATTGGGGGAAGGCATGTTTTCTATGCATAAATACACATGCAACAGGGAGAAGAACTTAATTCAGAAGCTAGCAGCAGATTGAACCATTGTTCTGAGAGGATGGAAGGATGCTTCCTAAGGAAAAAATTGGCTGTCTTGTTCAGGAAAACATATTTTTTTTTTTTATTTGAGATGAAGTTTTGCTCTTATTGCCCAGACTGGAGTGCAATGGCTCAAATCTCGGCTCACTGCAACCTTTGCCTCCCGAGTTCATGCGATTCTCCTGCCTCAGCCTCCCCAGTAGCTGGGATTATAGGCGCATGCCACCACACCCAGCCAATTTTTGTATTTTTAATAGAGACAGGCGTTTACCATGTTGGCCAGGCTGATCTGGAACTCCTGACCTCAGGTGGCCTGCCCGCCTCAGTCTCCCAAAGTGCTGGGATTATAGGCATAAGCCACCACACCCGGCCTAGGAAAACATCTTAATAGTTTTGGGGGCTGTGAAATATAGGTCTAGAAGACGAGGAAAAAAGAACTCAGTGGCTGTGCACAATAAAATACCATTTGTCCCACGGAGATTCAGGTAGGATGACGTTTAGGATCCATGGGCACTTGGAGAATGGAGAGGTGGAGGAGAACGATTTGGTAAGGGACGGCAGGCACAATGTCAGCTGACCCAGAAGGCACCAGTGAGAGGCTGGTGGACTGGGCTTAGGAACTTTAAAATATCAAATGTTCTATTTTCAATGACTATCTATACAGTGCTGGGCTTGCTGTCACTATGCTGTAATTGTTTTTTGCTGTCTTCAACCTTCCCAACAGCTCTGTCTCACAAAATGGCCTTGTACTGGTGATGCTTTAGGGATTGGGGAAGGATCTGCTTGAGCCGCGCTTGCAGGAGGCCGTAGACAGTGAAAGTGCTGGCTTCTGTCTGCCTCTTTTCTGGTAATAGCACCTTCACATTTGGGGAACTACTTCTACTTCATGTGGTCCTGATAGAGCCGTTAATCACAGTTCCCCAGATTTCTCCCCCCATGACAGTTAGACCCAGGCTGGCCAATGACAGCGTCATAACCCTTGGCATACATGAACTGAACCAAGTATGGGCTCTCGACCTCCCAGGTTCAAGGGATCCTCCTACCTTAACTTCTCTAGTAGCTTGGGCTACAGGCATGCACCACCATACCTGGCTAATTTTTTTTTTTTCTTGAGATGGGATCTCACTATGTTGCCTAGGCTGGGCCAAAGTCCTTTGCCAGAATTGTTGCAATTGGACCTGGAGAGATGGTTCTACATTGTCACCTTTCATGGAGAGTTGTGAAGATGGAGGGCTGGGGCTGCAGGTAGCCTTTGACTCGGACTCATGGAGAAAGCCATTCTGTAAAGGGAGGGAATGAAGCCAGGCAGATGGGAATGAGAAAGTCCTGAGGCCTTGGTTCCCACTCTTCCCTGGGCTACCCCAGCCTTCCTGGCTCTGTGAACTAGTGAATCCCTTTCTCAGTGTATCTGTCATTTGTAATAAAAAAGAGCCCTTACTAATGGGAGAGCAAATAAAGGAAGAGAGAAGTGCATGGAGGGAGGAATCTCAGCCCCTAGTGTAATTAAGAATATAGGGGAACCAGAGATTCATAGTAAGAGGTAACCAGAAGTAGCACTAGATTTTTCTCAGCCAATGGGAACTTGAGAAAAATTATTTTTACATACTAAAAGAAAAGATAACCCCTGACAAGTGGAGAATTTATGGACCTCAAGGGGTTACATAATTTTTAAAACTATATACAAATGTATGGCAGATAAGTTACCCTCTTTTTTTTTTTTTTTTTAAGAGAAAAGGTCTCAGCTGGGCATGGTGGTTCACACCTGTAATCCCAGAACTGTGGGAGGCTGAGGTGGGCAGATCGCTTGAGCCCAGGACTTTGAGACCAGCCTGGGCAATAGTGAGACCTCATCTCTATTTCAAAATTTAAAATTAAAAAACAAATAGAGACATAATCTTGCTTTGTCACCCAGGCTACATAGAATATGGTGGTGCAATCATAGCTCACTGCAGCCTTGATCTCCCTGGATCAAGGGATCCTCCTGCCTTAGCCTTCAGAGTAGCTGGGATTACAGGCACCTGCCACCACACGTGGCTATTTTTTTTCTTTCTTGACAGCCCAAGCTGGTCACGAACTTCTGGGCTCAAGTAATCTTTCTGCCTCATCTCCCAGTGTGCTGGGATTACAGGTGTGAGCCACTGCACCTGGCCTGTTACCTTCTTGGAGACTTTTTGCTACTCTCTCTCAACTCTGGTCCTCATGTGTAAACTTTGTTCCACATCTTCTATTGTCCACTGAAAGGTCCTTTAAAAACCTCATATTGGGAGGCCAAGGCGGGCGGATCACGAGGTCAGGAGATCGAGACCATCCTGGCTAACACGGTGAAACCCCGTCTCTACTAAAAATACAAAAAAAAATAGCCAGGCGTGATGGTGGGCGCCTGTAGTCCCAGCTACTCGGGAGGCTAAGGCAGGAGAATGGCGTGAACCCGGAAGGCGGAGCTTGCAGTGAGCCGAGATTGCGCCACTGCACTCCAGCCTGGGCCACAGAGCGAGACTCCGTCTCAAAAAAAAAAAAAAAAAAAAAAAAAAACCTCATATCAACTGTTCAAATGTATCCTTGTCTCAACTCAATGTCAGAGTGACTAATAACAATTGTGGTAATAATACAAATAATTTGAAATTTCACATTCTTTTCCCATGATGGACGTGCTAAGAGGTAGTGAAGTGGACACAAGTCAGGCAAGGATCCGGGACATCAGCCACAGCTTATATTGGCAAGGCAGGAGATAAGATTTTTGGTTTTATGAAACCTGGCATTATGAGCCTGGTGAGCTCTATAGAAACAATTATAGAAACAGAGGAGCAAAGGTTCCTAGAGACCCTCTCCTTTACCTTCACCAAGACAATTGTATCATTACAGATAGTGAGTGCTGCTGCATGAGGAATGTGCTCCTGTAAACAAATATCAATGTGGCTTCTTAGAAGAGTCTGCCAACTAAACTTAGAAAAACATAAGAAACGTTTATTTGAATCTCAACTTATATAACTCATCCAACTACTAAATGCAATGACAAACTGACTCATGGTTCATATGAATCAGCCCTAGCATTCCAGATTAGTAATGCAGAAGGCGTTTCTTTCTTCTTTCTTTCTTCTTCCAGATAGAAGCTCTCTCTTCCCACTCCTGTAAAAAAAAAAAAAAAAAAAAAAAAAAAAAAAGCTCTTTAGATAGAAACTTGGCATTCTCTGGGAGTGAAGAAGTCAAGTGTCCTGGGATAGTGACCCTAAGAGGAAGAATCCTCAGGGGCACAGGAACTGTAATCTAGAGAAATAGTTTCATTTCATGTATTCATGTATGAAAAGGAGACTACATATGTGTATTTATGTAGCTAGAAGGGCAGGTTAAGGGAGAGAATTCTGATTGTCCCCTAGCTCTTTTTCCCTTCTTTCAGTAGTTTTATCTGGGAGATGGCTGCGTGTCTAAAGTCTACGTTTTCTCACTTACTTTATAGTCAGGTTTTTAGCCAGCCCCCAAGATGCCTCCAACAATCTCTGCCTCCTGGTATTCACACCTCTGCATAGTCCCTGCCCACATTGTGCCACAGAATTGGTACATTGTGCCACAGAATTGACTAACACAATTAAGCAGAAATACTTCTAGGTCACTTCTGAGATTAGGTTCTAAAGGACACTAAGCTTTCTCTCTATCTCTCTCTCTCTCTCTCTCTCTCTCTCTCTTCCCCCTGGGATTACTTGCTCTGGGAGAAGCATGTTGAGCAGCTCTACATGTTGAGAAGCTCATGTGGCAAAGAACAGAGGCCTCCTGACAACAGCCAGTGAGGAGGTGAGCTCTGCCAACAACCAAGTAAGTAAGCTTAGAAGTACATCCTCCAGACCCTGTTGAGCCTTCAGATAACTGCAGCGCCTTAGCCACTACCACTCAGCTAAGCTGCTCCTGAAATTATTTGATATCATAAATGTTTGTTGTTTTAATCTGCTAAGCTTTGGGATAATTCGTTATGCAGCAATAGATAACTAGAACATTACGTGTGGCCAAGAAAGTAATATGTGCACTTCAGGGTCATGCCTCTAAAAGGAATAAGTATGCTTTCTTGTTTCTCCTTCCCACTTCCTAGAATGCAAGCATAGTAATGAGCCATCTTACTGTCGAAGCTGCATGGGTGACAGCAACACCTTAGGGTTGGAGGACAACCATGCAGAAAGAGCCTGAGTCTCTGCATTATTCAGGAAATACTAGGTTTAACTGCACTAACAAAAAACCTCCAGTCTTAGTGTTTTCAAAGCAGTGGTTTATTTCCAACTCCCTCAAATCTGCTGCAGCTCTGGGCTTCTAGACTTGCAGTTTAGCAGTGACTACGTTCTTCTTCTCAAGACAATGGCCTCTATCAGGAGGGCCCTCTACACAGCTACAGGTCTCTCCAGCTTTTGGTAACATCTTCTTCCCCTTGACCCTCCCTTTGACCCAAGCCTAGAGGTGGTAACTGTTGTTAGCCCCAATGCTTCACTATCCCTTGTTGGTGTCCCTTAATATTCTTCATACCTTTGTAGAGTTCCTTCATTAAACTGCCTTCAATTACCTCTGCCATCTATTTTCTGTCAATATCCTGACCTATCCAATCCTTCTTCCTCAAATGATAGCTACTAGTCAAAACAGCCAATAACATAAGAAATGGAAAGACATGTAAGTCCCAAAGGATGATCTTTTAGATTATAAGCAGAGCGAACATGCACTAGCACCCAAGTCTCACAGTGCATAGAAAAGATATCCCCTTTGTTGTCATCATCAAGATAGTGAGAAGCAGTGGCATCCAAAATATCTGTGAATCTAGGCCAAATCATTCCAGTAAAAAGCTATTTGACCTACTTATTCCAAAATTAAAGCTTATTCCAAAATATTTTCAATATTCAGTTCAAGTATTATTGACATACCAATTAATTCCTCAGCTGGGCTTCCACTGAGTTCAGGCAGAAAGTTCTAAATTAGGGCATGAAGTTTGCCAGGTTTCTGTTTTGAACAAGTGTATTAGTCCATTCTCACACTGCTACAAAGGTACTACCTGAGACTGGGTAATTTATAAGGAAAAGAGGTTTAATTGACTCACAATTCCACATGGCTAAGGAGGCCTCAGGAAACTTACAGTCATGGCGGAAGGCAAAGGGGAAGCAAAGACGTTCTTTACATTGCGGCAGATAAGACAGAGCTAGCAAGAGCAGGGAAAACTGCCTTACCAAACCATCAGATTCATGAGAACTCACTCACTATCATGAGAACAGCATGGGGGAAACCAATTCCATGGTCCAATCACTTCCCACCTAATTCCTCCCTCAACACCTGGGGATTACAACTCAAGATGAGGTTCGAGAGGGGACACAAGGTTCGGGGAGGCCTCCAAAAATCTCACCAGCCACAAAGTATAGCTCACAGCCCAACTCATTGCATGGTGGGGGAAAAAAAACAAAAAAACAAAAGAGGAGGAAAGAGAGAGAGGAGAGAGGGAGGCTGACGAGGTTCACAGAAAGAAAGCTGACTCTTCAAATGAGGAGACGCCTCTTCTACATTAAAAGCAAACAAACAAACAGCCTCATTTGGAAGTCCTCCCTGAGGGGCCACAGGTAGGGGACCTAGAGAAAGATAACCTCATCCAGAATAGAGAATGCGACTTTGCTCCAAACACATCAGCTTCCAACAGGGAATCTGCAGTGGCCAAAGGGGCCGCCAACAAGATAATGGAATATGATTGTTGTCCACAAAGATGCCTAGGACAGAAATTCCTGTAGGATCAACAACACAGCTAGGAAGAAAATGAAAAAGTCAGATTCTTCATCCATTTATTGAAATATTCACCAAGGCTGGGTATGGTGGCTCATGCCTATAATCCCAGCACTTTGGGAGGCTGAGGCAGATGGATATCCAGAGCTCAGGGGTTGGAGACCAGCCTGGGAAACAGGGAGAAACCCCATCTCTACCAAAAATGCAAAAAAAAAAAAAATTTAGCTGGGTGTGGCAGTGCACACCTGTGGTCTCAGCTACTTGGGAGGCTAAGGTGGGAAGATCACTTGAGCCCAGGGGGCAGATGTTGCAGTGAGTCGAGCTCGTGCCACTACACTCTAACCTGGGTGACTGAGTGAGACCCCACCTCAAAAAAAGAAAACAAAGGAAAGAAAGAAAGACAGAGCAAGAAAGAGAGAAAGAAAGAAAAGAGAAAGAAAGAAAGAAAGAAAGAAAGAAAGAAAGAAAGAAGGAAAGAAAGAAAAAAAAAAGAAAATTCACCCATTCTAATCCACAACAAACAATGAAAACAAAATTCAAAATCATGCATACTTGTTAAGATACTTTTTGCTACAAGTGACTGAATACTCAACTGAAAGTGGCATATCAGGTTTTTTGTTTTTCTGTAGGTCATTCCAGGTTCAGTTAATTCAACAGCCTGACTAGGCCAGAGCTCTCAATCATCCTTTCTGGGATTCTCTTCTCTTTCTCCTCATGGTCCCAAGATGATTGCTCCAGTTCCAAGCATCACATCCTACATGACATCATCCAAACACAGGAAAGGTCCTGGCTTTATTTTCAGGCATCTCTCATTTTATTTTATCACAGAGGAAAAGCCTTTTCCCAGAAGCTCCTTAGCAGTCTTCCCTTACCTCTCAGTGTCTGGAGTTGGGCCACATGCCCACTCCATGCCTATAATTGGTAAAGACAATCAGCACTTGGAACAGACTGGCACATAGCAGGAGCTTATTAAATATTTGTTGAATGAATGAAAGGTGGATTGGATTACCATGGTTGGCTTAGACCAATTATAGCCCATTTCCTAGAGCCCATTTTCCTAGAACACATTGTTGACTAATGGCTGAAGAAAACTGGCATTTTCTTATCAAGGAAGAAGGAAGGAACGGCTATTGGACAGTCAATAGTGTATGCCACATTATGCTATTTCTTAAAGCAGGGAACCAGAGCAACCCATTAAAAGGGCTTATTGTTTTCTAATGGTTACCTTGTAAAAAAGTGTTTTTGGATTTAAACAAATTGTTCATGCAAGGGGTATCTCATTAGTGAACAAGTTACACTATTCTAAAGAGAAATGGACTTTTTTTTTCTGCTCCAGCTTAGACATCAGTTCGTACAGATATTCTCCCTGCCTAAACCCCATCTGGGTTGGGTATCCTTCTTCTATGTTATCAGGCACTCTACCTCCCCATGTTACAGCAGTTACCACACTGGATTATATCCACTTATTTATTCTGTTTCCTGCAGTACAGGCTGTTACATGTTCACCAAATCATGTTTTCTTTTCTTGTGTGCTACCTTTCTCAATCCCCTTTGCAGTTAGGTGTGGCCATGTGACTGAGTCTGGTCAATGGAATGTGAGTAAAGTAGTGTATACCACTTTCAAGCTTGGCCATAAAAACTACCTGTGCAATCTCCTGGCTTTCTCTTTCTTAATCTGCTGGCTTAATGGAGAAGACTTTGTGGACATAAAAAAATATGGAAGGAGGCTGGGATCCTGAAGGACTGCATGGAACAGAATACCTGTCTTCTCAGCAATCCACACTATTCTAAGATGAACTTGGTGAAGAATGCATTTTTTATTGTGCTAAGCCACTGAGAATTGAGTATTTATGTGTTTTTGTTATGGTCGTTATCCAACTCTAACGAATACAGTTCCTCAGAATAAAAACTTACTGAAAGTAGAAATCTCTGTCTTGTTCACCATGCTTTCTTGCCCTACCTAGCACAGTGTCTGTCACATAATAGGCACTTAAGACACTTTTAAAAAATGAAATAAACGTAATTCTCCCAACTTGTAGCGAGTATCTACTAAATGCCAAAATAGCTTGAACTTTGTAATGCCATTTAAAAAACCTAAAATATTTCTCCCCAAAATTTTGAGGAGTTAAGTCAAAGACACTGAAAACACAGAGGAACACTCTGCCCCAGCCTCCATTTGCCTGGTGGCAAACTCTTCCTTCCTTACTGGGGACAGCACTTGCTTATGGGTCCAGAGAGGGCATCAGCGGGCACCAGAGGACTCGGGGAACAGATTTTATGATCTTCCCACATTTTCCTGCCTTTTAAAAGACTGGAGCCACTCTTTCCTTTGTCTTGTCACTGTGTAGGATTTATGGCTCTTTGTTAATATAGTATTTAATCTAGGCCCCAAGCTAGCTTGAGTAATACTTTTAAACTGAGGCCTGTCTTGCATGGTGGGCGCAGCATCCACTAATGAACTTCTGCTTGTTTTCCTCTTTTTAATCTGACTTTTGTTTTTAGGAGAGTGTCTCAACTAAGAACCTAAAAATGGAAGAAAAAAAAAAAGAAAAGAAAAAAAAAAGAAATTGTGTTTTCTCCCTTACACTATATTAGTAATTTTTGATATCACTTCATTGCTCAACATAGAAACAAATGTCAACAGAAGAATGGTGAAGTTCATAATTCAGAAAGGAGAGTTTTATTTCTCTTACAAGTTTGCATCCTGTAGGGTGGCCATTCTTATGAGCCGGGAGGCATAGCATCCAGCCAGGGCCCGGAAACAGACACTTCAACGGTGGAAAGAATAAGACAGGAATGTATGGTGAGCAGGGTGGCCAAATATACATATTCAATGAGGTATAGGAGGAGTGATGAATAATTATGAGAGGAGGAACATGTGCATGTGCAACTGAGCGTCATGCCTCTCCATGGGAACCACGTTCCCAAAACGGTGGTGTTAGCATTGATACAAGAATGGAGTGTTTGCTTGTTTGTTTGTTTGAGAAGGAGTCTGGCTTTGTCACCCAGGCTATATTGCAATGGCGCGATCTCGGTTCACTGCAACCTCCGCCTCCCAGGTTCAAGCGATTCTTTTTTTTTTTTTTTTTTTTTTTTTTTTTGAGACGGAGTCTCGCTCTGTCGCCCAGGCCGGACTGCGGACTGCAGTGGCGCAATCTCGGCTCACTGCAAGCTCCGCCTCCCGGGTTCACGCCATTCTCCTGCCTCAGCCTCCCGAGTAGATGAGATTACAGGCACGCACTACCATGCCTGGCCAATTTTTGTATTTTTAGTAGAGATGGGGTTTCGCCATGTTGGCCAGGCTGGTCTTGATCTCCTGACCTCAAGCCATCCACCGGCCTGGGGCTCCCAAAGTGCTGGGATTACAGGCGTCAGCCACCGCACCCGGCCCAAGAATGGAATTTTCAGTCCTCTGAAGTCAAAAAGTGGGGGAAAGGTCATGGAAATCCTCACCGCGCATTCTCCATAGACTGGACAGAACCAATCTGTGCTCTAATGAGGTGTGTCCGACCTCCCCATTCAGTCTTGGCTGAGAATGCAGCTTCCAAGGTTTCACTGGAGTCCCGTTGGCCAAGAAATAGTCCGTTCAGTCATTTGGGAGGCTTAGGATTTTATTTTTATTTCTCATTGACCATAAATCCCTTAAAAAGAAGGGCTGAGAATTATCTATTGTGATTGTCCTTTTTGGCAAAAAGGAAGGTAGGAAAAACGCTGCATCTCATTATTTATTTATTTATTTATTTATTTATTTATTTATTTATTTATTTTGAGACAGAGTTTCACTCTTGTTGCCCAGGCTGGAGTGCAATGGTGAGACCTTGGCTCACGGCAACCTTCGCCTCCCTGATTCAAGTGATTCTCCTGCCTGAGCTTCCCGAGTAGCTGGGATTACAGGCGCCCACCACCACGCGGGCTAATTTTTGTATTTTTAGTAGAGACAGGGTTTCACCATGTTGGCAGGCTGGTCTTGAACTCCTGACCTCAGCTGATCTGCCCGCCTCAGCCTCCCAAAGTGCTGGGATTACAAGCATGAGCCACCGTGCCCGGCCTGCATCTCGCTTTTTAACTTGTAAGTGGGACTAAGAACTCCAGGGGACAAAGTGGATGGTGGAAATTTTTCCCCAATTTTCGTGTGCTTAAGAGGACACTTGTTAGCGCGTTTGTTGGTCTGTGGATCTGTCTCTTGCTTCAACGATGTTTGGATAAAACGGACCTGGGACTCCCTTTCTTCTAGCCTCTGACTGCCCTCCCATCTCCTCTCCACCTGCAACCTCCAGAATCACCTTCTCCACCATCTCCTGCTTCTGGGGCTGTTGCAGGACTTTTCCTTAGTTCAGCTAAAGATGGAGTCATTGTCCCACAGCCACGAGAGTTTAGGCTTGAAGACGGTTTGAAGGGTGAGTAAAGCAGAGCTTTATTGGGTGAAAAGGAAAAAAGAGGGGAACAGGGACTCTCCGAAAGGCCGCAGTTCCTCTTGGTGCTCTTCCTGCCTCGCAGTTTGAATCCCAGGTTCCACACAGGAAGAGGAGGGGCCAGGCTCTTCCGTGCTGCAAACTGCGTGAACTTCTCAAGGCTCCACCCTAGCGCACAGGCTAGTTGGAGTTTTTCTGGTAACCCTTCCCACCTGACTGTGTTAGGACCAGCCACACCATTTTTGTGGTTAGCTCCCTATTGCTGACCGACCAACCATGAGTTCCCAGATTTAGCAGAATTATTCGACATATGTGGAGGCAGCCATCAACTCCATCTGTGGGCTTCCTACAATTACTTCTCTCTGGGCTTCTATTTCAACCATGATGATGTGGCTCTGGAAGGCGTGGGCCACTTTTTTTTTTGGTTGGAGGGAAGGGTGTCCCTCAGTCACCCAGGCTGGAGTGCAGTGGCAGTGGGACAATCATGCTTACTTTAGCTTTGACCTCCTGGGCTTAAGTGATCCTCCCGACTCAGCCTCTCGAGTACCTCAGACAACCGGTGTGCACCACCACACCCAGATAACTTTTTGTTTTATTTTTGTAGAGAGTGAGTCTTGCCCAGGCTGGTCTCGAACCCCTGGGCTCAAGTGATCTTACTGCTTCACCCTCCCAAAGTGCTGGGGTTGTAGTCATAAGCCACAGCACCTGGCCTACTTCTTCCACAAATTGGTGGAGAAGAAGCACTAGGGTGCCCAGTGTCTCTCCAAGACGCAAAACCAGTTTGGCGGCCACGCCCTCTTCCAGGACTTCCAGAGCCATCTAAAGATGAGTCGGGTAGTCCAGATGCAGTGCCTCACATCTGTCATCCCAGCACTTTGGGGGACCCAGGTGGGAGGATTTCTTGAGGCCAAGAGCTTAAGATCAGCCTGGGCGACATGGCGAGACCCTGTCTCTACAAAAAAAAATTTTTAATTAGCCAAGCATGGTGGCATGCACCTGTAGTCCCAGCTATTTAGGAGGCTGAGGTGGGAGGATTGCTTGAGCTCAGGAGTTCGAGGTTACAGTGAGCTATGGATCATGCCACTGCACTCCAGCCTGGGTGACAGAGTGAGACCCTGTCTCAAAACAAACAAACAAAAAAAGTTAAAAATACAAATCAAATTTTTTTCCTACCACTAGAATTATTAAATTAGAACCTCTGCAGGTAGGGCTTGGGAATCTATATTTTTAACCAGCTCCCCAAACATTCTGATGCCCAATGAAATATGAGAAGCATTGCTGCCTACCTTGCCTATGTTTGTTTTTCAGTAAGTTAATTGAAAACAATTTTAGCATCTCCCATTCCATCCCCTTCCCTTTTAACTAGCTAATGTCCATGCTAGGAAACTGCCTAAAAATAGCTTAGGATTTCCTTCCTGCTGGCACTGGTGGGGGTAAGACAGTTACAGGCTTCCCCTCTCACCTCTGTTTTTATTGTTTGTCTTTCATCTGTCAGCTGCAAAGCATTACTGGCTCCATATCTCACAGGTCCTTGCAAATTTCGTGCTGCCAGGACTTGGCCAAGGTTAACGTAGCTGCTGACTTTCTTTTCATCTCACAAATGACCACTAGAATTTTCATTGTTGGTGAAAGTGTAAAATGATACAATTTCTTTGGGAAAACGGTGTTCGACAATATCTACTAAAGTTAAATATGTACCCATTCCATGACTGGGCAATTCCACGCCTAGCTATATACCCAAGAAAAGTTGAATGTGTACATCCACAAGAAGGCATGGACACCAATATTCATAGCAGTTCATTCATAATTGCTGCAAACTCAGAACAACCCTTCTGGGTTTGTCCAGTAACAGGAGAATGGATAAATGTTATGACATATTTATACAATACTATATGGCAATAATTTAGAAAATAATTGATACATTTAGCAATATAGATGGATCTCAAAAACATGTTATGCAAGAAGAGCCATCTGCAAATGAGTATATGCTGTATTATTCCATTCATATGAACTTCAAGAACAGGCAAAGCTAACCCGTGGTGATAAATAAGAATAAGAGCTACTTATAGGTGAGGGGAGGGGGCTTTTGAACTGGACAGGGTATGAGAGAATTTTCTGGGAAGATGGAAATATTCTATTGATAAATCTTGATTTGGCTGGTGGCCTCAGAGGTGTATTTGTGTAAAAATTCATTGAGCTATACTCTTAAGATTTGTGCATTGTACTGTCATTCCAGATAGATGGCTAGATTCCATTGCTATCAAAAGACAGATCTAAAAGCACATGCTTGTTACTTCCCCACCCTTTCTTGTCTGAATTTCTTCCACTCCACAGGCCTCTATAGTTTTTTGTGTTCTTACGTACTTGCCAGACATTTCTTGTGGCCACCAGTCTTTTCTCTGTCTTTCTTCTAGAGTTTCCTCTCCTTGCAGTCGCCATGAGCAGCACCAAAACTGATCCTTTGTATTCACCCCCTTTGCCTCCAACCAAGGGAGCCAAGGGTGGGTCACTAACTAGCTAAAACCCTGCATGCTTGGCCCTTCTATAACCTGAAGTAGCTGTTGCCTTTTTGTTTTGTTTTGTTTTTTGAGACAGAGTCTCTCTGTGTTGCCCAGGCTAGAGTGCAGTGGTGTGATCTTGGCTCACTGCAACCTCCACCTCCTGGGTTAAAGTGATTCTCCTGTCTCAGCCTCCCAAGTGGCTGGGATTAAAGGCATGTGCCACCATGCCTGGCTAATTTTTTGTATTTAGTAGAGATGGGGTTTAACCACGTTAGTCGGGCTGGTCTTGAACTCCTGACCTCATGTGATCCACCCACCATGGCCTCCCAAAGTGCTGAGATTACAAGCATGAGCCACTGTGCCCATCCGCTGTTACTACTCTTTATGGCTGTTTAAAATCTCCCATTTCTATTTCTTTGCCCATTTCCATCTTCTTCACAAATTGGCTCCAGCTTCTGGGGATGAATGAAAACATGTTCTACTTTGGTTGGTAGATTTAATTCGGACTGCTGTGGTTTTGGACAAAATCCCAGATAGATTTATCAAACAGAGTCAATGTGACAGCAAAGCAACTTGGTGAGCTGCTAACAATGGAGGATTTAGAACACCAAAGCTGGGAGGCCAAAATTAAAGACAGTTAAATGAACTGCTAAAGTTGGATGATCAATGCAGAAGAGAGAGCACAGACGTGTGTAAAAGCCCTCACATGTATGTTGTATCTTAATTTTTCACTCAGAAATTTACAAATGATAAAATTCAGGTTTTTCAGAGCAGAGGTGCCAACATATTTGGACAGAATCTGACTTTTGTTCCAAAGTGGAATGAATGAATCTCTGCCCACAGTTGAATCAACCTAATCCAAAAGGAGAAAAAAAACTGTAAAGCTAAACTACTGAACATTTCTGAGTCACCCACAAAAATGAAAGTATCAGTTAAACAGGAGAAATTAAGGAGCCATTTCGACTTGGAAGGGGAGTCTGTTCTTGAGGGCATGCAGTTGTCTTTGCGGATTGCTGTTCTTGGATAAAAGTAGACAGGGAGAAAGAGCAGTCACTTCTCAAGTGACCCCAACCTGTTAAGAAGGCATGATGCTCTAGGCTGGTGGCGCTTAACCTTGGCTGCATCCTGGAATTACCTAGGGAGCTTTAAAAACCACTGTGGCCTGGATCCCACCCCAGAGATTCTGATTTAATTGGTCTGGGGTGTGGCCTGGGCATCAGGATTCTTAAAAGCTCCCACGTGATTTTAATATGCAGCCAAAGTTGAGAACCACTACTCTAGATTCTAGAACCTGGACCCAGCAGAGCACCTCACAGGCTACTAAACATTCAATAAATATGTGTTGTACTGGTAATAGTAATTTTAAATGTTTTAAGTTGAGATATAATCCACATAACAAAATCCACCATTTTAAAATTTGATTTGCTGATTTTTTGTCCATTTTTCATGTCATATAACCATTACTTCTATATAATTCCAGAACATTCCCATCACTCCTGCTATAGACTAAATATTTGTGTCCCTCCAAAATTCATATGTTGAAATCCTAACCCCCAATGTGATAGTATCAGGAGGTGCCTTTGGGAGGTGACTAAGTCATGAGGGTGGAGGCCTCATGAATGAGATTAGTGCTCTTACAAGGAAGAGACACAAGAGCCCTCTGCTCTCTAGTATATGAGGATACAATGAGAAGACAGCATCTGCAAACCAGCAAGTGGGCTTTCACCAGACACAAGATCCACCAGCTCCTTGATCTTGGACTTCCCAGCCTCTAGAACTGTGAGAAATAAATGTTTGTTGTTTAAGGCACCCAGTATATGTTAATTTGTTATAGCAGACCTATATTAGGCCATTCTTGCATTGCTATAAAGAAGTACCTGAGCCTGGGTAATTTTTAAAGAAAAGAGGTTTAATTGGCTCATGGTTCTGCAAGGAAGAAAGCTTCTACAGGAAGCATGGTGCTGGCATCTGCCTGGCTTCCAGAAAGGCCCCAGGAAGCTTACAATTATGACAGAAGGCAACGGGGGAACAGGCACATCACATGGCGAAAGCAGGAGCAAGTAAGAGAGAGTTGAGGGGGCAGGTGGCACACATTTTTAAATGACTAGATCTCATGTGAACTCAGAGAGAGAGCTCACTTATCACCAAGGGGATGGCCCCAAGCCATTCATGAGGGATCCACCCTTATGATCCAAACACCTCCCACCAGACCCCACCTCCAACACTGGGGACTACAATTCAACATGAGATTTGGGCACAACATCCAAACCATATCACAGCCCAATATGGTTTGGTTGTGTCCCACCCAAATCTCATCTTGAACCGCAGTTCCCATAATTCCCATGTGTCAGGGGAATGACTGGGTAGGAGGTAATTGAATCATGGGGGCAGTTACCCCTATGCTGTTCTCATGATAATGAATGAGTTCTCATGAGATATGATTGTTTTATAACAGGCTTCTCCCCCTTTGCTCAGCATTGCTCCTTCCTTCCACCACGTGAAGAAGGACGTGTTTGCTTCCCCTTCCGCCGTGATTGTGAGTTTCCTAAGGCCTCTCCAACCCTGTGGAACTGTGAGTTAATTGAACTTATTTCCTAATAAATTATAATTACTGCTGGGCAGTTCTTTATAGCAGTGTGAGAATGGACTAATACACAGCCCAAACTAAGACATCTCCAAAGAGAAACCCTGTACCTATTAGCAGCCAGTTTCCATTCTCTCCTCCCCTGAACCCCCAACCACTTATCTATTTTCTGTCTTTGTGAAGTTCCCTATTCTGGGTATCTTATATACGTAGAACCATATGATACATTGTCTCATGTCAGGATTTTTTCACATAGTATAATATTTTCAAGACCCAACCATGTTGTACACCACAAGGTCAAACAGCAACCATTTGGAATCTTTTGGAGGTTTAGAGAATTCAATTCCTTTTCAATCAAGTGTTAAACAAAGTTTATAGGAAGGCATTGTTTTGGACTAGTCTCCTGCACTAGGCTCCAGCAGACCAGACCAAACCAAAATGGAGTCATTTATGTTAGCTGAAGCAGGTAAATCCCCAAATGGACTAGCGTTCTCCTGAAAACAAGAGATTCACAGCAACCAGAAAAAGCCAAGTTTGCCTGAGTCAGCATAATAAGGAAGTCCCCTCTGCTTTAACCCTTATAAGAAGTGACCTGTAGTAAGCTTGTGTTAACCAATCTACTTTTTAAAATTATTGTTTCCTCTGTTCCAATGATGCATTCTGAAAAAATTTTTTAAAAATTATTGTTTCCTTGTTCCCACTTACAAAATCTATTCTGCCACACCCAGGAGAACACTCATTCTATTCTATAGATTGAAGTGTTGCCCAGTTATAGAATAGCTAATAAAATTCACTTAGATTTTTAAACTAAATGTGTCATAATTTTATCTTTTGATATAAGTTGCTCCATTTGTACCAACAAGTGAGAATTGTGAGTGAAAACCCCACCAATAGTTTTAGATTCTGCAATTAGTAAATAAGTCGTAGACCATCTCCAAAGCCAAGGAAGTTTCAAAACAATAGCAGCAACCTAAGAGGTCCTGTTTATAGGGTTAGCTGAGCCTAAATAAGGATAATAATTAGGGAACTTGCTTTGAACTGTTGGGGGAAAAAGCCACAGTAGGGCCAGATTTAACACATATGCCAGAGAGAAGGATTGTTTTGCTTTAAGGAGCTGAACAGCTAGCCAGAAGGAAGAGCGAACCTTCGGTATTTTTTTCCTGCTCTGGCCAACATCATCATTCCTTTCATCTTCTCTCATAAGGAAGCTACTATGTTGTCCAGTCCTGGTACAAAATACTTATTCCATAAAAGCACATGAGTCTCTAGCCTGACAATCAGAAGGGACTTTCCCTTCAATCTCTCCTCTTTTGTGCTCTGCACTCCTTAATGCTTGGGGGATGTGGAGAGCAGTAAGAAAAGCAAAGCCAAAGAATTATGATCTCTGGGTCATTTAATGAAGCTAGTTTATTTATTTATTTATTTTAGAGCCTGAGACTTACTTGGGGATATTAAAAAGTCTGATAAATTGATCCAAATTCCACAAATATGGACTAAATGCAGTTTCATTTCAGTACAGTAAACACTGCCAGAGTGGCTACAAGGTGGCAGACACAGGGCTGGTCACTGGGGTCCAGAGACGAATGAGGCCTTGACCCTGCTCTCACTAGATGGGTTCACTTAGCATCCAGCTCTGGAATTTAAGCAGATCTCCCAGGGGGCATGTATGTCCGTCTTATACAGTACAATTAATTACTCTCCAAGTCTGCATGCACCTTCAGAACTGAACTCAGGTTAAGGATCAAGCAGAAGCTCAGATGTGGTTTGAATAAGGATGTTGGCCTTCCATGGTTAAAGGTGTAAAACCAGATGTATATAAGCTCACCCTGTGATGAGACATCCCTGCAGAGCCTCCTTAGCTGGTTTTCATCACATTTTGAGATCAGGACACCTTAGAGTCACTTACTCAGGAGGTGGAGAGGGAAAGGCTACCTCCTCCTGCCAATTGCTGCACTTTTCATTCCCAGTGGGTAACAGAAGGCTGGGCACCCAAACATATTATCTAGGCCCAGCTGTGAGGCTAAGATGACATATTGTCCTCTCTGTATATAGGAAATGCTAGAGGACTAGAAAGGCTGACAATAAGACTGTTAAGGACTTTGAAAAGATTTAGAGCTGCAAGGAACTGTGGAGAACATTTGAGTCCTGAGCAGTGGAAGCAAGAGGGGAGTGGTGAACAGAATGGCCACTGGAGCAAAGAGCTTGTTGTCATTGTCCTTCTTCTCCATGGGTATGGTGCCTCCCAGCGGTGGGCCACCCACCTGGGCCCTGGGGCTCCAGCCCACATGAAAAAACCTGGAGCCAAATACTGCCATTGCGGCCTCCCTGCTTAGTTGAGTAGAGATTGAATAAAGGTTTCATCAGACAACTCACAAAAAAGAAAGTCAATGGGCTCACACAATCCCCTTTCCACAGAAACAGGGCCTATCTTGGACAAAATTATAAATTCTGGACTGGTTTCTGAGGTCTTTTTGTAACCATCCAATGGGTTCATCTTGCTGGCTGCCCAGACAGAGCCAATTTATTGGGACAGAAATTGCAACAGAGAAAGAGTTTAATACATGTAGAGCCAGCTAACCAGAAGGCTGGAGATTTATTATTACTCAAATCAGCCTCCTTGAAAATTTGGAGGCTAGGATTTTTTAAAGATAGTTTGGTGGTGGGGGCTAGGGAATGGGTGCTGCTGATTGGTTGGGGATGCACTCATAGGGTGTGGAAATAGTCCTTCTGCCCTGAGTCCGCTTTTGGGGAGGAGCCACAGGACTAGTTGAGTCATGAGTGGACTCATCAGGTTGTGAGAAATGGAAAAGTCAGAAAAGACAACTCAAAAAGCAAATCTTATGTTCTACAATACTGATGTCATTTACAGGAGTAATTGGGGAAGTTACAAATCTTGTAACCTCTGGAACAATGGCAGGTTATCATTTAACTATGCATACATCTTAGCAGAATTCAAGCCCCTCTTGTAATCCTAACTTTGCAGACTTTAGTTTAGTTTTGGGAAGGGCTATTATTATCCTTGCTTTAAGGTTACACTATAAGCTAAATTTCTCCAAAAATTAGCTTGGCCCATGCCCAGGAATGACCAAGGACAGTTTGGAGGTTAAGGCCAAGATGGACTTGGTTAGGTCAGATCTCTTTTACTGTCATGTTTTTCTGTTATAATTTTTACAAAGGCAATTTCACTTTCATATTTTATTTCTCATCCCAGTCACCCATGGGAGGCTATGGCCTTTTCTTTTCCTTATCTTCATCTTCTTCCATTGAAACTTATCTGTCCTATGTCTCATTCCTTCAGTTTCCTCTCAGCTGAACTGTGTTGAGAGGTATCCAATGTCTCCAAAGGTGACCACATATGTGATGGTTGGCATCGGCTGGGAAGGGAAGTCTTACCACTTAGCAGCAGGGACCAGTGTGGCCAACCCACAGGGTAGCCACAGGGCTTTCTTGAAAGCTTCTTGGAGAAACCCTGGAGATTGTCTGGGAAACACACCTTCTGACTTCACTCTGTTGAGAAATAACTCCGGCTATCTGGAAGCTGAAATTTTACTAGGGGAGATAAGAACTACATACAAATAAAATACATGGCCTGTATTAGTCCGTTTTCATGCTGCTGATAAAGATATACTGAAATTGGGAAGAAAAGGAGGTTTAATTTGACTTACATTTCCACATGGCTGGGGAGGCCTCAGAATCATGGCGGGAGGTGAAAGGCACTTCTTACATGGCAGCAGCAAGAGGAAGATGAGGAAAAAGCAAAAGTGGAAACCCCTGATAAACCCATCAGATCTTGTGACACTTATTCACTATCATGAGAATAGCACGGGAAAGACTGGCCCCCATGATTCAATTACCTCCCCCTGGATCCTCCCATAACCTGTGGGAATTCTGGGAGATACAATTCAAGTTGAGATTTGGGTGGGAACATAGCCAAACCATATCATTCCGCCCCTGGCCCCTCCAAATCTCATGTGCTCACATTTCAAAACCAATCATGCCTTCCCAACAGTCCCCCAAAGTCTTAACTCATTTCAGCATTAACCCAAAGTGCACAGTACAAAGTCTCATTTGAAACAAGGCAAATCCCTTCCTCCTATGAGCCTGTAAAATCAAAAGCAAGCTAGTTACTTCCTAGATACAATGGGAGTACAGGTATTGTGTACATACAGTCATGCCAAATGGGAGAAATTGGCCAAACCAAAGGGGTAGCAGGCCCCATATAAGTCTGAAACCCAGCAGGGCAGTCAAATTTTAAAGATCCTAAATGATCTCCTTTGACTCCAGGTCTCACATCCAGGTCACCCACAAGAGATGGGTTCCCATGGTCTTGAGCAGCTGTACCCCTGTGGCTTTGCAGGGTAGAGCCTCCCTCCTGGCTGCTTTCACAGGCTTGCATTGAATGTCTGCAGCTTTTCCAGGTGCACAGTACAAGCTGTTGGTGGATCTACCATTCTGGGGTCTGGAGGACAGTGACCCTCTTCTCTCAGCTCCACTAGGCAGTGCCCCAGTAGGGACTCTGTGTGGGGGCTCTGACCCCACATTTCCCTTCCACACTGCCCTAGAAGAGGTTCTCCATGAGGGCCCCGCCCTGCAGCAAACTTTTGCCTGGACATCCAAGTATTTCCATACATCTTCTGAAATCTAAGTGGAGGTTCCCAAACCTCAATTCTTGACTTCTGTGCACCCGCAGGCTCAACACCAAGTGGAAGCTGCCAAGGCTTGAAGCTTCCACCCTCTGAAGCCACAGCTCGAGCTCTGTGTTGGCCCTTTTCAGCCAAGGCTGGAGCAGATGGGACACAGAGCACCAAGTCCCTAGGCTGAACATAGCATGGGGACCCTGGGCCTGGCCCACAAAACCACTTTTTCCTCCTAGGCCTCCAGGCCTGTGATGGGAGGGGCTGCCATGAAGGTCCCTGAAATGGCCTGGAGACATTTTCCCCATGGTCTTGGGGATTAACATTAGGATCCTTGCTAGTTATGCAAATTTCTGCAGCTGGCTTGAATTTCTCCTCAAAAAATGGGCTTTTCTTTTCTACTGCATCATAGGCTGCAAATTTTTGAAACCCTCATGTTCTTTTTTTCCCTTTTAAAACAGAATGCTTTTAACAGCACCCAAGTCAACTTTTGAATGCTTTGCTGCTTAGAAATTTCTTCTGCCAGATGCTCTAAATCATCTCTCTCAAGTTCAAATTTCCACAAATCTCTAAGGCAGGAGCAAAATGCTGCCAGTCTCTTTGCTAAAACATAACAAGAGTCGCCTTTGCTCCAGTTCCCAACAAGTTCCTCATCTCCATCTGAGACAACTTCAGCCTGGATTTCATTGTCCATATCATTATCGATTTTTTGTCAAAGCCATTCAACAAGTCTCTAGGAAGTCCAAACTTTCCCACATTTTCCTGGCTTCTTCTGAGCCCTCCAAACTGTTCCAGCCTCTGCCTGTTACCCAGTTCCAAAGTTTCTTCCACATTTTTGGGTATCGTTTCAGCAGTGCCCCACTCTACTGGTACCAATTTACTGTATTAGTCTGTTTTCATGCTGCTGATAAAAACATACATGAAACTGGGAAGAAAAAGAGGTTTAATTGGACTTACAGTTCCACATGAGTGGGGAGGCCTCAGAATCATGGTGGGAGGTGAAAGGCACTTCTTACATGGCAGTGGCAAGAGAAAAAATGAGGAGGAAGGAAAAGTGGAGACCCCCAATAAACCCATCAGATCTCTTGAGACTTATAGACTATCATGATAATAGCATAGGAAAGACCAGCCCCCATGATTCCGTTACCTCCTTCTCAGTCCCTCCCACAACACATTGGAATTCTGGGAGAATTCAAGTTGAGATTTGAGTGGGGACACAGCCAAACCATATCATGGCCAAATAATACTTTGAAATGTGGATTTCTTTCTTTTTCTCTCTCTAGGGCTCCTCTCCCTTCCTTAGAGAAGGCTCTTGGCCTCATTGCCTTGGGGAAGGAATGTAGCAAGGGAGAACACAGATAAAGCTTGAAAGTGTTTTTTTGCTCCTTGTTCCAAAAGCTTACACCCTTAGGGAATCCAAGAGGTGGGGCATTGTGGAGGAGATTAAAGAAAAAGAAGCTGTGTCATCCCCAGACTGGAAAGAGTTTTCCATGGGTGGGGGTAAAAAGAAAAAAGGAGAGGCTGTGGGTTCTAGGAGCAGAAAGGATCATGCCTGGCTTTGCAACATGGTCACTATTTAGGAAAGAAAGCCCTAGAGAGAAAATGGCTATGTCTAAGTAGAAAGAATTAAAGGAGCCTCATCAAAGGCTCCTGCATCCTGGGCAGGCTAGAAAGGCAGCAGGAAGCTGGAGGACCCAAAGGGAACATATGGAGGAAAAGAACACATCCTAGCAGTAACCCGTGTGGACCAGGGCCCAGAGGACCATCCCAATCTGCCTTCCCTCCCATTATCCCCTAACCCCAGCCCTCCAGCCCCACCACTCAACATCTTAGCACCTGAAAATTCAGAAAGGTGCGAGACTGTTTTTCCACCAGCCGAGTTGGGGGTAAAAAGGCTCAAAGTCAGAAAGCAAGCTGAGTTATGGAGAATAAAGTCATGCTTTTCATACACCTGAGTTTATGGCCATGATTCAAGGCAGAGAAGGCAGTGTGCGGCATGAGGGAGAAGGATGTAGGTGGCTCTTGGGCTGGAGGAGGTTGGAGTCTGATTGTGGAGAGCCAGTTTGAGTTCTCCTGGATTAGCCAAACTCCCACCACAGAGAGGGAGTTGAAGACTTGGTTCTCTGCCTGAGCAAAACCTGTATGTTCTCAGAACAAAATGAAATGTGTTATTGCTGATCAACAAGATACTAACAATAAAGCACTTTGTTAAACACCTTCATATATGTTTGTTAATATGGTGAATCCTGTAGTGAGAATTGCTAAGATACAGTGTTTACTTAATAAATAAGCCTAGGGAGATTTGGAACTTTGCCTATAAAGAGTGAAATAGATTCATCTGGATAGATTTAATGTTCATGACAGTCAACCAAATGAGAAAGTTTATTTTGGCAATGGGTGCGAGGTATTTTTATTGCTCTCATTTAGTTCTTATTCCTTATTGCCTTTGCAAAATAAATAATGCTGCTTCATGCAAAATAAACTTCAAGCATGTTTTAACCTGATTTGTGTGGATGAGTCAAGATTTCCCCAAGAATCTATCCTGCAGCAGTCTCTTCTTCCACTAATTTATTTTTGTAAAAAAATTAATAGGCTTTCTTTTCTTTTTTAGCATTTTAGGTTTACAGAAAAATTTAGCAAAAAATATAGAATTCCCATATATACCTCTGCTCCCTACCCTGTCCCCCAATTTCTCTTATTAACATCTTGCATTAGTGTGGTACAATTGTTAAAAACTTGATGAGCCAATATTGATCATTATTATTAACTAAAGTCCATAGTTTACATTAGGGTCCACTCGTTGTGGTGTATATTCTATGGGTTTGAATAAATGTATGATGGCATGTTTCTACCATTACAATATCACACAGAGTAATTTCACCGCCCTAAAAATCCTCTGTGCTCCACCTATTCATTCTCTCTCCCTTTCCTTTTCCAGCCCTGGCAGCCACTCCAATTTGCTTTTATTAATCACACAAACAACTATACAGCAAATGAAATGAGAATCCAGTGAATACACATTTACATTGTATATCTAACCTTTTACATCAGTTCACATTGTCTCTATCTTTATCAGTAGGCAAGTTTATATTTTTCCATAGCTATAATAACTGTGCATATTATTTTCAATTCTAATTGTGTTCAATCAGCATCACTTCATAGATCTATTCCTATGTACAAGCAGATTCCACACACATATCATCTTTTATCTTGCCATAATGTCTAAGGATGAATTACCTTATGCTTGCTATGATTTTTCAGGATAAACTACCTGCCCTACAGTTATGAGATGTTTGCTCAAGTTCTAGCTCTTCAACATAAACAACTGGCATTGCCATACAATTTGATTCTTGTGAACTAAATGGTGTCATACAGAGAGGGTCATTTTTCTTCAAAGAACAAGTTTTTGGAGATCTCTCATAATTCAAGATTCATTTTTCCATAGGAATAAATAAAGAGTATGAGAGATGAATTCTGGGAGTACAAAAACCTATCACTATTGGAGCACATTTTTGCTTTCATGTTGCTTTTCATTTTTTAGCACTATTTTTAATTTTTCCTATAGTCTCCTAAATTAATAGGCAGTCTCCTAAATTAATAGTACAGTAATAATTTGCCTTATTCATACCATTTTCTCCTATCTAAATTTTATGCTGGACTTTCTGATTTATAGTTGCGTTTTTTTTCCGTCCAGTTTTAGCAACATCATCACTTGAATGACATTTTTATAAGATTTGTAAAATCTTTCAAATTATAGTAACAGTCAATATTAGAATAACAATCTAATAAATACTAACCTCACTCACAGAATTTCAGATGTCTTTGAACAACCATGGTTCTCCTGACATGGAGAATGAAGAGGATTACAGTTTGCTAACTGAAGGGGCACTCTCAGATGCTAGGCAGCAATTGAGAACAGTTTACAAGTCACTTCCTTACAGTGAGACTTAAAATTTTTATATCATGCTGCATTACATTACTTTAAATAGAGTATTTAAACTATTTCCACAGCAGAATGCATGCAGCCTTCAGCTGGCCCTGCTGAATTGCATGCACCTTAAAAACAACTAGAAGGATGTCGGGCGCGGTGGCTCACGCCTGTAATCCCAGCACTTTGGGAGGCCGAGGCGGGCAGATCACCTGAGGTTGGGAGTTCGAGGCCAGCCTGACCAACATGGAGAAACCCCGTCTCTACTAAAAACACAAAATTAGCTGGACATGATGGCGCATGCCTGTAATCCCAGCTACTCGGGCAGTGAGGCAGGAGAATCGCTTGAACCCAGGAGGCGGAGGTTGCGGTGAGCTGAGATCGCGCTGTTGCACTTCCAGCCTGGGCAACAAGAACAAAATTCCGTCTCAAAAAAAAAAAAAAAACTAGAAGGCTATTTTGTTTCCTTTAGGCTGCAACTCACTTTTTATCTTATCATCCAAATAAACCAAAAATCTCTTTTGGAACATAAGCTTGGGGTTTTCTTTTCTTTCAGCATAAAAAATTCCCAAGGAGCTGGACAACAGTAACTCATTTAGAGAGGTTTCATTCTGGCTGTGCAAGCCCCAGTCTGATTCTTGGGTCCTGACTTTCCTTTCCTTGTGAAGTGACTGCAGATTGTAGGCAAGGCTGTGGCCCTGGTCTAGCATTTCCCATGCAGGATTTACAGCCTCGCTGCTGAAGGGATGCCCAGTGAGAGACTTTGAAACAGCTTGTTTAGGTAAGTGTAGATGCATCCAAGTCCCAGCCAGCCAGCCTTAGCTGTGACTCTGCAGTGCCTGGTAGAGCTGCCTATGACATTCCTCAAGTCAGCCCTGCAGACCATCCTACAACAGCCACTCCATGGAGATCAGAGCTATATAAGCTAGTTTTTTTCTGTTTTTGTTTTTGTTTTTGTTTTTTTAGTATTGAGTTGTAGGAGTTCCTTATATATATTGGGGTTTAACCCCTTATCAAATAGTTTGCAAATATTTTCTCCCACTTCACGGATTGCCTTTTCACTCTGCTGATTTTCTTTACTCTGCAGAAGCTTTTTAGTTCATTGTAGTTTCACTTACTTATTTTTTAGTTTTGTTGCCTATGCTTTTGACGTTATATTGTGAAGATGTGGAAACAGCCTAAATGTTCATCTGCAGATGAACAAATAAATAAAAATGTGGTATATATACACAACAGAATATCCTTCAGCCTTAACAAAGAAGGAAATCCTGCCTCATGCGACAATATGGACTAAGCTTAAGGACATTGTGCTGAGTGAAATAAGCCAGTCACAGAAAGACAAGTACTGTATGATTCCACTTACATGAGGTATCTAAAACAGTCAAATTCATAGAATCAAAGAGTGGAATGGTAGTTGCCAGCCACTGGGGGGAGGAGAAATGGAACGGTACTAACAACAGGCATCAAGTTTCAGTAAAGCCAGATGAATAAGCTCTAGAAATCTGCCACATTGTACCTATACAGTAGTTCCTCCTTAACTGCAGTTTTGCTTTTAGAGGTTTCAGTTACCCAAGGTCAATCACAGTCTGAAAATAGGTGAGTAGGGTACAATGCAATATTTTGACACAGAGAGAGAAACCACATTTACATAACTTTTATTGCAGTATATTATCACAATTATTCTATTTTATTACTAGCTATCATTGTTCATCTCTTACAGTGCCTAATTTATAAATTAAACTTTATCATAGGCATGGTGTCCTAATTAGGGAAAAGGAGTCAGGCTTGTAGGACCAGGGGAAAGCAAAGAGATAAAGCAAATAAGCCATATGTCTGCCTTTCTTCATGGTCCAGAACATATAAACAAAAACAGGAAGCAGATAAGCTACAGGGCTGCTTTTCTTTATGGCCCAGGACATATGGCCCTCCTGCACAGATAACGTACAGAACTCCCAAACTTCCTGTTTATCATCAAATGATTCAATTTTTCAAACACCCCGGCTGGCAGAAGAATGCAAGTTAAGCTCCGTGCTGCTTTGGCATTATCAATCAGCCCAAGTTCCGTTCTATAAAATCCTCAGCAAGCCTTTTGACATGGTTTGGCTGTGTCCCCACCCAAATCTCATCTTGAACTGTAGTTCCCATAATCCCCCTGTGTGGTGGGAGGGACCAAGTGGGAGGTAATTGAATCATGGGGGCGGTAACCTTCATGCTGTTCTTGTGATAGTGAGTGAGTTCTCACGAGATCTGATGGTTATATGAGGGGCTTTTCTTTTTTTGCTTGGCACTTCTGGGTTCTGCCACACCGTAAAGGACATTTGCTTCCCCTTCTGCCATGATTGTAAGTTTCCTGAGGCCTCCCCAGCCCTGAAGAACTGAGTCAATTAAACCTCTTTCCTTCATAAATTATTCAGTCTTGGGTATGTCTTCATTAGCAGCGTGAGAAATAACTAATACACCTTTGTTTCCTTGCAGTCCGCTCCTTTTGTGCTGGTTCTGCCTGCTGCCTCCTGGCAATGTATTTTCATACTTTCTCTAATAAACCTGCCTTTCTTATTTACAACTGTCTTGGTAAACTCTTTTATCCCCTACTGATATGGGAGTGCTGGGAAGGGAAGAGAGTGGTCCCTTTAAATGATATGAAAGTGGAAAAGGGAAATGCTGGGTAGAGGAGGGTGTGATCACTGGCCAGGGCTCTACCCTCATGGACCTAGGTGAGGACAGGCACATCTGCCTTCCCACCCAAATGTTGCATCTTCCAAGACCACCCTGGCCATGTAAAAGCCCGAGACCCTAGCAAGGCAGAGACACAAGCGGCTGGATGTTGTGAGCAACAAGGCAGAAGAAGACATAAGCGGCTGGTTGTGGAGAGCACACTGGTGGAAGAGCACGCCAACAAGCACTGGCAAGCCATTGACCAGCAGAAGGACGCAGAATTTGGACGGAGCAGTCAGAGGCGACCTGACTCCAGGGGAAAACCATCTCCCTTCTGGCTCCCCCATCTGCTGAGAGCTACTTCCACTCAATAAAACTTTGAGTTCATTCTCCAAGCCCACGTGTGATCAGATTCTTCTGGTACACCAAGGCAAGAACCCTGGGATACAAAAATCCCTCTGTCCTTGTGATAAGGAAGGGGGTCTAAATGAGCTCGTTAACACAAGCCGCCTATGTTGTCCGGACAACTAAACAAAAAGAGCACCCTGTAACACATGCCCACTGGGTCTTCAGCTGTAAACGGCACCCCTAGACACTGCCGTGGGGTCAGAGCCCAACACCCTGCCCATCTGTATGCTCCCCTAGAGGTTTGAGCAGTGGGGCACTGAAGAAGGGAGCCACACCCCCAATGCATGCCCTATAAGGGGGAAAAGAGGCCCTTTCCCCTTTCACTACCACCGGCTCAGGTAGTCCTTGCCACCCCACAACAATAGGTAGGTAGGTAGTAGGAAAAAACATAATACAGTCATGTGCTGCACAACGACATTTTGGTCAATAATAGACCAAGTATATGACAGTGGTCCCATTAGATTATAATATTGTATTTCTACAGTGCCTTTTCTATGTTTAGCTACACAAATACTTACCATTGTGTTAAAATTGCCTACAGTATCCAGTACAGTAACAAAATTCAGTACAGTAACTACACAGGTTTGTAGCTGAGGAGCAACAGGCTGTACCACCTAGGTTTGCGCAAGTACACTCTATGATGTTCACAGAATGACAAAATCACCTAGTGACACATTTCTCAGAGCATATCCCTGTCATCAAGTGACACATGATGTATACATAGGGTTCCGTACTATTCGAGGTTTCAGGCTCCCCTCAGGGTCTTGGAAGGTATCCCCTGTGGACAAGCAGGGACTACTAAAATTAGCAATAATATATTGTATACCTACAAAATCTGTTAAGGGGGTAGATCTCTTGTTTAGTGTTCTTACCACAATAAATAAAATAAAATAAATAACTATGTAGATTAACAAAGGAACATGAACACAGGAAAATACAGACACCTTGCACTAAACATCTGAGTTGGCAGATGAAGGCTAATAAAGGAAGATCTTAAAAAAGGAATGACTCCCACACCTTGGAATTATTCAGCAGAGAGTCTGAAGTTAGAAAGCCCCCGTGTGCTTCTTGTGTGAAAAGTCCTCACTACGGTCTACAGCCCTGGCTATTTCTCTGACTGCCATCTGTCACTGACCACTAGCTCACTTTGCTCCAGAGGGAAATGGAAAGAGAACTCAAGGATTTTGTCAATATTAAAGGGACATATAAAAGAAGCCATACAAGATCATACCTCTTATAAATTACTTACTTGGTGAACCCACAATGGTTCTTTGATACTTGCTACTCAAGGTGGTGGGGTCCACATGCCCAGCAAGCAGCCTCTTAGGAGCTGACTTGTGTCTCCACAAAATTCATGTGTTGAAGTCTTAACCCCCAGTACCTCAGAACGTGACTGCATTTGGAGATAGGGCTTTTAAAGAAATAACTGAGTTAAAATGAGGTCATTAGATGAGCCCTAATTCAATATGATTGATGTCCTTTAGAGAAGAGGAAATTTAGACACAGATGCACTAGCAGAAGGAAGACTAAATAAAGACACAGAGATTGCCAAGGACAGAGATCTCAGAAGAAAACAACCCCACCGACACCTTGATCTCAGACTTGCAGCCTCCAGAGCTGTGAGGTCATAAATGTCTGTTGTTTAAGCCACCTGGACTATGACACTTTATGTTGGCAGCCCTAGCAAACTAATCCATGGTGCTAGCATCACCTGGGAGCTCCTTAGAAATGCTCACTCTCAAGCCCCAATTCAGATCTACTAAATCTCCAGGAGATGAAACCCCAGAACTTGTGTTTTAACAAGTCCTTTGAGTGATTCTTGTGCAGCTAAATTTTGAGCAGCACCCATCCGAGTGGCGGTTCTTGGCGGCACATTAGGGTCACCTGGGCAACTTTTGAAATGAGCCTCACCTTGAGATTTTGATTCACTTGGTCAAGGGTTGCCTGGTCAGGGGTTGTAAGGGTGGACTAGGCTTAAGTATTTATTTTGTTTGTTTGTTTGTTTGTTTGTTTGTTTGTTTTGAGATACAGTCTCACTTTCTAGCCTAGTCTGGAGTGCAGTGGCGCAATCTCACCTCACTGCAACCTCTGCCTTCTGGGTCCAAGCAATTCTCCTGCCTCAGCCTCTCCAGTAGCTGGGATTACGGGCACTCGCCACCATGCCCAGCTAATTTTTGTATTTTTTAGTAGAGACGGGGTTTCGCCATGTTGACCAGGCCGGTCTTGAACTCCTGACCTTAGGTGATCCACCCGCCTCGGCCTCCCAAAGTGCTGGGATTACAGGCGTGTCCCACTGTGCCCAGCCAACTTAAGTATTTTTTAAAGCTCCTCTGTTGACTGTAAGGTGCAGACAGGGTTGACATACCCTGATTTAGTGCCTGCGGGCATAGCGTAGAAACCTACAGAAGAGATGACTGATCGCAGGTACTTTGGGGTAAAGTGAGGCAGTTTACTACCTCTCTAGCCTAATGAGCTTCTTTAGTAATGTGTGCCTTCAAGAACAAACTGGATATTTTTCTCTAGAGGTAATGAAGCATTCTTCCTCCACCTGCAAATCCTCAGCTTCCTTCTGTGACTTGGGAAGCACCAACGCTGAGGAGGTAAAGGCATTGTCACAAATCAGAGCAGCCTGACCCACCAGATTGGGAGAGGAATTTAGGAATTCTGGATCTGGCACTGCTGTCCTTTTGCCTCATGTGGAACTGGGCATGTGCAATGCCCCTCTCAAATAGCATAAGGATGTATTGTGCTATTTCTCCTAAGGGGTTAGTAAAGCTTATATTCTAAGCTTCTGGGGCTCCTCATTTAGGATTTTATAAACATCCATGCTGAGGTGTAAATGCCTGATAAGGATTAATAAGGTACCTTTTCTGCCTGTGTTTGCATTTTAAAAAGAGATAAACCTCTAGGTGGTGGGGAAACAACTCTGGAGGTGGAATTTTTATGTGTTAGCAAACTGGCAAGTGAGATAGGGTTTTGACAGAAAAATAAAAATAGCAATAACAATCATTGAGTATATACCCTGTGCCATGCCTGTACTCAGAAGTGTTTCATCCATTGTCTCGCTTAATCTTCACAAGCATGCTGGAGGCAAGATCAGAGAAAACTTTTTTTTTTTAGACGGATCTCGCTCTGTCGCCCAGGCTGGAGTTCAGTGGCACGATCTCAGCTCACTGCAACCTCTGCCTCCTGGGTTCAAGCTGTTCTCCTGCCTCAGCCTCTGGGGCAGCTGGGATTACAGTTGTGTGCCACCACTCCTAGTTAAATTTTGTATTTTAGTAGAGATGAGGTTTCACCATGTTGGCCAGGCTGGTCTTGAACTCCTGACCTCAAGTGATCCACCCGGCTTGGCCTCTCAAAGTGCTGGGATTACAGATGTGAGCCACCACACCCGGCCAAGATCAGAGAACTCAAAACTTACCCCATCCACCTCACAGTGTACTATGTACATGAACATGACTTATATTTTTCCACAGTCTTCACTACTTTAGGAAACTCTTCTCCAGGATTATGAAGCTGCAAATAACCTTTATTGTTACTATCCTGAAAGTATTCCACTAGTCTCATCAACTTTCCAAGGCTCTGTTGGAAATCCTTTCCTTATAGAGTCTATCAATCCCTTGCCCAATCCTATTCAAGCTCTCCCAATGAAAGACCAGTCCTAGACCGGACCCCTCGAATTCTTATAAATATCCTACATGGCCCTCCCCTTGACTAAAAGCTACCAGGACTCCACTGAGACAGCGAGAGCCCTCTTACCTCAGTAAGCTATAAACTCAGCTTTGCTTTGTCCACAGCCTATGTGGTGGTGCCTTGAGGAGCCAGCACTGACAGCGCTATTCGTCTTTCCATTTTACAGGTGAGAAAATTGAAGCCTAGAGAGGTTAGCTAATTTATCCAAATACACAGATCAAGTGGTAGGTCCTGCATTCAAATCCTTTCTTATTTCAGAATGTACAATTCTAGTCACATGTCTACACTACCTTCCCTGAACATCTGAAATCATATGATGCAGTCACTTGTTCTTTCCCCATCAGTAGTCAACTATGTGGTAATAATCCCAGAGAAGCTGGAATTTGAAATGGCTGCCTGACTCAGGCCATGTTTTAAGTTTCCTGAAGCCAGGAGCATGGTGTTTTCCAATGATCCAAGCTCTGGGACATTCCTGACTACTGAGATCATTACACAAAAAGAGGTTTGCTAGTTGAGGTCTGTTATTGCTTTTCTTTGATGTCCGCCTGCCTGAGTCGCAGCCATCCTTGCCTTTCCACAGAGCAGCTGCCCACCCACCACCATTATGTCCCTGGTATCTGCAGGGGGCAACATTGAAGTCTACAGCTTCTTTCTGCTCCCCACCATACCAAGCCACCTTTCTCCATACCCAGCCTGATGCCTGCCCTGTCTTGCAATCCTACCCAGGGTGCCCAGCATCCTGGAAGTCCTAGCAGACCACACCTTGGTAATAGAGAGTAGGCAGGCAGGCAGACGCATGCAGCTGGTGGGTAGGGAAGGCACCTGGCAACCCCTCCCAGATGGAAAACAAAAAGCAACGCAAACTATAACAGAATATGTGTCTTCAGGCTCCCTCCCCTTACTGCCCGTAACATGTCTCTGCTACCAAGGGTGGCCATGGGCCAGCACCTCCTCAGACAGGCCCTTAGGAAGTAAAACCCTCTGGGAAGAAGGGGAAGAGTTATATAAGGGAGAACAAAGGCTAACCACTGAAGACAGCTTGGGACCCTTATGGGCCTGGCTGTGATGAGATGGAGCAGGGACTCCGCTTAGAGGTTTGCTGGGCACCCCAAGCATGGAAATAAAGGAAAGATTTTGAATCCCTTCAAAATGCCTGGGAAATTCCAGGCACTTAGCTAGGCCCTGCAACCAGCAATTAAAAAGGTTAGCAGGCCGGGCGTGGGGGCTCACTCCTGTAATCCCAGCACTTTGGGAGGCCGAGGTGGGCAGATCACTTGAGGTCAGGAGTTCGAGACCAGCCTGGCCAACATGCTGAAACCCCATCTCTACTAAAAATACAAAAATTAGCCGGGCGTGGAGGCACGCACCTGTAGCCCAGCTACTTGGGAGGCTGAGGTAGGAGAGTCGCTTGAACCCGGGCGGTGGAGATTGCAGTGAGCTGAGATCGCGCCACTGCAATCCAGCCTGGGTGACAGAGTGAGACTGTCTTGAAAAAAAAAAAGTAAACAATTCAGTAAGCAAGAAGATAATAATAACAACCTGGCCACCAGGGTGAAACCCTATCTCTATTAAATATACAAAAATTAGCCAGGCGTGGTGGCTCATGCCTGTAGTCACTGAGGCACGAGAATCGCTTGAACTCGGGAGGCAGAGATTACAGTGAGACAAGATCGCACCACTGCACTCCAGCCTGGGCAACAGAGTGAGAAAGAAAAAAAAGAAAGAAAAAAAGAAATGTTTGGGTAAAAAATGTTTTAGTATATATTAACATGTCCATCTTTATACCAACAACGTCATAAAATGTAAGTTTTAATATTATTTTAAGGAAGAAATTAATTATCCAGGAAGGCAAAAGTGCCTTGGGTCCATGAAAGTCACAATGCAGGCTGTACCTGACATCTCCTTTTCAATGTCTCAAAGGTGTCTTCTAATCTATGTGTCCAGAACTGAACACATGCTTCTCCACGCTCCTCTTCTGGTCCTCACACAGTGTCCCCTAAATCAGTGAAGGGCTCATTGTTGTGAAAATAAACAAAGACCACCCAAATGGGAGCACGCACAGGCTACTTATTTAGAGCTGGCTAAAGCAAGGGAGACACTTGCATTTGACAGAAACTTAAAGGCAGTTAGGGGAGAGGGGAAGCTTTACAGCAGCAGGGGTGTGGGGAGGCTTTGGATATGCTCTGATTGGAGGCTGCTTGTGTGGGGAAGTTGAAGGGGGTTAACTAGAACTAGGGGGTCTTACGTGATTGGCTTAGGGAGCGTATTTGGCTTTCTCTGGTTGGTCCTGAGTTAGAAGTGGGGGCAAAAACATAGGCACCAATAAAGCACCATTGAGCAAATTCTGACCATTCTGGCATGATTGTTGCAGAGGCTGTGGTTTAGCTTCCTGGCATAGTTGCTGCAGAGGTTGTGAGGCAGAGTTCTGTTGCCATATGTGGCCTGGCTTTTGTTCATTTGTGTATTCTGACTCTTTTTCCTTTTTTAAAAAATGTTTTAATTCCATAGGTTATTGGGGAACAGGTGGTATTTGGTTACATGAGTAAGTACTTTAGTGGTGATTTGTGAGATTTTGGTGCACCCATCTCCCGAGCAGTATACACTGAACCTGATTTGTAGTCTTTTATCCCTCACCCGCTTCCCACACTTTCCCCCCAAGTTCCCAAAGTCCACTGTATCATTCTTATGCCTTTGCATCCTCATAGCTTATCTCCCACCTATGAGAACATACACTCCATTCCTCAGTTACTTCTTAGAATAATAGTCTCCAGTCTCATTCAGGTTGCTGCAAATGCCATTAATTCATCCCTTTTTATGGCTGAGTATTAATCCATCATATACATATACCAGTTTCTTTATCCACTCATTGATTGATGGGCATTTGGGTTGGTTCCACATTTTTGAAATTGCGAATTGTGCTGCTATAAATATGTGTGTGCAAGTATCTTTTTCGTATAATGACTTCTTTTCCTCTGGGTAGATAACCAGTAGTGGGATTGCTGGATCAAATGATAGTTCTACTTTTAGTTTTCTAAGGGATCTCCACACTGTTTTCCACAGGGGTTATGCTAGTTTGCATTCCCATGAGCAATGTAGAAGTGTTCCCTTTCCCTTTTCACTGCATCCACACAAACATTTGTTATTTTCTTATTATGGCCATCCTTTCAGGAGTAAGGTGGTATCGCATTGTGGTTTTGATTTGCATTTCCCTCATCATTAGTGATGTCGAGCATTTTTTTCATATGTTTCTTGGCCATTTGTATATCTTCCTTTGAGAATTGTCTACTCATATCCTTAGCCCACCTTTTAATGGGATTTTTTTTTCTTACTGATTTGAGTTCATTGTAGATTCTGGATATTAGTCCTTTGTCAGATGTATAGATTGTGAAGATTTTCTCCCACTCTGTGGGTTGTCTGTTTACTCTGCTGACTGTTCTTTTTGCTGTACAGAAGCTCTTTAGTTTAATTAAGTCCCAGCTATTTATCTTTGTTTTTGTTGCATTTGCTTTGCTTCTGGGTTCTTGGTCATGAAATCCTTGCCTAAGCCAATGTCTAGAAGGGTTTTTCTGATGTTACCTTCTATAATTTTTATAGTGTCAGGTCTTAGATTTAAGTCCTTGATCCATCTTGAGTTGATTTTTGTATAAGGTGAGAGATGAGGATCCAGTTTCATTCTTCTACATGTGGCTTGCCAATTATCCCAGGACCACTTGTTGAATAGGGTGTCCTTTCCCCACTTTGTGTTTTTGTTTGCTTTGCCAAGTATCAGTTGGCTGTAAGTATTTGGGTTTATTTCTGGGTTCTCTATCTGTTCCATTGGACTATGTGCCTATTTTTATAGCAGTACTATGCTGTTTGGTGACTATGGCCTTTTAGTAGTTTGAAATCAGATAATGTGATACCTCCAGATTTGCTCTTTTTGCTTAGTCCTGCTTTGGGTATGCAGGCTCTTTTTTGGTTCCATATGAGCTTTAGGATTGTTTTTCTAATTCTGTGAAGAATGATGGTGGTATTTTAATGGGAATTGCATTAAATCTGTAGATTTCTTTTGGCAGTATGGTCATTTTCACAATATTCACTCTACCCATCCATAAGCATGGGATGTGTTTCCATTTGTTTGACTCTCACTATCTCTCTCAGCCTATTCAGGTTGCTCTAACAAAATACAATGAACTGAATAATTCACAAATGATAGAAATTCATTTCTCACAGTTCTACAGCCTGGGAAGTTCAAAATCAAGACACTGGAAGATTCAATGTCAATTGATGGCTGCTTGCTCCTTCCAAGATGGCACCTTCTTGCTGCATCTTCACATGGCTAAAAACGGAAAAAGGGATGAACTCTCTCAAGCTCTTTATTAAGGACACTAATCCCGCTGATGAGAGCATAGCCCTTATGACCTAATCATCTCCTAATGGCCCCACCTCTTAATACTGTTGCACTGGAAATTAAGTTTCAACACGAATTTTGGAAGGATGCAAACATTCAAATTACAGCATTTTGCCTCCGGTTCCCCCAAATTCATGTTTTTCTCACTTACAAAATACATTCTTTTCATTCCAATAGCCCCAAAAGTCTTAACTGAATCCAGCATCAACTTTAAAGTTTAAGTCCAAAGTCTCACGTAAATATCATCTAAATCAGATATAAATGAATGATTAGTTTGAAGCAAACTCCCCCTCCAGCTGTGAACCTGTGAAATCGAACAAGTTATGTGCTTTCAAATTACAATAGTGGCTGGGCACGGTGACTCATGCCTGTAATCCCAGCACTTTGGGAGGCCAAGGCAGGTGGATCACAAGGTCAGGAGTTCGAGACCAGTCTGGCCAACATGGTGAAACCCTGCCTCTACTAAAAATACAAAAATTAGTCTGGCGTGATGGTGGGTACCTGTAATCCCAGCTACTCGGGGGGCAGAGAAACACTTGAACCCGGGAGGCAGAGGTTGCAGTGAGCCAAGATCACGCCACTGCACTCCAGTCCGGGTGACAGAGCAAGACTCTGTCTCAAAAAAAAAAAAAAAAAGAAAGAAAGAAAGAAAAAAAGACAATAGTGATATCAGCATAGGATATACATTCTCATTCCAAAAGGGAGAGGTAGGAAAGAAAAGAGTAACAGGTCTCAAGTAAGTCCAAAACCCAACAAGGCAAACATTAAATATTAAGGCTTGAGAATGATCTTCTTTGACTCCATGTCCCATCTTCTGAACACACTAAGGTTCACCCAGGTGGGCTCACCCCCTTGGCTTTGCTGGGCACAACCCATGGTCAGCAGGGTTTGGAGTCATGTGACTGTGGCTCTCCCAGGTTGATGTTGCATGTTGGTGGCTCTACCAACCTGGGGTCACAAGGGTGGCCCTATTCTCATGGCTCCATTAGACACTGTCTTAGTGGGGACTCTCTGCCAACTATATTGTACCTGGGCCCACTGAAGCCATACCTGGGGTGGCTGAGGGGCACTGCACCAGAATTTGTGGAGCAGAAATGTGAGGCAATACTAGGAAGTGGGCCCCAAGGTCCCACAGATGCCCTGTGCTCCTGCTTTGAAATCATTCTGTCCTCAAGGGCCTGGCACTCTGGGCTTGTGATGGGAGTGGCAGCCTTGAAGATCTCCAAAATACCTTAGGGGTCATTCTTCCATTGTCTTGATTAATAGCATCTGACTTCCTTCTAGCCATACTAATCGCCTTACCAAACATTCTCTTGGTCACACTCTTGGTGTTCTCTCTCAACCATGCTTCTTATCCTTTACAACTTGACAAGGCTGAGACTTTTCCAAATCTTTAAGTTCTGCCTCTCTTTTAATTATAAATTCCATCTTTAATTCAATTCTCACTTCTCACATTTTATTACAAGCAGTCAAGGGAAGCCAAGCAGCTCCTTCAACACTTTGCTTAGAGACTTCTCCTGCAAATATCATATGAATACAATGTAACCAAGGTTCTTTTTTTTCTTTTTGTCACTTATTAACTTACTTCTGTAGTTTCCACTATCTTGTTCCTCATTTCCATCTGACACTTCACTAAAATGGCCTTTACTGTCCATATTTCTTTTCTTTCTTTCTTTTTTTTTTTTTTTTTTCTTGAGACAGGGTCTCACTCTGTTGCTTAGGTTAGAATGCAGTGGCACAATCATGGCTCACTGCAACCTCAACTTCCCAGGCTCAAGTAATTCTACCTTAGCCTCTGAGTAGCTTGGACTACAGGCAAGCACCACCATGCTTGGCTAGTTTTTTAAAAAACATTTTTTTAAATAAAAATGGGGTGTCCCTATGTTGCCCAGGCTGGTCTTGGACTCCTGGGCTCAAGCTATCCTCCCACCTCAGTCCCTCAAAGTGCTGGGATTACAGCCGGGAGCCACCATGCCCAGGTTACTGTCCATATTTCTGCCAACTGTCTGGTTCATGACCACTTAAGTAATCTCTAAGAAGATTGAAGGTTTCTCTACAACTCTTCTGAGTTCTCACCAGAAATCGCCCTTAATGCTCCATTCATGGCAACACAGGCTTTTTCTAGCCTGCTCCTCTGAACTGTTCCAGTCTCTGTCCATTACCAGTTCCAAAGCTGTTTTTACATTTTTAGGTATTTGTTACACAGTACTCCACTCCTGGTACTAATTTTCTGCCTCAATTTTTTGGGCTACTATAACAAAACACCAAACACTGGCTAATTTATAAAGAACAGAAATTTATTTCTCACAGCTGAGGCTGGGAAGTCTAAGATCAAGGTGCCAATAGATTCGGTATCTGGTAAGGGCTTGTTCTTTGCTTCCAAGACGGCACCTTCTTACTGCATCCTTACATGGCAAAAAGAGAAAAGGGATGAACTCACTCCCTCAAGCCCTTTTACAAGGGCACTAATCCAATTTATTAGAGCAGAGTCCTTCAGACCCAATCACCTCCTGAAAGCCCCACCTCTGAATACTATTGCATTGAGGATTCAGTTTCAACATGAATTTTGGAAGGACACAAACATTCAAACCAGAGCACTCTCTATCCTGTTTCATAACCTAGAAATCCAGAAGTTATCTTGAATTCTTTCCTCTCCCACTCCCCATATATAACCCATCATCAAATCCCATAAATCCACCTTCTCAAATCGCTCTTGAGCCTGTCACTTCTTACTGTCTCCACCATGGTACCAACAAACTATTTTCACCTTTAAAATGACGTACTAAATAACCTCCTAACTTGGCCTACCCACCTCCACTGCCCCCTTCCCAATTTATTTGTCAGAACTATTACTTCAAAAGCCAACTCTGATCACATCACCCCATGCTTAAATTACTTCAATAGCTTCCCTTTGGTTTTAGGATGAAGACTAAAATCCTTAACCTGTCCTCCAGTGCCCTACGTGGTCTGGTCTGGCTCCCATCCTTCAGCCTCCTCTTGCTTCACACAACCTCCTATTTCTTTCTGTTTGAGCCACACTGGCAATCTTTCAGTCCCTGATGCATCCTTCCATCTGCCTCAGGGGATTTACTGGAAGGCAGTTCCGGCATCAGAGGAATAGCCGGAGCACCAGGGTAGGAGTCAGAACAGCTCCAGGGACACAGGTAGTAGGAGAAAAATGAAGTCTCATCAGGGCACCTATATGGGAAATATCAGCTCCATCACCCTTGCTTCACTATGCTTAAGATCCACAGTCCCAGAAGACAGTTCAATGGGTGTGGCTGACTTGGGTTACATATCCATACCTCGGCTAGGAAACCTTGAATAAAAATCCCCATAAAGCTTTAAACAATGAGGAGAAAGTAATTCTCCAAGAGCAAATGCGCAGTTCTTATCAGAAGGAGGAAGAATGAATTCAGAGTGATCCAAAAATCAACAACTGTCCACTTAACATATGTTCCCACTACTTGGAATGTCTTCCTGTATCCTCTTTGGTTAGTTAGTCCTACTCAGTTTTCAGTGTTGTACCCAGGTGAGTTAAGAAAACGTCACACTTTGAGACGAATTAAGAGTCCTTTATTAAGCCGGCGGCCAAAGAGACGGCTAATGCTCAAAATTCTCTCGGCCCCGAGGAAAGGGCTTGATTAACTTTTATACCTAGGTTTAGGAAGGGGAGGGGGACTCAAATGTAATAATTCTACAGAAGTAAAAACATGCAAGAATCAAAAGAATCAAAATGGTTACAGAGTGATAAACAACTTAAAAGACAAATGGTTACAAGAAGAGCAACGGTACCAGGTGCAAGGTTCTAAATCTTTTATTATAATTAGATATAGGGTTTATGCCGGACACGAACTCAAGGTTTTATGTTGTTATCTCTTGGAGAAAATTCCTGGGAACTTCATACGTTGTTGGTGTTGGTACCTTATCAGTTAATTGGGCTCCTTTGAAATGCTGAGGATCTGTTTACCCAGGCCAACTCCTCACGAAAGGGGGTTGGGTGAGGAGCCCTAGTGTCTTGTAAATTAAGGGGCCAATTGGAGTTTGCCCAGCTTTCCTAGCTAGAGAGTCTTATTTACATGAAAAGCAAGGCTAGGTGATTTAAAGAGACAAGCAGGACAAAATTCAAAGTAATGAGTTGAAGTAAAAACAAGGTTAGGCATTTCATCAGCATCCAACCCAGTTGTTCCTTCATTAGAGAAGCCTTCTCTCACTTTCCCATGGGATCAAAGTTCTCTATTCTGTTATTTCATAACACTATTTCATAGTACTTGCTAGTGTTGTAATTTTACATTTATTGGTGAATATTCTAATGAAATCATCTCTCCCAATAAGCTAAAGAGTCCGTGAGAGCAGAACCCATATCTGTTTGGTTCACTGTGTTATCTCCAGTGCCAAGCACAGGGCCTGGCAAAGCAAAGACACTCAACAGACATTCATTTAATGTAAGAATCAAGGCATATTTTCCCCACTGATATGAATTATGCCACTGTACCCTTAGAAAGCTAGCACAGGTAAATTTCTTATTTTTAATTTCAATAGCTTTGGGGGTACAGGTAGTTTTTGGTTACATAGATAAGTTATTTAGTGGTGATTTCTGAGATTTTGGTGCACTCATCACCCAAGCAGTGTACACTGTACCCATTATGTAATCTTTTATTCCTCACCCCCCTACCAGCCTTCCCTCTGAGTCCCCAAAGTCCATTGTATCATTCTTACGCCTTTGCATCCTCACAGCTTAGCTCCCACTTATAAGTGAGAATATACAATGTTTGGTTTTTCCATTCCTGAGTTACTTCACTTAGAATAATGGCCTCCAACTCCATCCAAGTTGCTGCAAATGCCATTATTTTGTTTTGTTTTACGACTGAGTAGTATTCCATGGTGTACATATACCACACTCTCTTTATCCACTTGTTGGTTGATGGGCATTTAGGTTGGTTCCATATTTTTGCAATTGTGAATTGTGCTGCTTTAAACATGTGAAACACAGCTAAATTTCTTTTCTTTTCTTTTCTTTTTTTTTTTGAGATGGAGTCTTGCTGTATCACCCCAGGCTGGAGTGCAGTGGTGCAATCTCGGCTCATGGCAACCTCTGCCTCCTGGGTTCATGTGATTCTCCTGCCTCAGCCTCCTGAGTAGCTGGGATTACAGGTGTGTACCACCACACCAGGCTAATTTTTGTATTTTTAGTAGAGACGGGGTTTCACCATGTTGGTCAGGCTGGTCTTGAACCCCTGACCTCGTGATCCATCTGCCTCGGCCTCCCAAAGTGCTAGGATTACAGGCATGAGCCACTGTGCCTAGCCACAGCTAAATTTCTAAATAAAAATTTTTGTTTCAAATATATACTTTATTATATACATTTTATCATCTAATCTTTACAAGAATGCTGCAGGAACCCATTTTCTACATAAAGAAACTGCAGCACAGGGAGTTAGGAAATTTGTTTAAGATCACATACCTGGTAAATAATCCATGACAGAGACAACTTCAGGTTCTATCTGATTCCAAAACTCAAGTTCAAAACTGCTATGTGGTATTACCCCTCTGTAACACAAAGACGTTAAAGGTAGAACTCATTCATCTGTAAAATTGGCTTTCAAGTAAGTTCATTTTCATGCAAATCTAGATATGCCCCATAAAAGTTAGTTTAATTTGTAAAATACTGATCTATAGAGAGAATAAAATTCTGGGCAGATGCAATTTTACAGAGAATTTTAATGCTTACCAAACAGCTTTTTCTCTCATTCATGGTAAGTGACTCTGGCATGAGTAAAGGAACAGAGATTGGTGACATCATCATTAAGGTAACCTGTTCCCTAAATTTCAATTATAAATTGTATTTATAGACTATAAAAAGTATTTCAATTTTTCCAAAAGAGCTTCACTTTTTCAGTGTTTTTTCTAAGTAATAAGGGGATGCTGAAATAACACAAAGAATGATTTCATTTCCCAGGACTTACTGGAGAAGGGACTGAGGTAGGATCAGTTACTGGGGAACATGGAACTCACTGGGAAAGGAAAAGCAAAACCCACAAATATAAGGAAGAGTGTTTCTTCAGGTCAGCTACAGCAATGAGGCAGCCAAGATGCTTGTGAGGAAACAGTAAGGATAATGAGGCAGTCTCTCATTTTCTCATTTATTGCATGCTGGAGTCCTCAAATCTGCTAAAGATTCAGCGACAGGTTAACAGCAACAACTGCTATTTAATGATCATGGTGGTTTTCCCTAAAGGTCTCATTTTGTGGGAGGGGAAGCAAGGGGTGAATGTAAACTGACAGTACCGCAACAGGGAACTAAGTCATCTAATATGTGTTCTAGATACATAACCAGGGTCTGACTGTTGTGGCTTTCTGTATTTAACGTGTAAGAGGTTGTGACAACTCCCAGATCCTTTGAGAACACTGTGCTTTCAAAGCAGCTGGCTTGGTTTTAAAGACATCTGGATCATAATACACAATACGCACAGGAGCCCTGAAATAGGGGAAAAAGAAATCAACCTGAAATAAGATGAACAGAGAAGGTAGCTAATGTTTCTCAAGCATCCACTGTATGTTATGTACTATGATATTATCCCATTTTATTTTCATGACCTCCACTATACAGATAAGGAAATCAAGACTCAGTTAAATGAAGTTAAATGAATGAATTTACAGACAAATCCAGATTTATATGTCTCTCAGATTCCAAAACCTTTTCTCTTTCCCCAGAAAGTAAATTCAGGAAGTTGCTTAGTCTTGAACTTGAGTTTTGGAATCAGACAGACCTGAGTTTGTATCCCCTATGTATCATTTACCATAACATAATTTGTCAATGTTAAAACAAGCCAGAGTATTCTCTGGTAGACTTAAGAAAATAAAATTTTTGAAGTTGGCCACTCTCAGCACCTTACCACCAAATAATAATTTTGTCACCAGGATAAAAACCTTGATAATGCACTTGATCATATTCTTCTCTTTTACTTTTTATTTTATTGTTTTATTTTTTTGAGACAGGGTTTCACTCTGTCACCCAGGCTGGAGTGCAGTGGTGCGATCTCTGCTCACTGCAACCTCCTCCTCCCAGGCTCAAGTGATTCTCCTACCTCGGCCTCTCAAATAGCTGGGACTACAGACGTGCACCACTATGCCCAGCAAACTTTTTTGTATTTTTAGTACAGACGGGGTTTCACCATGTTGCCCAGTCTGGTCTCAAACTCCTGGGCTCAAGTGATCTGTCTGCTTTGGCCTCCCAAACTGCTGGGATTACAGGTGTGAGCCAACGCATCCAGCCTCTTCTCTTTAATGAACAGAGAATGAGCTTCATTTCATCTGATGGCAAATTTATTTTTTTTAAAGGATAAACACATTACAGCATTTTAAACATGTCATTATATAAGACTAGCATATTTCCTTTTCCCTGAGCTCAAGACTTCCACAACTTTTTCTGCCTCTCCTAGGTTTTGCTATTGATGCTTTAAAAGAGGGATCAGATGTTATCCGTCAAGGTAACAAAATTAATTGAGGCTCGGGCAAGTTAAGAGGCCTCCAAAAAATAAACAGAAATGAGAGGCAATGTTTTTCTTTGTTAATTATATATTCTTATCTATTTGAATTAGGCCATACACGTACATGATGCAAAACATTGGAAAAATACAAAAGCCTATTTATTGAAAAATAAGTCTTCCTCCTATCCCAATTCCCTAGGCCCCCAAAGGCAACCATTGTTACTAGCTTCTTGTATACCCTTCTGAGATACTACAGGCATATGCAAACAAATATATGGCCCATGTCTTTTTTTCTTACACAAATTGCAACATATTACATGCTGTGTTCTAGAATCTGTTTCACTTAATAATATATGTTAGATAAATAATTCCATACACATACTTATCAGACTGTCTCCTAGATCTTAAGTTTCTTTTTCCTTTTTCCTTTCTCTTTCTTAGAGCCAAGGTCTTACTCTGCTGCCTGGGCTGGAGTGCAGATCATAGCTCACTGTAACTTCAAACTCCTGGGCTCAAGCAATGACTTCCTGCCTCAGCCTCCCAAGTTGCTAGAACTACAGGCACATGCCACCACACCTGGCTAATTTTTGGTATTTTTTTGAAGAGATGGGGGTCTCACTTTGTTGCCTAGGCTGATGTCAAACTCCTGGGCTCAAGCGATCTTCCCACCTCTGCCTCCCAAAGTGTTGGGATTACTAGTATGAGCCACCGTGCCTGGCCAATATTTTTAAAGAATTTTTTGTAGAGACAGGGTCTCACTATGTTCCCCAGGGTGGTCTCCAACTCCTAGCCTCAAGCTATCCTCCCACCTTGGTCTCCCAAAGCACTAGGATTACAGGTGTGATCCACCTGCCCCATCCTAGATCTAAGTTGCAATACCTAGTCCACTAACCTTTTAACAGTAGCCTTATATTTAGGGTAAGAAGACCATAGATGTATCACAATAAATGTAATTCGTTAAGTAAGATGTTTTGGAAGTTCTTTTCATATTTCTACAACTCTTTTCATTTGCCTTATTAGGTCAACTTTCTCCCTCTCCCCAGAACCCCAGCCTTTCCTGTCCCACTTTAGCCTGAAATTGACATACCTCTTATTTGGATTAGCTAGTTCCTGAATCCTAGGTGATGCTTTGGAATGAGTAGTAGCATAAGATACTGGCCAATGGGCATCACGGTCAGGTAGATAATCTTGATGAACAGACTTGGACTTCGCTAGAGCTATTGTTCGGGGGCTAGGTTTAGCTATCATGGCAGCAGGAGGTACCTATAGTGGAAACAAAGAGACACAAAAATATATCCCAAATTTTACATTTCTCTATGTCTATAGCTATATCCCTACTTAAGTCACAATCATTTCTTTTCTGGATTACTGCAACAGACTCGTAACTGGTCTCTCTGCTTCCATCCTTGCTCCTGTACAATGCAGCCTTCCATGACAGTTACTGAGGGAGAGAATGAACATATAATGAGTGTGTTCTGTGAGCCAGACAGTGTTCTAAGCTTTACCTAAATCATTCCCACTTAATCATCACAACAGCTTCATGAGCTAAGTACTTTCTAAAGCCCAAATCAGATCATATCGCTACCAGGCTTTAAACCCATGCTGGGCTGGATGCGTTGGTTGCTACCTGTAATCCTATCACTTTGGGAGGCCAAGGCGGGTGGATCATGAAGTCAGGAGTCTGAGACCAGCCTGACTAACACGGTGAAACCCCGTCTGTACTAAAAATACAAAAATTAGCTGGGCTTGGTGGCCCGTGCCTGTAATCCCAGCTACTCAGGAGGCTGAGGCAGAAGAATCGCCTGAACCAGGGAGTCGGAGGTTGCAGTGAGCCAAGATCACACTACAGCACTCCAGCCTGGCAACAGAGTGAGACTCTGTCTCAAATAAATAAATAAATAAACCCATCCTATTGTTTCCCATTTTGCTAAAAATAATACTTAGGCTCAGCCAAGCACAATGGCTTGTGCCTGTAATCAGTCCCAGCACTTTGGGAGGCTGAGGTGAGCAGATCATTTGAGCCCAGGAGTTCAAGACTAGCCTGGACAAAATGGCAAAACCTCATCTCTACAAAAAAAAAAAAAAAAAAAAAAAAAAAAGAAAGCAAAGAAAAACAAAAATTAGCTGGTTTACATTCCCACCAACAGTGTAAAAGCATTCCTATTTCTCCACAGCCTTGCCAGCATCTGTTGTTTCCTGACTTTTTAATAATCACCTTTCTGAATGGTGTGAGATGGTATCTCATTGTGGTTTTGATTTGCATCTCTCTAATGATCAGTGATGTTGAGTTTTATTTTCATATGTTTGTTGGCCACATAAATGTCTTCTTTTGAGAAGTGTCTGCAGCACTATTCACAATAGCAAATACCTGGAACCAATCCAAATGCTCATCAATGATAGACTGGATAAAGAAAATGTGGTACATACACACCATGGAATACTATGCAGCCATAAAAAAGAATGAGATCATATCTTTTGCAAGGATATGGATGGAGCTGGAAGCCATCATCCTCAGCAAACTAACACAGGAACAGAAAACCAAACACTTCATGTTCTCACTCATAAGAAGGAGTTGAACAATGAGAATGCATGGACACAGAGAGGGGAACAACACACACCAGGGCCTGTCAGCGGCAGGGGGTGTGTAAGGGGAGGGAGAGCATTAGGACAAATAGCTAATGCATGTGGGGTTTAAAACCTAGGTGACAGGTTGATAGGTGCAGCAAACCACCATGGCACATGTATACCTATGTAACAAATCTGCACATTCCGCACATGTATCCTGGAACTTAAAGTGAAAAAAATTAAAAAATAAAGTAAAAAATAATAATTTTGAGCAAAAAAAATTAGCTGGGCATGGTGGTGCATGTCTGTGGTCACAGCTGCTCAGGAGGCTGAAGTGGGAGGATCACTTGAGCCCAGGGAGGTTGAGGCTACAATAAGCTGTGATAGCACCACTGCTCTCCAGCCTGGGTGAGAGAGTGAGATCCTGTTTCAAAATAATAATAATTATTACATATTATTGTGTATATATACATATATACACACACTTAGTGTATTCTGTTTTCACACTGCTATGAAGAAATATCTGAGATGGGGTAATTTATTAAGAAAAAGAGGTTTAATGGAATCACAGTTCCATTGGGGAGTGGCTGGGGAGGCCTCACCATCATGGCGGAAGGCAAAGGAGGAGCAAAGGCACATCTTACATGGTCGGGGGCAAGAGACCGTAAGAGCCCAGCGAAGGGGGAAGCCCCTTATAAAACCATCAGATCTCATGAGAACTCACTAACTATCAGGAGAACAGCATGGGGGAAACCACCCCCATGAGTCAATTATTTCCACCTGGTCCTTCCCTTGACATGTGGGATTATTACAATTCAAGGTGAGATTTGAGTGGGGACACAGAGCCAAACCCTATCACTTAGGCTCCTTCTGTGGCCTACAAGGCCCTACATGATCTGCCTTCTGCCCCACCCCTCTGACCTCATCTTCCTCCCCTCCTCTCCTTGATCCCTGTGATTCCAGCCACACAGACTCCCTGGACCAGGTCCTTCCCTCTCAGGACCTTTGCACTTGCTAGTTCTCCTTGAAAAAAAAACTTCCCTTAGCCTTGGCTTGGCTGCCTCTCCCTCACTCAAGTCTCTAGACTCATACATCACATTCTTCAAGGAGATCTTCCCTGGCCAGGCAAGACAAGTCAGCCTAATTACCCTCTTCTGCAGGACTTACTTAATCTTCTTCATAGCACATGTCAACACCCACATTAGCTCATTTATCACTTTGTTTATTGACTGTATTTCTCCCCATTAGAATATAAGCTGCTCAAGGGGAATTACTTGTTTGCTAAAAGCTAAAATTGGCTCTGGCACATAGTTGGTGCTGAATAAACATATACTGACTGACTCCTTTTGGTCTTACTTTAAAAACCACATCTACCAGATTGCCTTTCTGTTATGTTGCTTTATTGGTAAAATACCTAGGATGACATCTACTACTCTCTTTTAAATGCTCACTCAAAAGAATTAGAGTGGGGCTAGCCATGATGGCTCACACCTATAATCCTAGCTCTTTGGGAGGTTGAGGCACAAGGATCACTTGAGCTCAGGGGTTCCAGACCAGCCTGGGCAATATAGTGAGACCCCTGTCTCTACAAAAAAATTTTTAAAACTTGGGGGTGGTGGCACATGCCTGTAGTCCCAGCTGCTCAGGTGGCTGAGGTGGGAGGATCACTTAAGCCCAGAAGGTTGAGGCTGCAGTGAGCCATGATCGTGCTGCTGCACTCCAGCCTGGGTGACAGAGCAAGACACTGTCTAAAAAAAAAACACCACCATCACAAAAAAAACAAACAAAAGAATTAGGGAGGACAGCTAACACCACTCTCAGTAGTCTTGAAAGTGTTCTGCATTGCACTGGTGCAGATTTGTTTCGGGTTCTAAGACTATGATTTTCTGCAGTGGTATTCCTTTTTTCTAAAGACCTTAAAAAATAAAATAAACCCAAACAATCCTAGCAATTAAGGAAAGATCTCCATTACTTCCATTTTTACATACCAAAAAACTGAGAATAAAGTCATTTGCCTGACAGTCACAAGTCACTTTAGTAAACTTAAGACACTCGTCCAAGAGTTTCTGATTCCCAGAATGGTTTTCTTTCCTAATAGAATTCCATATTAAATCCTCAGTTTCCTTGAAACAGGGTGAAACTGGCCCCACCTCTTTTGGCAACATGATCATTAGATATTTTTTGAAAACCCAATTGGAATAGGGCACCAAGTTGGCACTGCAATTGATGGTGGGGAATGTCAAGGATGAAGAGGGAGGGAAGCCATCAAAGGTTCCAGGCTCTGTGCTGAGTGCCATGACTTACCTGTTATTGCTCAACACAGCAGACCACTCGGTGAGGGCGGCTATCTCCAGAATTCTCTAGCTCACCTTGCTCCACCCAATTTCAAGTGCATCCCAACTTTAGTACTTTGGCATGTACTCTTCCCTTTACTGGAATATTCTTCTAGATCTTCACTTGGTTGACTCCTTCTTACCAGTCAGGTTTCAGCTCAAATATTCCTTCCTTAGAGAGGCCTTCACTGACTACCATAGGCAAAGTATCTTACCACCCTGCCCCACAGTCATTCATTTTCTATGTTATTTTCCTGATAGCATTTAGCATGATCTGACATTATCTATTGACTAATTTATTGTTTGTCTCCCCTGATTAGCATAGAGCTCCAAGTTGTTCACTGGGATCACTGCCTGGCTCACAGTAGGCATCCAAATATTTGTTGAATGAATAAAGCTCAGGAAGTTTGTCCCAACATCATAGAGCTTGTAGTGACGAGGCTGCAATTTGAATCCAGCTCCAAAACTGAACTCCAAAGCCCATGCTTTTGGTGTTCTACTCTTTTCCCTCTCTCCCTATCATCTAGCTAGTCTCTCTTCCTGCCACAGACCACTCTTCCCAGATTCTCTTTTCCAGTGACTTTGGGCTATGCCCTGTAGAGGCAAAATAGCATCCTAAGAGCAGCCAAAAAGTGAGCTGAAGGATACCAAGGTAGCGATGGCTTACAGGACGGATGGGCAGTTCACTTCTTTGTCTTTCATAGCACAGACCCTCTAACTTGATCCTTGGGTGGGCAAGCTCTATAATTCTTGGAGTTGCAATCGCACTCAGGGTAGAAAGTGAAATCTTGGTTTGCATCTAGGGGAGAAAAATAAAACAGTACTTATAAGCATCAAGTAATAAACACTATTTAGTTCAAGATTACAAAGTATGATTTGACCTCTGGGCCAGACTTCTCAACACTCCAGCAGAAAGGGTGGGAATCTTGCAGTAACCTATAATCACAGCTGAAAGGATCAATTTCTATCTTTCTCAAACAAGATTACATGGATTCCGATGTAGCTTTTCTTTTTTTTGTTGTTGTGTTTTGTTTTCCAATCAAAATGCTTTTATTAGAATACTAATAAATGCAGATAAAAAAAACCTCACACAGAAAAAGAGGAAAACACTCAGAAATGTGATTACAGATTAGGCATATTAGAGGAAAAAGAGTTCTTCAGGGTATACAAAATGTAAACATTTGTCCTGGGATTTCCCACAGATGGCACAGTCCACATGGACTCTTTTGGAACAAAAAAATGTCTATTAAGTCTCCTGGATAGCTTCTATAAAGTCTGCAAACTTGCCACATTAAAAGTTAAAGTTCCTAAAACTTTCTATGCAAAACACAAAATGGCTCCCAATCCAGGCAACTGGCACACATGTAAGCAGAATACCAAAGCAAATCTGTCTTCCAACCATCAGCTTCGACTCCCTCCAGGTACTGTATTTACATTTACCTCGACAGAGATTACAGAGATATACACAGTATATAAAACTCCTACTTGAGGCTGGGGTGGGAGATGAAATCTTTCTTGCTTATCAAATGCTCTGGGGAGAGGCACCAAATCAGTCCTTTAAACTTAGGGAGAGAGGACTAAGAAGAGGCCCTCTTTTGTTCAGAAAATGGCAACTCATAAACTTCCATGGGTGGGCAGGTACAAACCAGGTGCTGATCTCCATATATGTCATCAATCCGGGCAATCACTGGCCAGAATTTGTTCTCTGGTTTCACGAAGGGGAGTGGGAATGCTGCCACCTCTCTGGAATATAAGGCCGGTCCCAGTGGGAAGATATAACGCAGGTCAGGGAGTGTGGAGACATCTTCAGCGGATTGACCCTGGGGTCGATGCGGCCCTCCTCAATGTCAGCAACTTCCTGCCGAATGCTGATCATGGCATCACAGAATCTGTCCAGCTCTGCCTTGTCCTCCGACTCAGTGGGCTCAACCATGAGGGTCCCTGCCACAGGCCAGGGCATGATAGGGGCGTGAAATCCATAATCCTGGAGTCTCTTGGCCACATCCACTGCCTCAATATTTGCAGACTTTTTGAAGGGTCTCGTGTCCAAAATAAATTCATGACCCACATAACCTCTTGCACCCCTGAAAAGAATTCTGTAGTGTTTTTCTAATCGCTTGGCCATGTAGTTGGCATTTAATATCGCAGTTTCCGTGGCTTGTTTAAGGCCCTTGCCTCCCATCATCTTGATATAAGCCCAGGAAATGGGCAAGATGGAACTGGAGCCCCATGGGGCCGCACTGACGGTTCCCACAGGACAGGCATCCTCATTCCGCTTTAGTGAAATGATGGGATGATTGGGCAAAAACGGGGCAAGGTATTTCTTACGCCAATGGGCCCCATGCCAGGACCACCTCCTCTGTGGGGAATGCAGAAGGTCTTGTGAAGATTTAGGTGCGAGACATCAGACCCAAAGTCTCCAGGGCGACAGATTCCCACCTGAGCGTTCATATTTGCCCCGTCTAGGTAGACCTATCCTCCATGTTGATGGATGAGGTCACACACGTCACTGATGTTCTCTTCAAACACCCCATTGGTGGATGGGTATGTAATCATGATGGCTGCTAGGTTCTCCTTGTGCTTATCCACCATGGCCTTGAGGTGAACTGCATTGATATTCCCACATTTATCCACCTCCACAGGCTGAATCTTCATGCCTGCCATGTGGGCACTTGTTGGGTTGGTCCCATGTGTTGATTTCAGAATGAGGCAAACCGTTCTGTGCCCCTCTCCTTTCTGGTTTAAGTAGGCTCGGATAGTGGCCAGTCCAGCATATTCTCCCTGGGCTCCCCTGTTTGGCTGGAAACAGACCTGGTCATAACCTGTGAGTTCACACAAATCCTTCTCAAGCTCTCAGAAAAGCTGCTGATATCCTTGAGCTTGGTCCAGAGGCACAAAGGGGTGGATGTTTGCAAATTCTTTCCATGTGATAGGTGCGAGTTCAGACGAACTGTTCAGTTTCATGGTGCAGGATCCCAGTGGAATCATGCTGTGAACAAGGGAAATGTCTTTATTTTCCAGTTTCTTCATATACCGGACAATATTTGTTTCAGAGTGGTAGCTGTTGAACACTTGATGGGTGAGGAACGGGCTGGTCCTCTTGAACACAGACCCTGGAATACCTCTGCACTCCTCTCCCATGCTTTCAGCAACCAGTTCTGCAGATGACTCACAAACAAAGATCCGCAACAAATCGTCCAGATCTTTTTCATTGACTGTTTCATCAAGAGAAATACCAAGTGTGCCATCCTCAAAAAGCCGAAAATTGATCTGCCGCTGAGCGGCCCTGCCCAAGACCTCCTTCACTGAGCAGCCACACTGAATCTTCAAGGTATCAAAGAACACGT